>NC_000004.12:50475269-50791424 GCF_000001405.40 Homo sapiens
TCGAGTAGCTGGTATTAAAGGCATGTGCCACCACACCTGGCTAATTTTGTACTTTTAGTAGAAATGGGGTTTCTCCATGTTGGTCAGGCTGGTCTCGAACTCCCGACCTCACATGGTCTGCAGGCCTTGGCCTCCCAGAGTGCTGGGATTACAGGCGTGAGCCACCGCACCCAGCTGAGACACTTAGTTTTTTTGTGTTGTACTGTTTTAGTTTTCTTAGAAACAGGATCTCGATCTGCCGCCCAGCACTTTGGGAGGCCGAGGTGGGCGGATCACTTGAGGTCAGGAGTGTGAGACATACTACAGAATGATGGTGAAAACCTGCTCTATCAAAGTGAATGTTCAATTCTGGGACTTCAATGCAAACATCACAAAGTAGTTCCTGAGAATGCTTCAGCATCCTCAGAAACTTATTTGTGATGTGTGTCCTCAACTAACAGAGTTGAAACTTTGTTTTGATACAGCATTTTGGAAACACTCTTTTTGTAGAATCTGCAGGTGGATACTTGGATAGCTTAGAGGGATTCGTTGGAAAGGGGATAAATTCATATAAAATCTAGACAGAAGCATTCTCAGAAACTTATTTGTGATGTGTGTCCTCAACTAACAGAGTTGAACCTTGGTTTTGATACAGCATTTTGGAAACACTCCTTTTGAAGAATCTGCAGGTGGATATGTGGATAGCTTTGAAGATTTCGTTGGAAACGGGAATTTCTTCATATAAAATCAAACAGAAGCATTCTCAGGAACTTCTCTGTGATGTTTGCATTCAGCTCATGGAGTTGAACACTTCCTTTCATAGAGCAGGTTTGAAACACTCTTTCTGCACTACCTGGAAGTGGACATTTCGAGCGCTTTGAGGCCTATGGTGAAAAAGGAAATATCCTCTCATAAAAACCAGAAAGAAGCGTTCTCAGAAACTTCTTTGTGTTGTGTGTACTCATGTAACAGTGTTGAACCATCCTTTTGACAGAGCAGTTTTGAAACACTCTTTTTGTAGAATCTGCCAGTGGATATTTGGATAGCTTTGAGGATTTCGTTGGAAACGGGTTATCTTCATATTAAATCTAGACAGAAGCATTCTCAGAAACTTCTTTGTGCTGTATGTCCTCAATTCACAGAGTTGAACCTTTGTTTGGATACAGCATTTTGGAAACATTCCTTTAGTAGAATCTGCAAGTTGATATTTAGATAGCTTTGAAGATTTCGTTGGAAACGAGAATATCTTCATAAAAAATCTAGACGGAAGCATTGTCAGAAACTGCTCTGTGATGTTTGCATTCAAGTCACAGAGTTAAATATTCTTTTATAGAGCAGGTTTGAAACACTCTTTCTGCACTCCCTGGAAGTGGAGATTTCGAGCGCTTTGAGGCCTATGGTGAAAAAGGAAATATCTTCCCGTAAAAACTAGACGGAAGCCTTCTCAGAAACTTGTTTGAGATGTGTGTATTCAACTAAGAGCGTTGAACATTTCTTTCTACACAGCAGTTTTAAAACACTCTTTTTGTGGAATCTGAAAGTGGATAATTGGATAGCTTTGTGGATTTCGTTGGAAACGGGATGACGGTTTAAAATCTAGAGAGAAGCATTCTCAGGAACTTCTTTCTGATGTTTGCATTCAAGTCACAGAATTGAACATTCCTTTTCATAGTGCAGGTTTGAAACACTCTGTAGTATCTGGAAGTGGACATTTCAAGCGCTTTCAGGCCTATGGGGAGAAAGGAAATATCTTGAAATAAAAACTAGACAGAAGGATTCTCACAAACTTACTTGTGATGTGTGTCCTAAACGAACACAGTTGAACCTTTGTTTTGATACAGCATTTTGGAAACACTCCTTTTGTAGAATCTGCAGGTGGATATTTGGATAGATTTTAAGATTTCATTGGAAACGGGAATTTCTTCATATAAACTCAAGACAGATGCATTCTCAGAAACTTCTCTGTGATGTTTGCATTCCACTCACAGAGTTGAAAACTTCCTTTCATAGAGCAGGTTTGAAACACTCTTTTTGTAATATTTGGAAGTGGACATTTGCAGCGCTTTGAGGCCTATGGTGAAAAAGGAAATATCTTCTCATAAAAACCAGAAACAAGCATTCTCAGAAACTGCTTTTTGATGTGTGTACTCAAGTAACAGAGTTGAACCTTCCTTTTGACACAGCAGTTTTGAAACAATCTTTTTGTAGAATCTGCAAGTGGATATTTGGATAGCTTTGAGGATTTCGTTGGAAACGGGATATCTTCATATAAAATCTAGACAGAAGCATTCTCAGAAACTTCTTTGTGCTGTATGTCCTCAATTAACAGAGTTGAACCATTGCTTGGATACAGCATTTTGGAAACATTCCTTTAGTAGAATCTGCAAGTTGATATTTAGATAGCTTTGAAGATTTCGTTGGAAACGGGAATATCTTCATATAAAATCTAGACGGAGGCATTCTCAGAAACTGCTTTGTGATGTTTCCATTCAAGTCACAGAGTTGAATATTCCCTTTTATAGAGCACGTTTGAAACACTCTTTCGGCACTATCTGGAAGTGGACATTTCGAGCGCTTTGAGGCCTATGGTGAAAAAGGAAATATCTTCCCATAAAAACTAGACAGAAGCATTCTCAGAAACTTGTTTGTGATGTGTGTATTCAACTAACAGACTTGAACTTTTGTTTTTACAGAGCAGTTTTAAAACAATCTTTTTGTGGAATCAGAAAGTGGATATTCGGATGGCTTTGAGGATTTCGTTGGAAGCGGGATTACATATAAAATCTAGAGAGAAGCATTCTCAGGAACTACTTTGTGATGTTTGCATTGAAGTCACAGAATTGAACATTCACTTTGATAGAGCAGGTTTGAAACACTCATTCTGTAGTATCTGGAAGTGGACATTTCAAGTGTTTTCAGGCCTATGGGGAGAAAGGAAATATCTTCAAATTAAAACTAGACAGAAGCATCCTCAGAAACTTATTTGTGATGTGTGTCCTCAACTAACAGAGTTGAAACTTTGTTTTGATACAGCATTTTGGAAACACTCTTTTTGTAGAATCTGCAGGTGGATACTTGGATAGCTTAGAGGGATTCGTTGGAAAGGGGATAAATTCATATAAAATCTAGACAGAAGCATTCTCAGAAACTTATTTGTGATGTGTGTCCTCAACTAACAGAGTTGAACCTTGGTTTTGATACAGCATTTTGGAAACACTCCTTTTGAAGAATCTGCAGGTGGATATGTGGATAGCTTTGAAGATTTCGTTGGAAACGGGAATTTCTTCATATAAAATCAAACAGAAGCATTCTCAGGAACTTCTCTGTGATGTTTGCATTCAGCTCATGGAGTTGAACACTTCCTTTCATAGAGCAGGTTTGAAACACTCTTTCTGCACTACCTGGAAGTGGACATTTCGAGCGCTTTGAGGCCTATGGTGAAAAAGGAAATATCCTCTCATAAAAACCAGAAAGAAGCGTTCTCAGAAACTTCTTTGTGTTGTGTGTACTCATGTAACAGTGTTGAAGCATCCTTTTGACAGAGCAGTTTTGAAACACTCTTTTTGTAGAATCTGCAAGTGGATATTTGGATAGCTTTGAGGATTTCGTTGGAAACGGGTTATCTTCATATTAAATCTAGACAGAAGCATTTTCAGAAACTTCTTTGTGCTGTATGTCCTCAATTCACAGAGTTGAACCTTTGTTTGGATACAGCATTATGGAAACATTCCTTTAGTAGAATCTGCAAGTTGATATTTAGATAGCTTTGAAGATTTCGTTGGAAACGGGAATATCTTCATAAAAAATCTAGACGGAAGCATTGTCAGAAACTGCTTTGTGATGTTTGCATTCAAGTCACAGAGTTAAATATTCTTTTACAGAGCAGGTTTGAAACACTCTTTCTGCACTCCCTGGAAGTGGAGATTTCGAGCGCTTTGAGGCCTATGGTGAAAAAGGAAATATCTTCCCATAAAAACCAGACGGAAGCATTCTCAGAAACTTGTTTGTGATGTGTGTATTCAACTAACAGAGTTGAACTTTTGTTTTTACAGAGCCGTTTTAAAACACTCTTTTTGTGGAATCAGAAAGTGGATATTCGGATGGCTCTGAGGATTTCGTTGGAAGCGGGATTACGTATAAAATCTAGAGAGAAGCATTCTCAGGAACTTCTTTCTGATGTTTGCATTGAAGTCACGGAATTGAACATTCACTTTGATAGAGCAGGTTTGAAACACTCATTCTGTAGTATCTGGAAGTGGACATTTCAAGAGCTTTCAGGCCTATGGTGAGAAAGGAAATATCTTCGAATAAAAACTAGACAGAAGCATCCTCAGAAACTTATTTGTGATGTGTGTCCTCAACTAACAGAGTTGAAACTTTGTTTTGATACAGCATTTTGGAAACACTCTTTTTGTAGAATCTGCAGGTGGATATTTGGATAGCTTAGAGGGATTCGTTGGAAAGGGGATATCTTCATATAGAATCTAGACAGAAGCATTCTCAGAAACTTATTTGTGATGTGTGTCCTCAACTAACAGAGTTGAACCTTGGTTTTGATACAGCATTTTGGAAACACTCCTTTTGTAGAATCTGCAGGTGGATATGTGGATAGCTTTGAAGATTTCGTTGGAAACGGGAATTTCTTCATATAAAATCAAACAGAAGCATTCTCAGAAACTTCTCTGTGATGTTTGCATTCAGCTCATGGAGTTGAACACTTCCTTTCAGAGAGCAGCTTTGAAACACTCTTTCTGCACTACCAGGAAGTGGACATTTCGAGCGCTTTGAGGCCTATGGTGAAAAAGGAAATATCTTCTCATAAAAACCAGAAAGAAGCGTTCTCAGAAACTTCTTTGTGTTGTGTGTACTCATGTAACAGTGTTGAACCATCCTTTTGACAGAGCAGTTTTGAAACACTCTTTTTGTAGAATCTGCAAGTGGATATTTGGATAGCTTTGAGGATTTCGTTGGAAACGGGTTATCTTCATATTAAATCTAGACAGAAGCATTCTCAGAAACTTCTTTGTGCTGTATGTCCTCAATTCACAGTGTTGAACCTTTGTTTGGATACAGCATTTTGGAAACATTCCTTTAGTAGAATCTGCAAGTTGATATTTAGATAGCTTTCAAGATTTCGTTGGAAACGGGAATATCTTCATAAAAAATCTAGACGGAAGCATTGTCAGAAACTGCTTTGTGATGTTTGCATTCAAGTCACAGAGTTAAATATTCTTTTATAGAGCACGTTTGAAACACTCTTTCTGCACTCCCTGGAAGTGGAGATTTCGAGCGCTTTGAGGCCAATGGTGAAAAACAAATATCTTCCCATAAAAACTAGACGGAAGCCTTCTCAGAAACTTGTTTGAGATGTGTGTATTCAACTAAGAGCGTTGAACATTTCTTTTTACAGAGCAGTTTTAAAACACTCTTTTTGTGGAATCTGAAAGTGGATAATTGGATAGCTTTGTGGATTTCGTTGGAAACGGGATGACGTATAAAATCTAGAGAGAAGCATTCTCAGGAACTTCTTTCTGATGTTTGCATTCAAGTCACAGAATTGAACATTCCTTTTCATAGTGCAGGTTTGAAACACTCTTTCTGTAGTATCTGGAAGTGGACATTTCAAGCGCTTTCAGGCCTATGGGGAGAAAGGAAATATCTTCAAATAAAAACTAGACAGAAGGATTCTCAGAAACTTATTGGTGATGTGTGTCCTAAACGAACACAGTTGAACCTTTGTTTTGATACAGCATTTTGGAAACACTCCCTTTGTAGAATCTGCAGGTGGATATTTGGATAGATTTTAAGATTTCTTTGGAAACGGGAATTTCTTCATATAAACTCAAGACAGATGCATTCTCCGAAACTTCTCTGTGATGTTTGCATTCCACTCATAGAGTTGAAAACTTCCTTTCATAGAGCAGGTTTGAAACACTCTTTTTGTAATATTTGGAAGTGGACATTTGCAGCGCTTTGAGGCCTATGGTGAAAAAGGAAATATCTTCTCATAAAAACCAGAAACAAGCATTCTCAGAAACTTCTTTTTGATGTGTGTACTCAAGTAACAGAGTTGAACCTTCCTTTTGACACAGCAGTTTTGAAACAATCTTTTTGTAGAATCTGCAAGTGGATATTTGGATAGATTTGAGGATTTCGTTGGAAACGGGATATCTTCATATAAAATCTAGACAGAAGCATTCTCAGAAACTTCTTTGTGCTGTATGTCCTCAATTAACAGAGTTGAACCATTGCTTGGATACAGCATTTTGGAAACATTCCTTTAGTAGAATCTGCAAGTTGATATTTAGATAGATTTGAAGATTTCGTTGGAAACGGGAATATCTTCATATAAAATCTAGACGGAGGCATTCTCTGAAACTGCTTTGTGATGTTTCCATTCAAGTCACAGAGTTGAATATTCTCTTTTATAGAGCACGTTTGAAACACTCTTTCTGCACTATCTGGAAGTGGACATTTCGAGCGCTGTGAGGCCTATGGTGAAAAAGGAAATATCTTCCCATAAAAACTAGACAGAAGCATTCTCAGAAACTTGTTTGTGATGTGTGTATTCAAGTAACAGACTTGAACTTTTGTTTTTACAGAGCAGTTTTAAGACAATCCATTTGTGGAATCAGAAAGTGGATATTCGGATGGCTTTGAGGATTTCGTTGGAAGCGGGATTACATATAAAATCTAGAGAGAAGCATTCTCAGGAACTACTTTGTGATGTTTGCATTGAAGTCACAGAATTGAACATTCACTTTGATAGAGCAGGTTTGAAACACTCATTCTGTAGTATCTGGAAGCCGACAATTCAAGCGCTTTCAGGCCTATGGGGAGAAAGGAAATATCTTCAAATAAAAACTAGACAGAAGGATTCTCAGAAACTTATTGGTGATGTGTGTCCTAAACGAACACAGTTGAACCTTTGTTTTGATACAGCATTTTGGAAACACTCCTTTTGTAGAATCTGCAGGTGGATATTGGGATAGCTTAGAGGGATTCGTTGGAAAGGGGATATCTTCATATAAAATCTAGACAGAAGCATTCTCAGAAACTTATTTGTGATGTGTGTCCTCAACTAACAGAGTTGAACCTTGGTTTTGATACAGCATTTTGGAAACACTCCTTTTGTAGAATCTGCAGGTGGATATGTGGATAGCTTTGAAGATTTCGTTGGAAACGGGAATTTCTTCATATAAAATCAAACAGAAGCATTCTCAGAAACTTCTCTGTGATGTTTGCATTCAGCTCATGGAGTTGAACACTTCCTTTCATAGAGCAGGTTTGAAACACTCTTTCTGCACTACCAGGAAGTGGACATTTCCAGCGCTTTGAGGCCTATGGTGAAAAAGGAAATATCTTCTCATAAAAACCAGAAAGAAGCGTTCTCAGAAACTTCTTTGTGTTGTGTGTACTCATGTAACAGTGTTGAACCATCCTTTTGACAGAGCAGTTTTGAAACACTCTTTTTGTAGAATCTGCAAGTGGATATTTGGATAGCTTTGAGGATTTCGTTGGAAACGGGTTATCTTCATATTAAATCTAGACAGAAGCATTCTCAGAAACTTCTTTGTGCTGTATGTCCTCAATTCACAGAGTTGAACCTTTGTTTGGATACAGCATTTTGGAAACATTCCTTTAGTAGAATCTGCAAGTTGATATTTAGATAGCTTTGAAGATTTCGTTGGAAACGGGAATATCTTCATAAAAAATCTAGACGGAAGCATTGTCAGAAACTGCTTTGTGATGTTTGCATTCAAGTCACAGAGTTAAATATTCTTTTACAGAGCAGGTTTGAAACACTCTTTCTGCACTCCCTGGAAGTGGAGATTTCGAGCGCTTTGAGGCCTATGGTGAAAAAGGAAATATCTTCCCATAAATACTAGACGGAAGCCTTCTCAGAAACTTGTTTGAGATGTGTGTATTCAACTAAGAGCGTTGAACATTTCTTTTTACAGAGCAGTTTTAAAACACTCTTTTTGTGGAATCTGAAAGTGGATAATTGGATAGCTTTGTGGATTTCGTTGGAAACGGGATGACGTATAAAATCTAGAGAGAAGCATTCTCAGGAACTTCTTTCTGATGTTTGCATTCAAGTCACAGAATTGAACATTCCTTTTCATAGTGTAGGTTTGAAACACTCTTTCTGTAGTATCTGGAAGTGGACATTTCAAGCGCTTTCAGGCCTATGGGGAGAAAGGAAATATCTTCAAATAAAAACTAGACAGAAGGATTCTCAGAAACTTTTTAGTGATGTGTGTCCTAAACGAACACAGTTGAACCTTTGTTTTGATACAGCGTTTTGGAAACACTCCTTTTGTAGAATCTGCAGGTGGATATTTGGATAGATTTTAAGATTTCGTTGGAAACGGGAATTTCTTCATATAAACTCAAGACAGATGCATTCTCAGAAACTTCTCTGTGATGTTTGCATTCCACTCACAGAGTTGAAAACTTCCTTTCATAGAGCAGGTTTGAAACACTCTTTTTGTAATATTTGGAAGTGGACATTTGCAGCGCTTTGAGGCCTATGGTGAAAAAGGAAATATCTTCTCATAAAAACCAGAAACAAGCATTCTCAGAAACTGCTTTTTGATGTGTGTACTCAAGTAACAGAGTTGAACCTTCCTTTTGACACAGCAGTTTTGAAACAATCTTTTTGTAGAATCTGCAAGTGGATATTTGGATAGCTTTGAGGATTTCGTTGGAAACGGGATATCTTCATATAAAATCTAGACAGAAGCATTCTCAGAAACTTCTTTGTGCTGTATGTCCTCAATTAACAGAGTTGAACCATTGCTTGGATACAGCATTTTGGAAACATTCCTTTAGTAGAATCTGCAAGTTGATATTTAGATAGATTTGAAGATTTCGTTGGAAACGGGAATATCTTCATATAAAATCTAGACGGAGGCATTCTCAGAAACTGCTTTGTGATGTTTCCATTCAAGTCACAGAGTTGAATATTCCCTTTTATAGAGCACGTTTGAAACACTCTTTCGGCACTATCTGGAAGTGGACATTTCGAGCGCTTTGAGGCCTATGGTGAAAAAGGAAATATCTTCCCATAAAAACTAGACAGAAGCATTCTCAGACACTTGTTTGTGATGTGTGTATTCAACTAACAGACTTGAACTTTTGTTTTTACAGAGCAGTTTTAAAACAATCTTTTTGTGGAATCAGAAAGTGGATATTCGGATGGCTTTGAGGATTTCGTTGGAAGCGGGATTACATATAAAATGTAGAGAGAAGCATTCTCAGGAACTACTTTGTGATGTTTGCATTGAAGTCACAGAATTGAACATTCACTTTGATAGAGCAGGTTTGAAACACTCATTCTGTAGTATCTGGAAGTGGACATTTCAAGTGCTTTCAGGCCTATGGGGAGAAAGGAAATATCTTCAAATTAAAACTAGACAGAAGCATCCTCAGAAACTTATTTGTGATGTGTGTCCTCAACTAACAGAGTTGAAACTTTGTTTTGATACAGCATTTTGGAAACACTCTTTTTGTAGAATCTGCAGGTGGATACTTGGATAGCTTAGAGGGATTCGTTGGAAAGGGGATAAATTCATATAAAATCTAGACAGAAGCATTCTCAGAAACTTATTTGTGATGTGTGTCCTCAACTAACAGAGTTGAACCTTGGTTTTGATACAGCATTTTGGAAACACTCCTTTTGAAGAATCTGCAGGTGGATATGTGGATAGCTTTGAAGATTTCGTTGGAAACGGGAATTTCTTCATATAAAATCAAACAGAAGCATTCTCAGAAACTTCTCTGTGATGTTTGCATTCAGCTCATGGAGTTGAACACTTCCTTTCATAGAGCAGGTTTGAAACACTCTTTCTGCACTACCTGGAAGTGGACATTTCGAGCGCTTTGAGGCCTATGGTGAAAAAGGTAATATCCTCTCATAAAAACCAGAAAGAAAGCGTTCTCAGAAACTTCTTTGTGTTGTGTGTACTCATGTAACAGTGTTGAACCATCCTTTTGACAGAGCAGTTTTGAAACACTCTTTTTGTAGAATCTGCAAGTGGATATTTGGATAGCTTTGAGGATTTCGTTGGAAACGGGTTATCTTCATATTAAATCTAGACAGAAGCATTCTCAGAAACTTCTTTGTGCTGTATGTCCTCAATTCACAGAGTTGAACCTTTGTTTGGATACAGCATTTTGGAAACATTCCTTTAGTAGAATCTGCAAGTTGATATTTAGATAGCTTTGAAGATTTCGTTGGAAACGGGAATATCTTCATAAAAAATCTAGACGGAAGCATTGTCAGAAACTGCTCTGTGATGTTTGCATTCAAGTCACAGAGTTAAATATTCTTTTATAGAGCAGGTTTGAAACACTCTTTCTGCACTCCCTGGAAGTGGAGATTTCGAGCGCTTTGAGGCCTATGGTGAAAAAGGAAATATCTTCCCATAAAAACTAGACGGAAGCCTTCTCAGAAACTTGTTTGAGATGTGTGTATTCAACTAAGAGCGTTGAACATTTCTTTTTACAGAGCAGTTTTAAAACAGTCTTTTGGTGGAATCTGAAAGTGGATAATTGGATAGCTTTGTGGATTTCGTTGGAAACGGGATTACGTTTAAAATCTAGAGAGAAGCATTCTCAGGAACTTCTTTCTGATGTTTGCATTCAAGTCACAGAATTGAACATTCCTTTTCATAGTGCAGGTTTGAAACACTCTATAGTATCTGGAAGTGGACATTTCAAGCGCTTTCAGGCCTATGGGGAGAAAGGAAATATCTTGAAATAAAAACTAGACAGAAGGATTCTCAGAAACTTATTTGTGATGTGTGTTCTCAACGAACACAGTTGAACCTTTGTTTTGATATAGCATTTTGGAAGCACTCTTTTGTAGAATCTGCAGGTGGATATTTGGATAGATTTTAAGATTTCATTGGAAACGGGAATTTCTTCATATAAACTCAAGACAGATGCATTCTCAGAAACTTCTCTGTGATGTTTGCATTCCACTCACAGAGTTGAAAACTTCCTTTCATAGAGCAGGTTTGAAACACTCTTTTTGTAATATTTGGAAGTGGACATTTGCAGCGCTTTGAGGCCTATGGTGAAAAAGGAAATATCTTCTCATAAAAACCAGAAACAAGCATTCTCAGAAACTGCTTTTTGTTGTGTGTACTCAAGTAACAGAGTTGAACCTTCCTTTTGACACAGCAGTTTTGAAACAATCTTTTTGTAGAATCTGCAAGTGGATATTTGGATAGTTTTGAGGATTTCGTTGGAAACGGGATATCTTCATATAAAATCTAGACAGAAGCATTCTCAGAAACTTCTTTGTGCTGTATGACCTCAATTAACAGAGTTGAACCATTGCTTGCATACAGCATTTTGGAAACATTCCTTGAGTAGAATCTGCAAGTTGATATTTAGATAGATTTGAAGATTTCGTTCGAAAACGGAATATCTCCATATAAAATCTAGAGGGAAGCATTCTCAGAAACTGCTTTGTGATGTTTCCATTCAAGTCACAGAGTTGAATATTCCCTTTTATAGAGCACGTTTGAAACACTCTTTCTGCGCTATCTGGAAGTGGACATTTCGAGCGCTTTGAGGCCTATGGTGAAAAAGGAAATATCTTCCCATAAAAACTAGACAGAAGCATTCTCAGAAACTTGTTTGTGATGTGTGTATTCAACTAACAGAGTTGAACTTTTGTTTTTACAGAGCCGTTTTAAAACACTCTTTTTGTGGAATCAGAAAGTGGATATTCGGATGGCTCTGAGGATTTCGTTGGAAGTGGGATTACGTATAAAATCTAGAGAGAAGCATTCTCAGGAACTTCTTTGTGATGTTTGCATTGAAGTCACAGAATTGAACATTCACTTTGATAGAGCAGGTTTGAAACACTCATTCTGTAGTATCTGGAAGTGGACATTTCAAGCGCTTTCAGGCCTATGGTGAGAAAGGAAATATCTTCGAATAAAAACTAGACAGAAGCATCCTCAAACTTATTTGTGATGTGTGTCCTCAACTAACAGAGTTGAAACTTTGTTTTGATACAGCATTTTGGAAACACTCTTTTTGTAGAATCTGCAGGTGGATATTTGGATAGCTTAGAGGGATTCGTTGGAAAGGGGATATCTTCATATAAAATCTAGACAGAAGCATTCTCAGAAACATATTTGTGATGTGTGTCCTCAACTAACAGAGTTGAACCTTGGTTTTGATACAGCATTTTGGAAACACTCCTTTTGTAGAATCTGCAGGTGGATATGTGGATAGCTCTGAAGATTTCGTTGGAAACGGGAATTTCTTCATATAAAATCAAACAGAAGCATTCTCAGAAACTTCTCAGTGATGTTTGCATTCAGCTCATGGAGTTGTACACTTCCTTTCATAGAGCAGGTTTGAAACACTCTTTCTGCACTACTTGGAAGAGGACATTTCGAGCGCTTTGAGTCCTATGGTGAAAAAGGAAATATCTTCTCATAGAAACCAGAAAGAAGCATTCTCAGAAACTTCTTTGTGTTGTGTGTACTCATGTAACAGTGTTGAACCATCCTTTTGACAGAGCAGTTTTGAAACACTCTTTTTGTAGAATCTGCAAGTGGATATTTGGATAGCTTTGAGGATTTCGTTGGAAACGGGATGACATATAATATCTAGAGAGAAGCATTCTCAGGAACTTCTTTGTGATGTTTGCATTCAAGTCACAGAATTGAACATTCCCTTTCATAGAGCAGGTTTGAAACACTCTTTCTCTAGTATCTGGAAGTGGGCATTTCAAGCGCTTTCAGGCCTATGGAGAGAAAGGAAATACCTTCAAATAAAAACTAGACAGAAGCATTCTCAGAAACTTATTTGTGATGTGTGTCCTCAACTAACAGAGTTGAACCTTTGTTTTGATACAGCATTTTGGAAACACTCCTTTTGTAGAATCTGCAGGTGGATATTTGGATAGCTTTGAAGATTTCGTTGGAAACCGGAATATCTTCATATAAAATCAAGACAGAATCATTCTCGGAAACATCTCTGTGATGTTTGCATTCAACTCAGTAGAGTTGAACACTTCCTTTCATAGAGCAGGTTTGAAACACTCTTTCTGCACTATCTGGAAGCGGACATTTCGAGCGCTTTGAGGCCTATGGTGAAAAAGGAAATATCTTCTCATAAAAACCAGAAAGAAGCATTCTCAGAAACTTCTTTGTGTTGTGTGTACTCAAGTAACAGTGTTGAACCTTCCTTTTGACAGAGCAGTTTTGAAACACTCTTTTGGTAGAATCTGCAAGTGGATATTTGGATAGCTTTGAGGATTTCGTTGGAAACGGGTTATCTTCATATAAAATCCAGACAGGAGCATTCTCAGAAACTTCTTTGTGCTGTATGTCCTCAATTCACAGAGCTGAACCTTTGTTTGGATACAGCATTTTGGAGACATTCCTTTAGTAGAATCTGCAAGTTGATATTTAGATAGCTTTGAAGATTTCGTTGGAAACGGGAATATCTTCATAGAAAATCTAGACGGAAGCATTCTCAGAAACTGCTTTGTGATGTTTGCATTCAAGTCACAGAGTTGAATATTCCCTTTTATAGAGTAGGTTTGAAACACTCTTTCGGCACTACCTGGAAGTGGATATTTCGAGCTCTTTGAGGCCTATGGTTAAAAGGAAATATCTTCCCATAAAAACTAGACAGAAGCCGTCTCAGAAACTTGTTTGTGATGTGTGTATTCAACTACCAGCAGTTGAACATTTCTGTTACAGAGCAATTTTAAAACACTCTTTTTGTGGAATCTGAAAGTGGATAATTGGATAGCTTTGTGGATTTCGTTGGAAACGGGATGACGTATAAAATCTAGAGAGAAGCATTCTCAGGAACTTCTTTCTGATGTTTGCATTCAAGTCACAGAATTGAACATTCCTTTTCAGAGTGCAGGTTTGAAACACACTCTTTCTGTAGTATCTGGAAGTGGACATTTCAAGCGCTTTCAGGCCTACGGGGAGAAAGGAAATATCTTCAAATAAAAACTAGACAGAAGGATTCTCAGAAACTTATTTGTGATGTGTGTCCTAAACGAACACAGTTGAACCTTTGTTTTGATACAGCATTTTGGAAACACTCCTTTTGTAGGATCTGCAGGTGGATATTTGGATAGATTTTAAGATTTCGTTGGAAACGGGAATTTCTGCATATAAACTCAAGACAGATGCATTCTCAGAAACTTCTCTGTGATGTTTGCATTACACTCATAGAGTTGAAAACTTCCTTTCATAGAGCAGGTTTGAAACACTCTTTTTGTAATATTTGGAAGTGGACATTTGCAGCGCTTTGAGGCCTATGGTGAAAAAGGAAATATCTTCTCATAAAAACCAGAAACAAGCATTCTCAGAAACTTCTTTTTGATGTGTGTACTCAAGTAACAGAGTTGAACCTTCCTTTTGACACAGCAGTTTTGAAACAATCTTTTTGTAGAATCTGCAAGTGGATATTTGGATAGCTTTGAGGATTTCGTTGGAAACGGGATATCTTCATATAAAATCTAGACAGAAGCATTCTCAGAAACTTCTTTGTGCTGTATGACCTCAATTAACAGAGTTGAACCATTGCTTGCATACAGCATTTTGGAAACATTCCTTGAGTAGAATCTGCAAGTTGATATTTAGATAGATTTGAAGATTTCGTTCGAAAACGGAATATCTCCATATAAAATCTAGAGGGAAGCATTCTCAGAAACTGCTTTGTGATGTTTCCATTCAAGTCACAGAGTTGAATATTCCCTTTTATAGAGCACGTTTGAAACACTCTTTCTGCGCTATCTGGAAGTGGACATTTCGAGCGCTTTGAGGCCTATGGTGAAAAAGGAAATATCTTCCCATAAAAACTAGACAGAAGCATTCTCAGAAACTTGTTTGTGATGTGTGTATTCAACTAACAGAGTTGAACTTTTGTTTTTACAGAGCCGTTTTAAAACACTCTTTTTGTGGAATCAGAAAGTGGATATTCGGATGGCTCTGAGGATTTCGTTGGAAGCGGGATTACATATAAAATCTAGAGAGAAGCATTCTCAGGAACTTCTTTGTGATGTTTGCATTGAAGTCACAGAATTGAACATTCACTTTGATAGAGCAGGTTTGAAACACTCATTCTGTAGTATCTGGAAGTGGACATTTCAAGCGCTTTCAGGCCTATGGTGAGAAAGGAAATATCTTCGAATAAAAACTAGACAGAAGCATCCTCAAACTTATTTGTGATGTGTGTCCTCAACTAACAGAGTTGAAACTTTGTTTTGATACAGCATTTTGGAAACACTCTTTTTGTAGAATCTGCAGGTGGATATTTGGATAGCTTAGAGGGATTCGTTGGAAAGGGGATATCTTCATATAGAATCTAGACAGAAGCATTCTCAGAAACTTATTTGTGATGTGTGTCCTCAACTAACAGAGTTGAACTTTGGTTTTGATACAGCATTTCGGAAACACTCCTTTTGTAGAATCTGCAGGTGGATATGTGGATAGCTCTGAAGATTTCGTTGGAAACGGGAATTTCTTCATATAAAATCAAACAGAAGCATTCTCAGAAACTTCTCAGTGATGTTTGCATTCAGCTCATGGAGTTGTACACTTCCTTTCATAGAGCAGGTTTGAAACACTCTTTCTGCACTACTTGGAAGAGGACATTTCGAGCGCTTTGAGTCCTATGGTGAAAAAGGAAATATCTTCTCATAGAAACCAGAAAGAAGCATTCTCAGAAACTTCTTTGTGTTGTGTGTACTCATGTAACAGTGTTGAACCATCCTTTTGACAGAGGAGTTTTGAAACACTCTTTTTGTAGAATCTGCAAGTGGATATTTGGATAGCTTTGAGGATTTCGTTGGAAACGGGATGACATATAATATCTAGAGAGAAGCATTCTCAGGAACTTCTTTGTGATGTTTGCATTCAAGTCACAGAATTGAACATTCCCTTTCATAGAGCAGGTTTGAAACACTCTTTCTCTAGTATCTGGAAGTGGGCATTTCAAGCGCTTTCAGGCCTATGGAGAGAAAGGAAATACCTTCAAATAAAAACTAGACAGAAGCATTCTCAGAAACTTATTTGTGATGTGTGTCCTCAACTAACAGAGTTGAACCTTTGTTTTGATACAGCATTTTGGAAACACTCCTTTTGTAGAATCTGCAGGTGGATATTTGGATAGCTTTGAAGATTTCGTTGGAAACCGGAATATCTTCATATAAAATCAAGACAGAAGCATTCTCGGAAACATCTCTGTGATGTTTGCATTCAACTCAGTAGAGTTGAACACTTCCTTTCATAGAGCAGGTTTGAAACACTCTTTCTGCCCTACCTGGAAGCGGACATTTCGAGCTCTTTGAGGCCTATGGTGAAAAAGGAAATATCTTCTCATAAAAACCAGAAAGAAGCATTCTCAGAAACTTCTTTGTGTTGTGTGTACTCAAGTAACAGTGTTGAACCTTCCTTTTGACAGAGCAGTTTTGAAACACTCTTTTGGTAGAATCTGCAAGTGGATATTTGGATAGCTTTGAGGATTTCGTTGGAAACGGGTTATCTTCATATAAAATCCAGACAGGAGCATTCTCAGAAACTTCTTTGTGCTGTATGTCCTCAATTCACAGAGCTGAACCTTTGTTTGGATACAGCATTTTGGAGACATTCCTTTAGTAGAATCTGCAAGTTGATATTTAGATAGCTTTGAAGATTTCATTGGAAACGGGAATATCTTCATAGAAAATCTAGACGGAAGCATTCTCAGAAACTGCTTTGTGATGTTTGCATTCAAGTCACAGAGTTGAATATTCCCTTTTATAGAGTAGGTTTGAAACACTCTTTCGGCACTACCTGGAAGTGGATATTTCGAGCTCTTTGAGGCCTATGGTTAAAAGGAAATATCTTCCCATAAAAACTAGACAGAAGCCGTCTCAGAAACTTGTTTGTGATGTGTGTATTCAACTACCAGAGTTGAACATTTCTGTTACAGAGCAATTTTAAAACACTCTTTTTGTGGAATCTGAAAGTGGATAATTGGATAGCTTTGTGGATTTCGTTGGAAACGGGATGACGTATAAAATCTAGAGAGAAGCATTCTCAGGAACTTCTTTCTGATGTTTGCATTCAAGTCACAGAATTGAACATTCCTTTTCATAGTGCAGGTTTGAAACACTCTTTCTGTAGTATCTGGAAGTGGACATTTCAAGCGCTTTCAGGCCTACGGGGAGAAAGGAAATATCTTCAAATAAAAACTAGACAGAAGGATTCTCAGAAACTTATTTGTGATGTGTGTCCTAAACGAACACAGTTGAACCTTTGTTTTGATACAGCATTTTGGAAACACTCCTTTTGTAGGATCTGCAGGTGGATATTTGGATAGATTTTAAGATTTCGTTGGAAACGGGAATTTCTGCATATAAACTCAAGACAGATGCATTCTCAGAAACTTCTCTGTGATGTTTGCATTCCACTCATAGAGTTGAAAACTTCCTTTCATAGAGCAGGTTTGAAACACTCTTTTTGTAATATTTGGAAGTGGACATTTGCAGCGCTTTGAGGCCTATGGTGAAAAAGGAAATATCTTCTCATAAAAACCAGAAACAAGCATTCTCAGAAACTTCTTTTTGATGTGTGTACTCAAGTAACAGAGTTGAACCTTCCTTTTGACACAGCAGTTTTGAAACAATCTTTTTGTAGAATCTGCAAGTGGATATTTGGATAGCTTTGAGGATTTCGTTGGAAACGGGATATCTTCATATAAAATCTAGACAGAAGCATTCTCAGAAACTTCTTTGTGCTGTATGTCCTCAATTAACAGAGTTGAACCATTGCCTGGATACAGCATTTTGGAAACATTCCTTGAGTAGAATCTGCAAGTTGATATTTAGATAGATTTGAAGATTTCGTTGGAAAAGGGAATATCTCCATATAAAATCTAGAGGGAAGCATTCTCAGAAACTGCTTTGTGATGTTTCCATTCAAGTCACAGAGTTGAATATTCCCTTTTATAGAGCACGTTTGAAACACTCTTTCTGCACTATCTGGAAGCGGACATTTCGAGCACTTTGAGGCCTATGGTGAAAAAGGAAATATCTTCCCATAAAAACTAGACAGAAGCATTCTCAGAAACTTGTTTGTGATGTGTGTATTCAACTAACAGAGTTGAACTTTTGTTTTTACAGAGCCGTTTTAAAACACTCTTTTTGTGGAATCAGAAAGTGGATATTCGGATGGCTCTGAGGATTTCGTTGGAAGCGGGATTACGTATAAAATCTAGAGAGAAGCATTCTCAGAAACTTCTTTCTGATGTTTGCATTGAAGTCACAGAATTGAACATTCACTTTGATAGAGCAGGTTTGAAACACTCATTCTGTAGTATCTGGAAGTGGACATTTCAAGCGCTTTCAGGCCTATGGTGAGAAAGGAAATATCTTCGCATAAAAACTAGACAGAAGCATCCTCAAACTTATTTGTGATGTGTGTCCTCAACTAACAGACTTGAAACTTTGTTTTGATACAGCATTTTGGAAACACTCTTTTTGTAGAATCTGCAGGTGGATATTTGAATAGCTTAGAGGGATTCGTTGGAAAGGGGATATCTTCATATAAAATCTAGACAGAAGCATTCTCAGAAACTTATTTGTGATGTGTGTCCTCAACTAACAGAGTTGAACCTTGGTTTTGATACAGCATTTTGGAAACACTCCTTTTGTAGAATCTGCAGGTGGATATGTGGATAGCTCTGAAGATTTCGTTGGAAACGGGAATTTCTTCATATAAAATCAAACAGAAGCATTCTCAGAAACTTCTCAGTGATGTTTGCATTCAGCTCATGGAGTTGTACACTTCCTTTCATAGAGCAGGTTTGAAACACTCTTTCTGCACTACCTGGAAGAGGACAATTCGAGCGCTTTGAGTCCTATGGTGAAAAAGGATATATCTTCTCATAGAAACCAGAAAGAAGCATTCTCAGAAACTTCTTTGTGTTGTGTGTACTCATGTAACAGTGTTGAACCATCCTTTTGACAGAGCAGTTTTGAAACACTCTTTTTGTAGAATCTGCAAGTGGATATTTGGATAGCTTTGAGGATTTCGTTGGAAACGGGATGACATATAATATCTAGAGAGAAGCATTCTCAGGAACTTCTTTGTGATGTTTGCATTCAAGTCACAGAATTGAACATTCCCTTTCATAGAGCAGGTTTGAAACACTCTTTCTCTAGTATCTGGAAGTGGGCATTTCAAGCGCTTTCAGGCCTATGGAGAGAAAGGAAATACCTTCAAATAAAAACTAGACAGAAGCATTCTCAGAAACTTATTTGTGATGTGTGTCCTCAACTAACAGAGTTGAACCTTTGTTTTGATACAGCATTTTGGAAACACTCCTTTTGTAGAATCTGCAGGTGGATATTTGGATAGCTTTGAAGATTTCGTTGGAAACCGGAATATCTTCATATAAAATCAAGACAGAAGCATTCTCGGAAACATCTCTGTGATGTTTGCATTCAACTCAGTAGAGTTGAACACTTCCTTTCATAGAGCAGGTTTGAAACACTCTTTCTGCACTACCTGGAAGCGGACATTTCGAGCGCTTTGAGGCCTATGGTGAAAAAGGAAATATCTTCTCATAAAAACCAGAAAGAAGCATTCTCAGAAACTTCTTTGTGTTGTGTGTACTCAAGTAACAGTGTTGAACCTTCCTTTTGACAGAGCAGTTTTGAAACACTCTTTTGGTAGAATCTGCAAGTGGATATTTGGATAGCTTTGAGGAATTCGTTGGAAACGGGTTATCTTCATATAAAATCCAGACAGGAGCATTCTCAGAAACTTCTTTGTGCTGTATGTCCTCAATTCACAGAGCTGAACCTTTGTTTGGATACAGCATTTTGGAGACATTCCTTTAGTAGAATCTGCAAGTTGATATTTAGATAGCTTTGAAGATTTCGTTGGAAACGGGAATATCTTCATAGAAAATCTAGACGGAAGCATTCTCAGAAACTGCTTTGTGATGTTTGCATTCAAGTCACAGAGTTGAATATTCCCTTTTATAGAGTAGGTTTGAAACACTCTTTCGGCACTACCTGGAAGTGGATATTTCGAGCTCTTTGAGGCCTATGGTTAAAAGGAAATATCTTCCCATAAAAACTAGACAGAAGCCGTCTCAGAAACTTGTTTGTGATGTGTGTATTCAACTACCAGAGTTGAACATTTCTGTTACAGAGCAATTTTAAAACACTCTTTCTGTGGAATCTGAAAGTGGATAATTGGATAGCTTTGTGGATTTCGTTGGAAACGGGATGACGTATAAAATCTAGAGAGAAGCATTCTCAGGAACTTCTTTCTGATGTTTGCATTCAAGTCACAGAATTGAACATTCCTTTTCAGAGTGCAGGTTTGAAACACTCTTTCTGTAGTATCTGGAAGTGGACATTTCAAGCGCTTTCAGGCCTACGGGGAGAAAGGAAATATCTTCAAATAAAAACTAGACAGAAGGATTCTCAGAAACTTATTTGTGATGTGTGTCCTAAACGAACACAGTTGAACCTTTGTTTTGATACAGCATTTTGGAAACACTCCTTTTGTAGGATCTGCAGGTGGATATTTGGATAGATTTTAAGATTTCGTTGGAAACGGGAATTTCTGCATATAAACTCAAGACAGATGCATTCTCAGAAACTTCTCTGTGATGTTTGCATTCCACTCATAGAGTTGAAAACTTCCTTTCATAGAGCAGGTTTGAAACACTCTTTTTGTAATATGTGGAAGTGGACATTTGCAGCGCTTTGAGGCCTATGGTGAAAAAGGAAATATCTTCTCATAAAAACCAGAAACAAGCATTCTCAGAAACTTCTTTTTGATGTGTGTACTCAAGTAACAGAGTTGAACCTTCCTTTTGACACAGCAGTTTTGAAACAATCTTTTTGTAGAATCTGCAAGTGGATATTTGGATAGCTTTGAGGATTTCGTTGGAAACGGGATATCTTCATATAAAATCTAGACAGAAGCATTCTCAGAAACTTCTTTGTGCTGTATGTCCTCAATTAACAGAGTTGAACCATTGCTTGGATACAGCATTTTGGAAACATTCCTTTAGTAGAATCTGCAAGTTGATATTTAGATAGATTTGAAGATTTCGTTGGAAACGGGAATATCTTCATATAAAATCTAGACGGAGGCATTCTCAGAAACTGCTTTGTGATGTTTCCATTCAAGTCACAGAGTTGAATATTCTCTTTAATAGAGCACGTTTGAAACACTCTTTCTGCACTATCTGGAAGTGGACATTTCGAGCGCTTTGAGGCCTATGGTGAAAAAGGAAATATCTTCCCATAAAAACTAGACAGAAGCATTCTCAGAAACTTGTTTGTGATGTGTGTATTCAACTAACAGACTTGAACTTTTGTTTTTACAGAGCAGTTTTAAGACAATCTTTTTGTGGAATCAGAACGTGGATATTCGGATGGCTTTGAGGATTTCGTTGGAAGCGGGTTTACATATAAAATCTAGAGAGAAGCATTCTCAGGAACTACTTTGTGATGTTTGCATTGAAGTCACAGAATTGAACATTCACTTTGATAGAGCAGGTTTGAAACACTCATTCTGTAGTATCTGGAAGCCGACAATTCAAGCGCTTTCAGGCCTATGGGGAGAAAGGAAATATCTTCAAATAGAAACTAGACAGAAGCATCCTCAGAAACTTATTTGTGATGTGTGTCCTCAACTAACAGGGTTGAAACTTTGTTTTGATACAGCATTTTGGAAACACTCTTTTTGTAGAATCTGCAGGTGGATATTTGGATAGCTTAGAGGGATTCGTTGGAAAGGGGATATCTTCATATAAAATCTAGACAGAAGCATTCTCAGAAACTTATTTGTGATGTGTGTCCTCAACTAACAGAGTTGAACCTTGGTTTTGATACAGCATTTTGGAAACACTCCTTTTGTAGAATCTGCAGGTGGATATGTGGATAGCTTTGAAGATTTCGTTGGAAACGGGAATTTCTTCATATAAAATCAAACAGAAGCATTCTCAGAAACTTCTCTGTGATGTTTGCATTCAGCTCATGGAGTTGAACACTTCCTTTCATAGAGCAGGTTTGAAACACTCTTTCTGCACTACCTGGAAGCGGACATTTCGAGCGCTTTGAGGCCTATGGTGAAAAAGGAAATATCTTCTCATAAAAACCAGAAAGAAGCATTCTCAAAAACTTCTTTGTGTTGTGTGTACTCAAGTAACAGTGTTGAACCTTCCTTTTGACAGAGCAGGTTTGAAACACTCTTTTGGTAGAATCTGCAAGTGGATATTTGGATAGCTTTGAGGATTTCGTTGGAAACGGGTTATCTTCATATAAAATCCAGACAGGAGCATTCTCAGAAACTTCTTTGTGCTGTATGTCCTCAATTAACAGAGTTGAACCATTGCTTGGATACAGCATTTTGGAAACATTCCTTTAGTAGAATCTGCAAGTTGATATTTAGATAGCTTTGAAGATTTCGTTGGAAACGGGAATATCTTCATATAAAATCTAGACGGAGGCATTCTCAGAAACTGCTTTGTGATGTTTCCATTCAAGTCACAGAGTTGAATATTCTCTTTTATAGAGCACGTTTGAAACACTCTTTCTGCACTATCTGGAAGTGGACATTTCGAGCGCTTTGAGGCCTATGGTGAAAAAGGAAATATCTTCCCATAAAAACTAGACAGAAAGCATTCTCAGTACACTTGTTTGTGATGTGTGTATTCAACTAACAGACTTGAACTTTTGTTTTTACAGAGCAGTTTTAAAACAATCTTTTTGTGGAATCAGAAAGTGGATATTCGGATGGGTTTGAGGATTTCGTTGGAAGCGGGATTACATATAAAATCTAGAGAGAAGCATTCTCAGGAACTACTTTGTGATGTTTGCATTGAAGTCACAGAATTGAACATTCACTTTGATAGAGCAGGTTTGAAACACTCATGCTGTAGTATCTGGAAGTGGACATTTCAAGCGCTTTCAGGCCTATGGGGAGAAAGGAAATATCTTCAAATTAAAACTAGACAGAAGCATCCTCAGAAACTTATTTGTGATGTGTGTCCTCAACTAACAGAGTTGAAACTTTGTTTTGATACAGCATTTTGGAAACACTCTTTTTGTAGAATCTGCAGGTGGATACTTGGATAGCTTAGAGGGATTCGTTGGAAAGGGGATAAATTCATATAAAATCTAGACAGAAGCATTCTCAGAAACTTATTTGTGATGTGTGTCCTCAACTAACAGAGTTGAACCTTGGTTTTGATACAGCATTTTGGAAACACTCCTTTTGAAGAATCTGCAGGTGGATATGTGGATAGCTTTGAAGATTTCGTTGGAAACGGGAATTTCTTCATATAAAATCAAACAGAAGCATTCTCAGGAACTTCTCTGTGATGTTTGCATTCAGCTCATGGAGTTGAACACTTCCTTTCATAGAGCAGGTTTGAAACACTCTTTCTGCACTACCTGGAAGTGGACATTTCGAGCGCTTTGAGGCCTATGGTGAAAAAGGAAATATCCTCTCATAAAAACCAGAAACAAGCGTTCTCAGAAACTTCTTTGTGTTGTGTGTACTCATGTAACAGTGTTGAACCATCCTTTTGACAGAGCAGTTTTGAAACACTCTTTTTGTAGAATCTGCAAGTGGATATTTGGATAGCTTTGAGGATTTCGTTGGAAACGGGTTATCTTCATATTAAATCTAGACAGAAGCATTCTCAGAAACTTCTTTGTGCTGTATGTCCTCAATTCACAGAGTTGAACCTTTGTTTGGATACAGCATTTTGGAAACATTCCTTTAGTAGAATCTGCAAGTTGATATTTAGATAGCTTTGAAGATTTCGTTGGAAACGGGAATATCTTCATAAAAAATCTAGACGGAAGCATTGTCAGAAACTGCTCTGTGATGTTTGCATTCAAGTCACAGAGTTAAATATTCTTTTACAGAGCAGGTTTGAAACACTCTTTCTGCACTCCCTGGAAGTGGAGATTTCGAGCGCTTTGAGGCCTATGGTGAAAAAGGAAATATCTTCCCATAAAAACTAGACGGAAGCCTTCTCAGAAACTTGTTTGAGATGTGTGTATTCAACTAAGAGCGTTGAACATTTCTTTTTACAGAGCAGTTTTAAAACAGTCTTTTGGTGGAATCTGAAAGTGGATAATTGGATAGCTTTGTGGATTTCGTTGGAAACGGGATGACGTTTAAAATCTAGAGAGAAGCATTCTCAGGAACTTCTTTCTGATGTTTGCATTCAAGTCACAGAATTGAACATTCCTTTTCATAGTGCAGGTTTGAAACACTCTGTAGTATCTGGAAGTGGACATTTCAAGCGCTTTCAAGCCTATGGGGAGAAAGGAAATATCTTGAAATAAAAACTAGACAGAAGGATTCTCAGAAACTTATTTGTGATGTGTGTCCTAAACGAACACAGTTGAACCTTTGTTTTGATACAGCATTTTGGAAACACTCCTTTTGTAGAATCTGCAGGTGGATATTTGGATAGATTTTAAGATTTCATTGGAAACGGGAATTTCTTCATATAAACTCAAGACAGATGCATTCTCAGAAACTTCTCTGTGATGTTTGCATTCCACTCACAGAGTTGAAAACTTCCTTTCATAGAGCAGGTTTGAAACACTCTTTTTGTAATATTTGGAAGTGGACATTTGCAGCGCTTTGAGGCCTATGGTGAAAAAGGAAATATCTTCTCATAAAAACCAGAAACAAGCATTCTCAGAAACTTCTTTTTGATGTGTGTACTCAAGTAACAGAGTTGAACCTTCCTTTTGACACAGCAGTTTTGAAACAATCTTTTTGTAGAATCTGCAAGTGGATATTTGGATAGCTTTGAGGATTTCGTTGGAAACGGGATATCTTCATATAAAATCTAGACAGAAGCATTCTCAGAAACTATTTTGTGCTGTATGTCCTCAATTAACAGAGTTGAACCATTGCTTGGATACAGCATTTTGGAAACATTCCTTTAGTAGAATCTGCAAGTTGATATTTAGATAGATTTGAAGATTTCGTTGGAAACGGGAATATCTTCATATAAAATCTAGACGGAGGCATTCTCAGAAACTGCTTTGTGATGTTTCCATTCAAGTCACAGAGTTGAATATTCTCTTTTATAGAGCACGTTTGAAACACTCTTTCTGCACTATCTGGAAGTGGACATTTCAAGCGCTGTGAGGCCTATGGTGAAAAAGGAAATATCTTCCCATAAAAACTAGACAGAAGCATTCTCAGAAACTTGTTTATGATGTGTGTATTCAACTAACAGACTTGAACTTTTGTTTTTACAGAGCAGTTTTAAGACAATCTTTTTGTGGAATCAGAAAGTGGATATTCGGATGGCTTTGAGGATTTCGTTGGAAGCGGGATTACATATAAAATCTAGAGAGAAGCATTCTCAGGAACTACTTTGTGATGTTTGCATTGATGTCACAGAATTGAACATTCACTTTGATAGAGCAGGTTTGAAACACTCATTCTGTAGTATCTGGAAGCGGACAATTCTAGCGCTTTCAGGCCTATGGGGAGAAAGGAAATATCTTCAAATAAAAACTAGACAGAAGCATCCTCAGAAACTTATTTGTGATGTCTGTCCTCAACTAACAGAGTGGAACCTTGGTTTTGATACAGCATTTTGGAAACACTCCTTTTGTAGAATCTGCAGGTGGATATTTGGATAGCTTAGAGGGATTCGTTGGAAAGGGGATATCTTCATATAAAATCTAGACAGAAGCATTCTCAGAAACTTATTTGTGATGTGTGTCCTCAACTAACAGAGTGGAACCTTGGTTTTGATACAGCATTTTGGAAACACTCCTTTTGTAGAATCTGCAGGTGGATATGTGGATAGCTTTGAAGATTTCGTTGGAAACGGGAATTTCTTCATATAAAATCAAACAGAAGCATTCTCAGAAACTTCTCTGTGATGTTTGCATTCAGCTCATGGAGTTGAACACTTCCTTTCATAGAGCAGGTTTGATAAACTCTTTCTGCACTACCAGGAAGTGGACATTTCGAGCGCTTTGAGGCTTATGGTGAAAAAGGAAATATCTTCTCATAAAAACCAGAAAGAAGCGTTCTCAGAAACTTCTTTGTGTTGTGTGTACTCATGTAACAGTGTTGAACCATCCTTTTGACAGAGCAGTTTTGAAACAATCTTTTTGTAGAATCTGCAAGTGGATATTTGGATAGCTTTGAGGATTTCGTTGGAAATGGGATATCTTCATATAAAATCTAGACAGAAGCATTCTCAGAAACTTCTTTGTGCTGTATGTCCTCAATTAACAGAGTTGAACCATTGCTTGGATACAGCATTTTGGAAACATTCCTTTAGTAGAATCTGCAAGTTGATATTTAGATAGCTTTGAAGATTTCGTTGGAAACGGGAATATCTTCATAAAAAATCTAGACGGAGGCATTCTCAGAAACGGCTTTGTGATGTTTCCATTCAAGTCACAGAGTTGAATATTCTCTTTTCTAGAGCACGTTTGAAACACTCTTTCTGCACTATCTGGAAGTGGACATTTCGAGCGCTTTGAGGCCTATGGTGAAAAAGGAAATATCTTCCCATATAAACTAGACAGAAGCATTCTCAGAAACTTGTTTGTGATGTGTGTATTCAACTAACAGACTTGAACTTTTGTTTTTACAG
Source organism: Homo sapiens (assembly GCF_000001405.40). Classification (NCBI taxonomy): domain Eukaryota; kingdom Metazoa; phylum Chordata; class Mammalia; order Primates; family Hominidae; genus Homo; species Homo sapiens. The sequence goes on from NC_000004.12 coordinate 50,501,913, forward strand.
AGCAGTTTTAAAACAGTCTTTTTGTGGAATCAGAAAGTGGATATTCGGATGGCTTTGAGGATTTCGTTGGAAGCGTGATTACATATAAAATCTAGAGAGAAGCATTCTCAGGAACTTCTTTGTGATGTTTGCATTGAAGTCACGGAATTGAACATTCACTTTTATAGAGCAGGTTTGAAACACTCATTCTGTAGTATCTGGAAGTGGACATTTCAAGCGCTTTCAGGCCTATGGTGAGAAAGGAAATATCTTCGAATAAAAACTAGACAGAAGCATTCTCAGAAACTTATTTGTGATGTGTGTCCTCAACTAACAGAGTTGAAACTTTGTTTTGATACAGCATTTTGGAAACACTCTTTTTGTAGAATCTGCAGGTGGATATTTGGATAGCTTAGAGGGATTCGTTGGAAAGGGGATATCTTCATATAAAATCTAGACAGAAGCATTCTCAGAAACTTATTTGTGATGTGTGTCCTCAACTAACAGAGTTGAACCTTGGTTTTGATACAGCATTTTGGAAACACTCCTTTTGTAGAATCTGCAGGTGGATATGTGGATAGCTCTGAAGATTTCGTTGGAAACGGGAATTTCTTCATATAAAATCAAACAGAAGCATTCTCAGAAACTTCTCAGTGATGTTTGCATTCAGCTCATGGAGTTGTACACTTCCTTTCATAGAGCAGGTTTGAAACACTCTTTCTGCACTACCTGGAAGAGGACATTTCGAGCGCTTTGAGTCCTATGGTGAAAAAGGAAATATCTTCTCATAGAAACCAGAAAGAAGCATTCTCAGAAACTTCTTTGTGTTGTGTGTACTCATGTAACAGTGTTGAACCATCCTTTTGACAGAGCAGTTTTGAAACACTCTTTTTGTAGAATCTGCAAGTGGATATTTGGATAGCTTTGAGGATTTCGTTGGAAACGGGATGACATATAATATCTAGAGAGAAGCATTCTCAGGAACTTCTTTGTGATGTTTGCATTCAAGTCACAGAATTGAACATTCCCTTTCATAGAGCAGGTTTGAAACACTCTTTCTCTAGTATCTGGAAGTGGGCTTTTCAAGCGCTTTCAGGCCTATGGAGAGAAAGGAAATACCTTCAAATAAAAACTAGACAGAAGCATTCTCAGAAACTTATTTGTGATGTGTGTCCTCAACTAACAGAGTTGAACCTTTGTTTTGATACAGCATTTTGGAAACACTCCTTTTGTAGAATCTGCAGGTGGATATTTGGATAGCTTTGAAGATTTCGTTGGAAACCGGAATATCTTCATATAAAATCAAGACAGAAGCATTCTCGGAAACATCTCTGTGATGTTTGCATTCAACTCAGTAGAGTTGAACACTTCCTTTCATAGAGCAGGTTTGAAACACTCTTTCTGCACTACCTGGAAGTGGACATTTCGAGCGCTTTGAGGCCTATGGTGAAAAAGGAAATATCTTCTCATAAAAACCAGAAAGAAGCATTCTCAGAAACTTCTTTGTGTTGTGTGTACTCAAGTAACAGTGTTGAACCTTCCTTTTGACAGAGCAGTTTTGAAACACTCTTTTGGTAGAATCTGCAAGTGGATATTTGGATAGCTTTGAGGATTTCGTTGGAAACGGGTTATCTTCATATAAAATCCAGACAGGAGCATTCTCAGAAACTTCTTTGTGCTGTATGTCCTCAATTCACAGAGCTGAACCTTTGTTTGGATACAGCATTTTGGAGACATTCCTTTAGTAGAATCTGCAAGTTAATATTTAGATAGCTTTGAAGATTTCGTTGGAAACGGGAATATCTTCATAGAAAATCTAGACGGAAGCATTCTCAGAAACTGCTTTGTGATGTTTGCATTCAAGTCACAGAGTTGAATATTCCCTTTTATAGAGTAGGTTTGAAACACTCTTTCGGCACTACCTGGAAGTGGATATTTCGAGCTCTTTGAGGCCTATGGTTAAAAGGAAATATCTTCCCATAAAAACTAGACAGAAGCCGTCTCAGCAAACTTGTTTGTGATGTGTGTATTCAACTAACAGAGTTGAACATTTCTGTTACAGAGCAATTTTAAAACACTCTTTTTGTGGAATCTGAAAGTGGATAATTGGATAGCTTTGTGGATTTCGTTGGAAACGGGATGACGTATAAAATCTAGAGAGAAGCATTCTCAGGAACTTCTTTCTGATGTTTGCATTCAAGTCACAGAATTGAACATTCCTTTTCAGAGTGCAGGTTTGAAACACTCTTTCTGTAGTATCTGGAAGTGGACATTTCAAGCGCTTTCAGGCCTACGGGGAGAAAGGAAATCTCTTCAAATAAAAACCAGACAGAAGGATTCTCAGTAAACTTATTTGTGATGTGTGTCCTAAACGAACACAGTTGAACCTTTGTTTTGATACAGCATTTTGGAAACACTCCTTTTGTAGGATCTGCAGGTGGATATTTGGATAGATTTTAAGATTTCGTTGGAAACGGGAATTTCTTCATAGAAGCTCAAGACAGATGCATTCTCAGAAACTTCTCTGTGATGTTTGCATTCCACTCATAGAGTTGAAAACTTCCTTTCATAGAGCAGGTTTGAAACACTCTTTTTGTAATATTTGGAAGTGGACATTTGCAGCGCTTTGAGGCCTATGGTGAAAAAGGAAATATCTTCTCATAAAAACCAGAAACAAGCATTCTCAGAAACTTCTTTTTGATGTGTGTACTCAAGTAACAGAGTTGAACCTTCCTCTTGACACAGCAGTTTTGAAACAATCTTTTTGTAGAATCTGCAAGTGGATATTTGGATAGCTTTGAGGATTTCGTTGGAAACGGGATATCTTCATATAAAATCTAGACAGAAGCATTCTCAGAAACTTCTTTGTGCTGTATGTCCTCAATTAACAGAGTTGAACCATTGCCTGGATACAGCATTTTGGAAACATTCCTTGAGTAGAATCTGCAAGTTGATATTTAGATAGATTTGAAGATTTCGTTGGAAAAGGGAATATCTCCATATAAAATCTAGAGGGAAGCATTCTCAGAAACTGCTTTGTGATGTTTCCATTCAAGTCACAGAGTTGAATATTCTCTTTTATAGAGCACGTTTGAAACACTCTTTCTGCACTATCTGGAAGCGGACATTTCGAGCGCTTTGAGGCCTATGGTGAAAAAGGAAATATCTTCCCATAAAAACTAGACAGAAGCATTCTCAGAAACTTGTTTGTGATGTGTGTATTCAACTAACAGAGTTGAACTTTTGTTTTTACAGAGCCGTTTTAAAACACTCTTTTTGTGGAATCAGAAAGTGGATATTCGGATGGCTCTGAGGATTTCGTTGGAAGCGGGATTACGTATAAAATCTAGAGAGAAGCATTCTCAGGAACTTCTTTCTGATGTTTGCATTGAAGTCACAGAATTGAACATTCACTTTTATAGAGCAGGTTTGAAACACTCATTCTGTAGTATCTGGAAGTGGACATTTCAAGCGCTTTCAGGCCTATGGTGAGAAAGGAAATATCTTCGAATAAAAACTAGACAGAAGCATCCTCAGGAACTTATTTGTGATGTGTGTCCTCAACTAACAGAGTTGAAACTTTGTTTTGATACAGCATTTTGGAAACACTCTTTTTGTAGAATCTGCAGGTGGATATTTGGATAGCTTAGAGGGATTCGTTGGAAAGGGGATATCTTCATATAAAATCTAGACAGAAGCATTCTCAGAAACTTATTTGTGATGTGTGTCCTCAACTAACAGAGTTGAACCTTGGTTTTGATACAGCATTTTGGAAACACTCCTTTTGTAGAATCTGCAGGTGGATATGTGGATAGCTCTGAAGATTTCGTTGGAAACGGGAATTTCTTCATATAAAATCAAACAGAAGCATTCTCAGAAACTTCTCAGTGATGTTTGCATTCAGCTCATGGAGTTGTACACTTCCTTTCATAGAGCAGGTTTGAAACACTCTTTCTGCACTACTTGGAAGAGGACATTTCGAGCGCTTTGAGTCCTATGGTGAAAAAGGAAATATCTTCTCATAGAAACCAGAAAGAAGCATTCTCAGAAACTTCTTTGTGTTGTGTGTACTCATGTAACAGTGTTGAACCATCCTTTTGACAGAGCAGTTTTGAAACACTCTTTTTGTAGAATCTGCAAGTGGATATTTGGATAGCTTTGAGGATTTCGTTGGAAACGGGATGACATATAATATCTAGAGAGAAGCATTCTCAGGAACTTCTTTGTGATGTTTGCATTCAAGTCACAGAATTGAACATTCCCTTTCATAGAGCAGGTTTGAAACACTCTTTCTCTAGTATCTGGAAGTGGGCATTTCAAGCGCTTTCAGGCCTATGGAGAGAAAGGAAATACCTTCAAATAAAAACTAGACAGAAGCATTCTCAGAAACTTATTTGTGATGTGTGTCCTCAACTAACAGAGTTGAACCTTTGTTTTGATACAGCATTTTGGAAACACTCCTTTTGTAGAATCTGCAGGTGGATATTTGGATAGCTTTGAAGATTTCGTTGGAAACCGGAATATCTTCATATAAAATCAAGACAGAAGCATTCTCGGAAACATCTCTGTGATGTTTGCATTCAACTCAGTAGAGTTGAACACTTCCTTTCATAGAGCAGGTTTGAAACACTCTTTCTGCACTACCTGGAAGCGGACATTTCGAGCGCTTTGAGGCCTATGGTGAAAAAGGAAATATCTTCTCATAAAAACCAGAAAGAAGCATTCTCAGAAACTTCTTTGTGTTGTGTGTACTCAAGTAACAGTGTTGAACCTTCCTTTTGACAGAGTAGTTTTGAAACACTCTTTTGGTAGAATCTGCAAGTGGATATTTGGAGAGCTTTGAGGATTTCGTTGGAAACGGGTTATCTTCCTATAAAATCCAGACAGGAGCATTCTCAGAAACTTCTTTGTGCTGTATGTCCTCAATTCACAGAGCTGAACCTTTGTTTGGATACAGCATTTTGGAGACATTCCTTTAGTAGAATCTGCAAGTTGATATTTAGATAGCTTTGAAGATTTCGTTGGAAACGGGAATATCTTCATAGAAAATCTAGACGGAAGCATTCTCAGAAACTGCTTTGTGATGTTTGCATTCAAGTCACAGAGTTGAATATTCCCTTTTATAGAGTAGGTTTGAAACACTCTTTCGGCACTACCTGGAAGTGGATATTTCGAGCTCTTTGAGGCCTATGGTTAAAAGGAAATATCTTCCCATAAAAACTAGACAGAAGCCGTCTCAGAAACTTGTTTGTGATGTGTGTATTCAACTAACAGAGTTGAACATTTCTGTTACAGAGCAATTTTAAAACACTCTTTGTGGAATCTGAAAGTGGATAATTGGATAGCTTTGTGGATTTCGTTGGAAACGGGATGACGTATAAAATCTAGAGAGAAGCATTCTCAGGAACTTCTTTCTGATGTTTGCATTCAAGTCACAGAATTGAACATTCCTTTTCAGAGTGCAGGTTTGAAACATTCTTTCTGTAGTATCTGGAAGTGGACATTTCAAGCGCTTTCAGGCCTACGGGGAGAAAGGAAATATCTTCAAATAAAAACTAGACAGAAGGGTTCTCAGAAACTTATTTGTGATGTGTGTCCTAAACGAACACAGTTGAACCTTTGTTTTGATACAGCATTTTGGAAACACTCCTTTTGTAGGATCTGCAGGTGGATATTTGGATAGATTTTAAGATTTCGTTGGAAACGGGAATTTCTGCATAGAAACTCAAGACAGATGCATTCTCAGAAACTTCTCTGTGATGTTTGCATTCCACTCATAGAGTTGAAAACTTCCTTTCATAGAGCAGGTTTGAAACACTCTTTTTGTAATATTTGGAAGTGGACATTTGCAGCGCTTTGAGGCCTATGGTGAAAAAGGAAATATCTTCTCATAAAAACCAGAAACAAGCATTCTCAGAAACTTCTTTTTGATGTGTGTACTCAAGTAACAGAGTTGAACCTTCCTTTTGACACAGCAGTTTTGAAACAATCTTTTTGTAGAATCTGCAAGTGGATATTTGGATAGCTTTGAGGATTTCGTTGGAAACGGGATATCTTCATATAAAATCTAGACAGAAGCATTCTCAGAAACTTCTTTGTGCTGTATGTCCTCAATTAACAGAGTTGAACCATTGCCTGGATACAGCATTTTGGAAACATTCCTTGAGTAGAATCTGCAAGTTGATATTTAGATAGATTTGAAGATTTCGTTGGAAAAGGGAATATCTCCATATAAAATATAGAGGGAAGCATTCTCAGAAACTGCTTTGTGATGTTTCCATTCAAGTCACAGAGTTGAATATTCCCTTTTATAGAGCACGTTTGAAACACTCTTTCTGCACTATCTGGAAGTGGACATTTCGAGCGCTTTGAGGCCTATGGTGAAAAAGGAAATATCTTCCCATAAAAACTAGACAGAAGCATTCTCAGAAACTTGTTTGTGATGTGTGTATTCAACTAACAGAGTTGAACTTTTGTTTTTACAGAGCCGTTTTAAAACACTCTTTTTGTGGAATCAGAAAGTGGATATTCGGATGGCTCTGAGGATTTCGTTGGAAGCGGGATTACGTATAAAATCTAGAGAGAAGCATTCTCAGAAACTTCTTTCTGATGTTTGCATTGAAGTCACAGAATTGAACATTCACTTTGATAGAGCAGGTTTGAAACACTCATTCTGTAGTATCTGGAAGTGGACATTTCAAGCGCTTTCAGGCCTATGGTGAGAAAGGAAATATCTTCGAATAAAAACTAGACAGAAGCATCCTCAGCAAACTTATTTGTGATGTGTGTCCTCAACTAACAGAGTTGAAACTTTGTTTTGATACAGCATTTTGGAAACACTCTTTTTGTAGAATCTGCAGGTGGATATTTGGATAGCTTAGAGGGATTCGTTGGAAAGGGGATATCTTCATATAAAATCTAGACAGAAGCATTCTCAGAAACTTATTTGTGATGTGTGTCCTCAACTAACAGAGTTGAACCTTGGTTTTGATACAGCATTTTGGAAACACTCCTTTTGTAGAATCTGCAGGTGGATATGTGGATAGCTCTGAAGATTTCGTTGGAAACGGGAATTTCTTCATATAAAATCAAACAGAAGCATTCTCAGAAACTTCTCAGTGATGTTTGCATTCAGCTCATGGAGTTGTACACTTCCTTTCATAGAGCAGGTTTGAAACACTCTTTCTGCACTACCTGGAAGAGGACATTTCGAGCGCTTTGAGTCCTATGGTGAAAAAGGAAATATCTTCTCATAGAAACCAGAAAGAAACATTCTCAGAAACTTCTTTGTGTTGTGTGTACTCATGTAACAGTGTTGAACCATCCTTTTGACAGAGCAGTTTTGAAACACTCTTTTTGTAGAATCTGCAAGTGGATATTTGGATAGCTTTGAGGATTTCGTTGGAAACGGGATGACATATAATATCTAGAGAGAAGCATTCTCAGGAACTTCTTTGTGATGTTTGCATTCAAGTCACAGAATTGAACATTCCCTTTCATAGAGCAGGTTTGAAACACTCTTTCTCTAGTATCTGGAAGTGGGCATTTCAAGCGCTTTCAGGCCTATGGAGAGAAAGGAAATACCTTCAAATAAAAACTAGACAGAAGCATTCTCAGAAACTTATTTGTGATGTGTGTCCTCAACTAACAGAGTTGAACCTTTGTTTTGATACAGCATTTTGGAAACACTCCTTTTGTAGAATCTGCAGGTGGATATTTGGATAGCTTTGAAGATTTCGTTGGAAACCGGAATATCTTCATATAAAATCAAGACAGAAGCATTCTCGGAAACATCTCTGTGATGTTTGCATTCAACTCAGTAGAGTTGAACACTTCCCTTTCATAGAGCAGGTTTGAAACACTCTTTCTGCACTACCTGGAAGCGGACATTTCGAGCGCTTTGAGGCCTATGGTGAAAAAGGAAATATCTTCTCATAAAAACCAGAAAGAAGCATTCTCAGAAACTTCTTTGTGTTGTGTGTACTCAAGTAACAGTGTTGAACCTTCCTTTTGACAGAGCAGTTTTGAAACACTCTTTTGGTAGAATCTGCAAGTGGATATTTGGATAGCTTTGAGGATTTCGTTGGAAACGGGTTATCTTCCTATAAAATCCAGACAGGAGCATTCTCAGAAACTTCTTTGTGCTGTATGTCCTCAATTCACAGAGCTGAACCTTTGTTTGGATACAGCATTTTGGAGACATTCCTTTAGTAGAATCTGCAAGTTGATATTTAGATAGCTTTGAAGATTTCGTTGGAAACGGGAATATCTTCATAGAAAATCTAGACGGAGGCATTCTCAGAAACTGCTTTGTGATGTTTCCATTCAAGTCACAGAGTTGAATATTCTCTTTTATAGAGCACGTTTGAAACACTCTTTCTGCACCATCTGGAAGTGGACATTTCGAGCGCTGTGAGGCCTATGGTGAAAAAGGAAATATCTTCCCATAAAAACTAGACAGAAGCATTCTCAGAAACTTGTTTGTGATGTGTGTATTCAACTAACAGACTTGAACTTTTGTTTTTACAGAGCAGTTTTAAAACAATCTTTTTGTGGAATCAGAAAGTGGATATTCGGATGGCTTTGAGGATTTCGTTAGAAGCGGGATTACATGTAAAATCTAGAGAGAAGCATTCTCAGGAACTACTTTGTGATGTTTGCATTGAAGTCACAGAATTGAACATTCACTTTGATAGAGCAGGTTTGAAACACTCATTCTGTAGTATCTGGAAGCGGAGAATTCAAGCGCTTTCAGGCCTATGGGGAGAAAGGAAATATCTTCAAAAAAATTAGACAGAAGCATCCTCAGAAACTTATTTGTGATGTGTGTCCTCAACTAACAGAGTTGAAACTTTGTTTTGATACAGCATTTTGGAAACACTCTTTTTGTAGAATCTGCAGGTGGATATTTGGATAGCTTAGAGGGATTCGTTGGAAAGGGGATATCTTCATATAAAATCTAGACAGAAGCATTCTCAGAAACTTATTTGTGATGTGTGTCCTCAACTAACAGAGTTGAACCTTGGTTTTGATACAGCATTTTGGAAACACTCCTTTTGTAGAATCTGCATGTGGATATGTGGATAGCTCTGAAGATTTCGTTGGAAACGGGAATTTCTTCATATAAAATCAAACAGAAGCATTCTCAGAAACTTCTCTGTGATGTTTGCATTCAGCTCATGGAGTTGAACACTTCCTTTCATAGAGCAGGTTTGAAACACTCTTTCTGCACTACCAGGAAGTGGACATTTCGAGCGCTTTGAGGCCTATGGTGAAAAAGGAAATATCTTCTCATAAAAACCAGAAAGAAGCGTTCTCAGAAACTTCTTTGTGTTGTGTGTACTCATGTAAGAGTGTTGAACCATCCTTTTGACAGAGCAGTTTTGAAACACTCTTTTTGTAGAATCTGCAAGTGGATATTTGGATAGCTTTGAGGATTTCGTTGGAAACGGTTTATCTTCATATTAAATCTAGACAGAAGCATTCTCAGAAACTTCTTTGTGCTGTATGTCCTCAATTCACAGAGTTGAACCTTTGTTTGGATACAGCATTTTGGAAACATTCCTTTAGTAGAATCTGCAAGTTGATATTTAGATAGCTTTGAAGATTTCCTTGGATACGGGAATATCTTCATAAAAAATCTAGACGGAAAGCATTCTCATAAACTGCTTTGTGATGTTTGCATTCAAGTCACAGAGTTGAATATTCCCTTTTATAGTGTAGGTTTGAAACACTCTTTCGGCACTACCTGGAAGTGGATATTTCAAGCTCTTTGAGGCCTATGGTTAAAAGGAAATATCTTCCCATAAAAACTAGACAGAAGCCGTCTCAGAAACTTGTTTGTGATGTGTGTATTCAACTAACAGAGTTGAACATTTCTGTTACAGAGCAATTTTAAAACACTCTTTTTGTGGAATCTGAAAGTGGATAATTGGATAGCTTTGTGGATTACGTTGGAAACGGGATTACGTATAAAATCTAGAGAGAAGCATTCTCAGGAACTTCTTTCTGATGTTTGCATTCAAGTCACAGAATTGAACATTCCTTTTCACAGTGCAGGTTTGAAACACTCTTTCTGTAGTATCTGGAAGTGGACATTTCAAGCGCTTTCAGGCCTATGGGGAGAAAGGAAATATCTTCAAATAAAAACTAGACAGAAGACTTCTCAGAAACTTATTTGTGATGTGTGCCCTAAACGAACACAGTTGAACCTTTGTTTTGATACAGCATTTTGGAAACACTCCTTTTGTAGAATCTGCAGGTGGATATTTGGATAGATTTTAAGATTTCGTTGGAAACGGGAATTTCTTCATATAAACTCAAGACAGATGCATTCTCAGAAACTTCCCTGTGATGTTTGCATTCCACTCATAGAGTTGAAAACTTCCTTTCATAGAGCAGGTTTGAAACACTCTTTTTGTAATATTTGGAAGTGGACATTTGCAGCGCTTTGAGGCCTATGGTGAAAAAAAAATATCTTCTTATAAAAACCAGAAACGAGCATTCTCAGAAACTTCTTTTTGATGTGTGTACTCGAGTAACAGAGTTGAACCTTCCTTTTGACACAGCAGTTTTGAAACAATCTTTTTGTAGAATCTGCAAGTGGATATTTGGATAGCTTTGAGGATTTCGTTGGAAACGGGATATCTTCATATAAAATCTAGACAGAAGCATTCTCAGAAACTTCTTTGTGCTGTATGTCCTCAATTAACAGAGTTGAACCATTGCTTGGATACAGCATTTTGGAAACATTCCTTTAGTAGAATCTGCAAGTTGATATTTAGATAGATTTGAAGATTTCGTTGGAAAAGGGAATATCTTCATAGAAAATCTAGACGGAAGCATTCTCAGAAACTGCTTTGTGATGTTTCCATTCAAGTCACAGAGTTGAATATTCCCTTTTATAGAGCACGTTTGAAACACTCTTTCTGCACTATCTGGAAGTGGACATTTCGAGCGCTTTGAGGCCTATGGTGAAAAAGGAAATATCTTCCCATAAAAACTAGACAGAAGCATTCTCAGAAATTTGTTTGTGATGTGTGTATTCAACTAACAGACTTGAACTTTTGTTTTTACAGAGCCGTTTTAAAACACCTTTTTTGTGGAATCAGAAAGTGGATATTCGGATGGCTCTGAGGATTTCGTTGGAAGCGGGATTACATATAAAATCTAGAGAGAAGCATTCTCAGGAACTTCTTTGTGATGTTTGCATTGAAGTCACAGAATTGAACATTCACTTTGATAGAGCAGGATTGAAACACTCATTCTGTAGTACCTGGAAGTGGACATTTCAAGCGCTTTCAGGCCTATGGTGAGAAAGGAAATATCTTCGAATAAAAACTAGACAGAAGCATCCTCAAACTTATTTGTGATGTGTGTCCTCAACTAACAGAGTTGAAACTTTGTTTTGATACAGCATTTTGGAAACACTCTTTTTGTAGAATCTGCAGGTGGATATTTGGATAGCTTAGAGGGATTCGTTGGAAAGGGGATATCTTCATATAAAATCTAGACAGAAGCATTCTCAGAAACTTATTTGTGATGTGTGTCCTCAACTAACAGAGTTGAACCTTGGTTTTGATACAGCATTTTGGAAACACTCCTTTTGTAGAATCTGCAGGTGGATATGTGGATAGCTCTGAAGATTTCGTTGGAAACGGGAATTTCTTCATATAAAATCAAACAGAAGCATTCTCAGAAACTTCTCAGTGATGTTTGCATTCAGCTCATGGAGTTGTACACTTCCTTTCATAGAGCAGGTTTGAAACACTCTTTCTGCACTACCTGGAAGAGGACATTTCGAGCGCTTTGAGTCCTATGGTGAAAAAGGAAATATCTTCTCATAGAAACCAGAAAGAAGCATTCTCAGAAACTTCTTTGTGTTGTGTGTTCTCATGTAACAGTGTTGAACCATCCTTTTGACAGAGGAGTTTTGAAACACTCTTTTTGTAGAATCTGCAAGTGGATATTTGGATAGCTTTGAGGATTTCGTTGGAAACGGGATGACATATAATATCTAGAGAGAAGCATTCTCAGGAACTTCTTTGTGATGTTTGCATTCAAGTCACAGAATTGAACATTCCCTTTCATAGAGCAGGTTTGAAACACTCTTTCTCTAGTATCTGGAAGTGGGCATTTCAAGCGCTTTCAGGCCTATGGAGAGAAAGGAAATACCTTCAAATAAAAACTAGACAGAAGCATTCTCAGAAACTTATTTGTGATGTGTGTCCTCAACTAACAGAGTTGAACCTTTGTTTTGATACAGCATTTTGGAAACACTCCTTTTGTAGAATCTGCAGGTGGATATTTGGATAGCTTTGAAGATTTCGTTGGAAACCGGAATATCTTCCTATAAAATCAAGACAGAAGCATTCTCGGAAACATCTTCTGTGATGTTTGCATTCAACTCAGTAGAGTTGAACACTTCCTTTCATAGAGCAGGTTTGAAACACTCTTTCTGCACTACCTGGAAGTGGACATTTCGAGCGCTTTGAGGCCTATGGTGAAAAAGGAAATGTCTTCTCATAAAAACCAGAAAGAAGCATTCTCAGAAACTTCTTTGTGTTGTGTGTACTCAAGTAACAGTGTTGAACCTTCCTTTTGACAGAGCAGTTTTGAAACACTCTTTTGGTAGAATCTGCAAGTGGATATTTGGATAGCTTTGAGGATTTCGTTGGAAACGGGTTATCTTCATATAAAATCCAGACAGGAGCATTCTCAGAAACTTCTTTGTGCTGTATGTCCTCAATTCACAGAGCTGAACCTTTGTTTGGATACAGCATTTTGGAGACATTCCTTTAGTAGAATCTGCAAGTTGATATTTAGATAGCTTTGAAGATTTCGTTGGAAACGGGAATATCTTCATAGAAAATGCTAGACGGAAGCATTCTCAGAAACTGCTTTGTGATGTTTGCATTCAAGTCACAGAGTTGAATATTCCCTTTTATAGAGTAGGTTTGAAACACTCTTTCGGCACTACCTGGAAGTGGATATTTCGAGCTCTTTGAGGCCTATGGTTAAAAGGAAATATCTTCCCATAAAAACTAGACAGAAGCCGTCTCAGAAACTAGTTTGTGATGTGTGTATTCAACCAACAGAGTTGAACATTTCTGTTACAGAGCAATTTTAAAACACTCTTTTTGTGGAATCTGAAAGTGGATAATTGGATAGCTTTGTGGATTTCGTTGGAAACGGGATGACGTATAAAATCTAGAGAGAAGCATTCTCAGGAACTTCTTTCTGATGTTTGCATTCAAGTCACAGAATTGACATTCCTTTTCAGAGTGCAGGTTTGAAACACTCTTTCTGTAGTTTCTGGAAGTGGACATTTCAAGGGCTTTCAGGCCTATGGGGAGAAAGGAAATATCTTCAAATAAAAACTAGACAGAAGGATTCTCAGAAACTTATTTGTGATGTGTGTCCTAAGCGAACACAGTTGAACCTTTGTTTTGATACAGCATTTTGGAAACACTCCTTTTGTAGGATCTGCAGGTGGATATTTGGATAGATTTTAAGATTTCATTGGAAACGGGAATTTCTGCATAGAAACTCAAGACAGATGCATTCTCAGAAACTTCTCTGTGATGTTTGCATTCCACTCATAGAGTTGAAAACTTCCTTTCATAGAGCAGGTTTGAAACACTCTTTTTGTAATATTTGGAAGTGGACCTTTGCAGCGCTTTGAGGCCTATGGTGAAAAAGGAAATATCTTCTCATAAAAACCAGAAACAAGCATTCTCAGAAACTTCTTTTTGATGTGTGTACTCAAATAACAGAGTTGAACCTTCCTTTTGACACAGCAGTTTTGAAACAATCTTTTTGTAGAATCTGCAAGTGGATATTTGGATAGCTTTGATGATTTCGTTGGAAACGGGATATCTTCATATAAAATCTAGACAGAAGCATTCTCAGGAACTTCTTTGTGCTGTATGTCCTCAATTAACAGAGTTGAACCATTGCTTGGATACAGCATTTTGGAAACATTCCTTGAGTAGAATCTGCAAGTTGATACTTAGATAGATTTGAAGATTTCGTTGGAAAAGGGAATATCTCCATATAAAATCTAGAGGGAAGCATTCTCAGAAACTGCTTTGTGATGTTTCCATTCAAGTCACAGAGTTGAATATTCTCTTTTATAGAGCACGTTTGAAACACTCTTTCTGCACTATGTGGAAGTGGACATTTCAAGCGCTTTGAGGCCTATGGTGAAAAAGGAAATATCTTCCCGTAAAAACTAGACAGAAGCATTCTCAGAAACTTGTTTGTGATGTGTGTATTCAACTAACAGAGTTGAACTTTTGTTTTTACAGAGCCGTTTTAAAACACTCTTTTTGTGGAATCAGAAAGTGGATATTCGGATGGCTCTGAGGATTTCGTTGGAAGCGGGATTACATATAAAATCTAGAGAGAAGCATTCTCAGGAACTTCTTTGTGATGTTTGCATTGAAGTCACAGAATTGAACATTCACTTTGATAGAGCAGGTTTGAAACACTCATTCTGTAGGATCTGGAAGTGGACATTTCAAGCGCTTTCAGGCCTATGGTGAGAAAGGAAATATCTTCGAATAAAAACTAGACAGAAGCATCCTCAGAAACTTATTTGTGATGTGTGTCCTCAACTAACAGAGTTGAAACTTTGTTTTGATACAGCATTTTGGAAACACTCTTTTTGTAGAATCTGCAGGTGGATATTTGGATAGCTTAGAGGGATTCGTTGGAAAGGGGATATCTTCATATAAAATCTAGACAGAAGCATTCTCAGAAACTTATTTGTGATGTGTGTCCTCAACTAACAGAGTTGAACCTTGGTTTTGATACAGCATTCTGGAAACACTCCTTTTGTAGAATCTGCAGGTGGATATGTGGATAGCTCTGAAGATTTCGTTGGAAACGGGAATTTCTTCATATAAAATCAAACAGAAGCATTCTCAGAAACTTCTCAGTGATGTTTGCATTCAGTTCATGGAGTTGAACACTTCCCTTCATAGAGCCGGTTTGAAACACTCTTTCTGCACTACCTGGAAGAGGACATTTCGAGCGCTTTGAGTCCTATGGTGAAAAAGGAAATATCTTCTCATAGAAACCAGAAAGAAGCATTCTCAGAAACTTCTTTGTGTTGTGTGTACTCATGTAACAGTGTTGAACCATCCTTTTGACAGAGCAGTTTTGAAACACTCTTTTTGTAGAATCTGCAAGTGGATATTTGGATAGCTTTGAGGATTTCGTTGGAAACGGGATGACATATAATATCTAGAGAGAAGCATTCTCAGGAACTTCTTTGTGATGTTTGCATTCAAGTCACAGAATTGAACATTCCCTTTCATAGAGCAGGTTTGAAACACTCTTTCTCTAGTATCTGGAAGTGGGCATTTCAAGCGCTTTCAGGCCTATGGAGAGAAAGGAAATACCTTCAAATAAAAACTAGACAGAAGCATTCTCAGAAACTTATTTGTGATGTGTGTCCTCAACTAACAGAGTTGAACCTTTGTTTTGATACAGCATTTTGGAAACACTCCTTTTGTAGAATCTGCAGGTGGATATTTGGATAGCTTTGAAGATTTCGTTGGAAACCGGAATATCTTCATATAAAATCAAGACAGAAGCATTCTCGGAAACATCTCTGTGATGTTTGCATTCAACTCAGTAGAGTTGAACACTTCCTTTCATAGAGCAGGTTTGAAACACTCTTTCTGCACTACCTGGAAGCGGACATTTCGAGCGCTTTGAGGCCTATGGTGAAAAAGGAAATATCTTCTCATAAAAACCAGAAAGAAGCATTCTCAGAAACTTCTTTGTGTTGTGTGTACTCAAGTAACAGTGTTGAACCTTCCTTTTGACAGAGCAGTTTTGAAACACTCTTTTGGTAGAATCTGCAAGTGGATATTTGGATAGCTTTGAGGATTTCGTTGGAAACGGGTTATCTTCATATAAAATCCAGACAGGAGCATTCTCAGAAACTTCTTTGTGCTGTATGTCCTCAATTCACAGAGCTGAACCTTTGTTTGGATACAGCATTTTGGAGACATTCCTTTAGTAGAATCTGCAAGTTGATATTTAGATAGCTTTGAAGATTTCGTTGGAAACGGGAATATCTTCATAGAAAATCTAGACGGAAGCATTCTCAGAAACTGCTTTGTGATGTTTGCATTCAAGTCACAGAGTTGAATATTCCCTTTTATAGAGTAGGTTTGAAACACTCTTTCGGCACTACCTGGAAGTGGATATTTCGAGCTCTTTGAGGCCTATGGTTAAAAGGAAATATCTTCCCATAAAAACTAGACAGAAGCCGTCTCAGAAACTTGTTTGTGATGTGTGTATTCAACTAACAGAGTTGAACATTTCTGTTACAGAGCAATTTTAAAACACTCTTTGTGGAATCTGAAAGTGGATAATTGGATAGCTTTGTGGATTTCGTTGGAAACGGGATGACGTATAAAATCTAGAGAGAAGCATTCTCAGGAACTTCTTTCTGATGTTTGCATTCAAGTCACAGAATTGAACATTCCTTTTCAGAGTGCAGGTTTGAAACACTCTTTCTGTAGTATCTGGAAGTGGACATTTCAAGCGCTTTCAGGCCTACGGGGAGAAAGGAAATATCTTCAAATAAAAACTAGACAGAAAGGATTCTCAGAAACTTATTTGTGATGTGTGTCCTAAACGAACACAGTTGAACCTTTGTTTTGATACAGCATTTTGGAAACACTCCTTTTGTAGGATCTGCAGGTGGATATTTGGATAGATTTTAAGATTTCGTTGGAAACGGGAATTTCTTCATAGAAGCTCAAGACAGATGCATTCTCAGAAACTTCTCTGTGATGTTTGCATTCCACTCATAGAGTTGAAAACTTCCTTTCATAGAGCAGGTTTGAAACACTCTTTTTGTAATATTTGGAAGTGGACATTTGCAGCGCTTTGAGGCCTATGGTGAAAAAGGAAATATCTTCTCATAAAAACCAGAAACAAGCATTCTCAGAAACTTCTTTTTGATGTGTGTACTCAAGTAACAGAGTTGAACCTTCCTTTTGACACAGCAGTTTTGAAACAATCTTTTTGTAGAATCTGCAAGTGGATATTTGGATAGCTTTGAGGATTTCGTTGGAAACGGGATATCTTCATATAAAATCTAGACAGAAGCATTCTCAGAAACTTCTTTGTGCTGTATGACCTCAATTAACAGAGTTGAACCATTGCTTGCATACAGCATTTTGGAAACATTCCTTGAGTAGAATCTGCAAGTTGATATTTAGATAGATTTGAAGATTTCGTTGGAAAAGGGAATATCTCCATATAAAATCTAGAGGGAAGCATTCTCAGAAACTGCTTTGTGATGTTTCCATTCAAGTCACAGAGTTGAATATTCCCTTTTATAGAGCACGTTTGAAACACTCTTTCTGCACTATCTGGAAGTGGACATTTCGAGCGCTTTGAGGCCTATGGTGAAAAAGGAAATATCTTCCCATAAAAACTAGACAGAAGCATTCTCAGAAACTTGTTTGTGATGTGTGTATTCAACTAACAGAGTTGAACTTTTGTTTTTACAGAGCCGTTTTAAAACACTCTTTTTGTGGAATCAGAAAGTGGATATTCGGATGGCTCTGAGGATTTCGTTGGAAGCGGGATTACGTATAAAATCTAGAGAGAAGCATTCTCAGGAACTTCTTTCTGATGTTTGCATTGAAGTCACAGAATTGAACATTCACTTTGATAGAGAAGGTTTGAAACACTCATTCTGTAGTATCTGGAAGTGGACATTTCAAGCGCTTTCAGGCCTATGGTGAGAAAGGAAATATCTTCGAATAAAAACTAGACAGAAGCATCCTCAAACTTATTTGTGATGTGTGTCCTCAACTAACAGAGTTGAAACTTTGTTTTGATACAGCATTTTGGAAACACTCTTTTTGTAGAATCTGCAGGTGGATATTTGGATAGCTTAGAGGGATTCGTTGGAAAGGGGATATCTTCATATAGAATCTAGACAGAAGCATTCTCAGAAACTTATTTGTGATGTGTGTCCTCAACTAACAGAGTTGAACTTTGGTTTTGATACAGCATTTTGGAAACACTCCTTTTGTAGAATCTGCAGGTGGATATGTGGATAGCTCTGAAGATTTCGTTGGAAACGGGAATTTCTTCATATAAAATCAAACAGAAGCATTCTCAGAAACTTCTCAGTGATGTTTGCATTCAGTTCATGGAGTTGAACACTTCCTTTCATAGAGCCGGTTTGAAACACTCTTTCTGCACTACCTGGAAGAGGACATTTCGAGCGCTTTGAGTCCTATGGTGAAAAAGGAAATATCTTCTCATAGAAACCAGAAAGAAGCATTCTCAGAAACTTCTTTGTGTTGTGTGTACTCATGTAACAGTGTTGAACCATCCTTTTGACAGAGCAGTTTTGAAACACTCTTTTTGTAGAATCTGCAAGTGGATATTTGGATAGCTTTGAGGATTTCGTTGGAAACGGGATGACATATAATATCTAGAGAGAAGCATTCTCAGGAACTTCTTTGTGATGTTTGCATTCAAGTCACAGAATTGAACATTCCCTTTCATAGAGCAGGTTTGAAACACTCTTTCTCTAGTATCTGGAAGTGGGCATTTCAAGCGCTTTCAGGCCTATGGAGAGAAAGGAAATACCTTCAAATAAAAACTAGACAGAAGCATTCTCAGAAACTTATTTGTGATGTGTGTCCTCAACTAACAGAGTTGAACCTTTGTTTTGATACAGCATTTTGGAAACACTCCTTTTGTAGAATCTGCAGGTGGATATTTGGATAGCTTTGAAGATTTCGTTGGAAACCGGAATATCTTCATATAAAATCAAGACAGAAGCATTCTCGGAAACATCTCTGTGATGTTTGCATTCAACTCAGTAGAGTTGAACACTTCCTTTCATAGAGCAGGTTTGAAACACTCTTTCTGCACTACCTGGAAGCGGACATTTCGAGCACTTTGAGGCCTATGGTGAAAAAGGAAATATCTTCTCATAAAAACCAGAAAGAAGCATTCTCAGAAACTTCTTTGTGTTGTGTGTACTCAAGTAACAGTGTTGAACCTTCCTTTAGACAGAGCAGTTTTGAAACACTCTTTTGGTAGAATCTGCAAGTGGATATTTGGATAGCTTTGAGGATTTCGTTGGAAACGGGTTATCTTCCTATAAAATCCAGACAGGAGCATTCTCAGAAACTTCTTTGTGCTGTATGTCCTCAATTCACAGAGCTGAACCTTTGTTTGGATACAGCATTTTGGAGACATTCCTTTAGTAGAATCTGCAAGTTGATATTTAGATAGCTTTGAAGATTTCGTTGGAAACGGGAATATCTTCATAGAAAATCTAGACGGAAGCATTCTCAGAAACTGCTTTGTGATGTTTGCATTCAAGTCACAGAGTTGAATATTCCCTTTTATAGAGTAGGTTTGAAACACTCTTTCGGCACTACCTGGAAGTGGATATTTCGAGCTCTTTGAGGCCTATGGTTAAAAGGAAATATCTTCCCATAAAAACTAGACAGAAGCCGTCTCAGAAACTTGTTTGTGATGTGTGTATTCAACTAACAGAGCTGAACATTTCGGTTACAGAGCAGTTTTAAAACACTCTTTTTGTGGAATCTGAAAGTGGATAATTGGGTAGCTTTGTGGATTTCGTTGGAAACGGGATGACGTATAAAATCTAGAGAGAAGCATTCTCAGGAACTTCTTTCTGATGTTTGCATTCAAGTCACAGAATTGAACATTCCTTTTCAGAGTGCAGGTTTGAAACACTCTTTCTGTAGTATCTGGAAGTGGACATTTCAAGCGCTTTCAGGCCTACGGGGAGAAAGGAAATATCTTCAAATAAAAACTAGACAGAAGGATTCTCAGAAACTTATTTGTGATGTGTGTCCTAAACGAACACAGTTGAACCTTTGTTTTGATACAGCATTTTGGAAACACTCCTTTTGTAGGATCTGCAGGTGGATATTTGGATAGATTTTAAGATTTCGTTGGAAACGGGAATTTCTTCATAGAAGCTCAAGACAGATGCATTCTCAGAAACTTCTCTGTGATGTTTGCATTCCACTCATAGAGTTGAAAACTTCCTTTCATAGAGCAGGTTTGAAACACTCTTTTTGTAATATTTGGAAGTGGACATTTGCAGCGCTTTGAGGCCTATGGTGAAAAAGGAAATATCTTCTCATAAAAACCAGAAACAAGCATTCTCAGAAACTTCTTTTTGATGTGTGTACTCAAGTAACAGAGTTGAACTTTCCTTTTGACACAGCAGTTTTGAAACAATCTTTTTGTAGAATCTGCAAGTGGATATTTGGATAGCTTTGAGGATTTCGTTGGAAACGGGATATCTTCATATAAAATCTAGACAGAAGCATTCTCAGAAACTTCTTTGTGCTGTATGTCCTCAATTAACAGAGTTGAACCATTGCCTGGATACAGCATTTTGGAAACATTCCTTGAGTAGAATCTGCAAGTTGATATTTAGATAGATTTGAAGATTTCGTTGGAAAAGGGAATATCTCCATATAAAATCTAGAGGGAAGCATTCTCAGAAACTGCTTTGTGATGTTTCCATTCAAGTCACAGAGTTGAATATTCCCTTTTATAGAGCACGTTTGAAACACTCTTTCTGCACTATCTGGAAGCGGACATTTCGAGCGCTTTGAGGCCTATGGTGAAAAAGGAAATATCTTCCCATAAAAACTAGACAGAAGCATTCTCAGAAACTTGTTTGTGATGTGTGTATTCAACTAACGGAGTTGAACTTTTGTTTTTACAGAGCCGTTTTAAAACACTCTTTTTGTGGAATCAGAAAGTGGATATTCGGATGGCTCTGAGGATTTCGTTGGAAGCGGGATTACGTATAAAATCTGGAGAGAAGCATTCTCAGGAACTTCTTTGTGATGTTTGCATTGAAGTCACAGAATTGAACATTCACTTTGATAGAGCAGGTTTGAAACACTCATTCTGTAGTATCTGGAAGTGGACATTTCAAGCGCTTTCAGGCCTATGGTGAGAAAGGAAATATCCTTCGAATAAAAACTAGACAGAAGCATCCTCAGAAACTTATTTGTGATGTGTGTCCTCAACTAACAGAGTTGAAACTTTGTTTTGATACAGCCTTTTGGAAACACTCCTTTCGTAGAATCTGCAGGTGGCTATTTGGATAGCTTAGAGGGATTCGTTGGAAAGGGGATATCTTCACATAAAATCTAGACAGAAGCATTCTCAGAAACTTATTTGTGATGTGTGTCCTCAACTAACAGAGTTGAACCTTGGTTTTGATACAGCATTTTGGAAACACTCCTTTTGTAGAATCTGCAGGTGGATATGTGGATAGCTCTGAAGATTTCGTTGGAAACGGGAATTTCTTCATATGAAATCAAACAGAAGCATTCTCAGAAACTTCTCAGTGATGTTTGCATTCAGCTCATGGAGTTGTACACTTCCTTTCATAGAGCAGGTTTGAAACACTCTTTCTGCACTACCTGGAAGAGGACATTTCGAGCGCTTTGAGTCCTATGGTGAAAAAGGAAATATCTTCTCATAGAAACCAGAAAGAAGCATTCTCAGAAACTTCTTTGTGTTGTGTGTACTCAAGTAACAGTGTTGAACCTTCCTTTTGACAGAGCAGTTTTGAAACACTCTTTTGGTAGAATCTGCAAGTGGATATTTGGATAGCTTTGAGGATTTCGTTGGAAACGGGTTATCTTCATATAAAATCCAGACAGGAGCATTCTCAGAAACTTCTTTGTGCTGTATGTCCTCAATTAACAGAGTTGAACCTTTGTGTGGATACAGCATTTTGGAAACATTCCTTTAGTAGAATCTGCAGGTGGATATTCGGATAGCTTTGAAGGTTTCGTTGGAAACGGGAATATCTTCATATAAAATCTAGACGGAAGCATTCTCAGAAACTGCTTTGTGATGTTTGCATTCAAGTCACAGAGTTGAATATTCCCTTTTATAGAGTAGGTTTGAAACACTCTTTCGGCACTACCTGGAAGTGGATATTTCGAGCTCTTATGAGGCCTATGGTTAAAAGGAAATATCTTCCCATAAAAACTAGACAGAAGCCGTCTCAGAAACTTGTTTGTGATGTGTGTATTCAACTACCAGAGTTGAACATTTCTGTTACAGAGCAATTTTAAAACACTCTTTTTGTGGAATCTGAAAGTGGATAATTGGATAGCTTTGTGGATTTCGTTGGAAATGGGATGACGTATAAAATCTAGAGAGAAGCATTCTCAGGAACTTCTTTCTGATGTTTGCATTCAAGTCACAGAATTGAACATTCCTTTTCAGAGTGCAGGTTTGAAACACTCTTTCTGTAGTATCTGGAAGTGGACATTTCAAGCGCTTTCAGGCCTACGGGGAGAAAGGAAATATCTTCAAATAAAAACTAGACAGAAGGATTCTCAGAAACTTATTTGTGATGTGTGTCCTAAACGAACACAGTTGAACCTTTGTTTTGATACAGCATTTTGGAAACACTCCTTTTGTAGGATCTGCAGGTGGATATTTGGATAGATTTTAAGATTTCGTTGGAAACGGGAATTTCTTCATATAAACCCAAGACAGATGCATTCTCAGAAACTTCTCTGTGATGTTTGCATTCCACTCATAGAGTTGAAAACTTCCTTTCATAGAGCAGGTTTGAAACACTCTTTTTGTAATATTTCGAAGTGGACATTTGCAGCGCTTTGAGGCCTATGGTGAAAAAGGAAATATCTTCTCATAAAAACCAGAAAGAAGCATTCTCAGAAACTTCTTTGTGTTGTGTGTACTCAAGTAACAGTGTTGAACCTTCCTTTTGACAGAGTAGTTTTGAAACACTCTTTTGGTAGAATCTGCAAGTGGATATTTGGATAGCTTTGAGGATTTCGTTGGGAACGGGTTATCTTCCTATAAAATCCAGACAGGAGCATTCTCAGAAACTTCTTTGTGTTGTATGTCCTCAATTCACAGAGCTGAACCTTTGTTTGGATACAGCATTTTGGAGACATTCCTTTAGTAGAATCTGCAAGTTGATATTTAGATAGCTTTGAAGATTTCGTTGGAAACGGGAATATCTTCATAGAAAATCTAGACGGAAGCATTCTCAGAAACTGCTTTGTGATGTTTGCATTCAAGTCACAGAGTTGAATATTCCCTTTTATAGAGTAGGTTTGAAACACTCTTTCGGCACTACCTGGAAGTGGATATTTCGAGCTCTTTGAGGCCTATGGTTAAAAGGAAATATCTTCCCATAAAAACTAGACAGAAGCCGTCTCAGAAACTTGTTTGTGATGTGTGTATTCAACTAACAGAGTTGAACATTTCTGTTACAGAGCAATTTTAAAACACTCTTTTTGTGGAATCTGAAAGTGGATAATTGGATAGCTTTGTGGATTTCGTTGGAAACGGGATGACGTATAAAATCTAGAGAGAAGCATTTTCAGGAACTTCTTTCTGATGTTTGCATTCAAGTCACAGAATTGAACATTCCTTTTCAGAGTGCAGGTTTGAAACACTCTTTCTGTAGTATCTGGAAGTGGACATTTCAAGCGCTTTCAGGCCTACGGGGAGAAAGGAAATATCTTCAAATAAAAACTAGACAGAAGGATTCTCAGAAACTTATTTGTGATGTGTGTCCTAAACGAACACAGTTGAACCTTTGTTTTGATACAGCATTTTGGAAACACTCCTTTTGTAGGATCTGTAGGTGGATATTTGGAGAGATTTTAAAATTTCGTTGGAAACGGGAATTTCTTCATAGAAGCTCAAGACAGATGCATTCTCAGAAACTTCTCTGTGATGTTTGCATTCCACTCATAGAGTTGAAAACTTCCTTTCATAGAGCAGGTTTGAAACACTCTTTTTGTAATATTTGGAAGTGGACATTTGCAGCGCTTTGAGGCCTATGTTGAAAAAGGAAATATCTTCTCATAAAAACCAGAAACAAGCATTCTCAGAAACTTCTTTTTGATGTGTGTACTCAAGTAACAGAGTTGAACCTTCCTTTTGACACAGCAGTTTTGAAACAATCTTTTTGTAGAATCTGCAAGTGGATATTTGGATAGCTTTGAGGATTTCGTTGGAAACGGGATATCTTCATATAAAATCTAGACAGAAGCATTCTCAGAAACTTCTTTGTGCTGTATGACCTCAATTAACAGAGTTGAACCATTGCTTGCATACAGCATTTTGGAAACATTCCTTGAGTAGAATCTGCAAGTTGATATTTAGATAGATTTGAAGATTTCGTTCGAAAACGGAATATCTCCATATAAAATCTAGAGGGAAGCATTCTCAGAAACTGCTTTGTGATGTTTCCATTCAAGTCACAGAGTTGAATATTCCCTTTTATAGAGCACGTTTGAAACACTCTTTCTGCGCTATCTGGAAGTGGACATTTCGAGCGCTTTGAGGCCTATGGTGAAAAAGGAAATATCTTCCCATAAAAACTAGACAGAAGCATTCTCAGAAACTTGTTTGTGATGTGTGTATTCAACTAACAGAGTTGAACTTTTGTTTTTACAGAGCCGTTTTAAAACACTCTTTTTGTGGAATCAGAAAGTGGATATTCGGATGGCTCTGAGGATTTCGTTGGAAGCGGGATTACATATAAAATCTAGAGAGAAGCATTCTCAGGAACTTCTTTGTGATGTTTGCATTGAAGTCACAGAATTGAACATTCACTTTGATAGAGCAGGTTTGAAACACTCATTCTGTAGTATCTGGAAGTGGACATTTCAAGCGCTTTCAGGCCTATGGTGAGAAAGGAAATATCTTCGAATAAAAACTAGACAGAAGCATCCTCAAACTTATTTGTGATGTGTGTCCTCAACTAACAGAGTTGAAACTTTGTTTTGATACAGCATTTTGGAAACACTCTTTTTGTAGAATCTGCAGGTGGATATTTGGATAGCTTAGAGGGATTCGTTGGAAAGGGGATATCTTCATATAGAATCTAGACAGAAGCATTCTCAGAAACTTATTTGTGATGTGTGTCCTCAACTAACAGAGTTGAACTTTGGTTTTGATACAGCATTTTGGAAACACTCCTTTTGTAGAATCTGCAGGTGGATATGTGGATAGCTCTGAAGATTTCGTTGGAAACGGGAATTTCTTCATATAAAATCAAACAGAAGCATTCTCAGAAACTTCTCAGTGATGTTTGCATTCAGTTCATGGAGTTGAACACTTCCTTTCATAGAGCCGGTTTGAAACACTCTTTCTGCACTACCTGGAAGAGGACATTTCGAGCGCTTTGAGTCCTATGGTGAAAAAGGAAATATCTTCTCATAGAAACCAGAAAGAAGCATTCTCAGAAACTTCTTTGTGTTGTGTGTACTCATGTAACAGTGTTGAACCATCCTTTTGACAGAGCAGTTTTGAAACACTCTTTTTGTAGAATCTGCAAGTGGATATTTGGATAGCTTTGAGGATTTCGTTGGAAACGGGATGACATATAATATCTAGAGAGAAGCATTCTCAGGAACTTCTTTGTGATGTTTGCATTCAAGTCACAGAATTGAACATTCCCTTTCATAGAGCAGGTTTGAAACACTCTTTCTCTAGTATCTGGAAGTGGGCATTTCAAGCGCTTTCAGGCCTATGGAGAGAAAGGAAATACCTTCAAATAAAAACTAGACAGAAGCATTCTCAGAAACTTATTTGTGATGTGTGTCCTCAACTAACAGAGTTGAACCTTTGTTTTGATACAGCATTTTGGAAACACTCCTTTTGTAGAATCTGCAGGTGGATATTTGGATAGCTTTGAAGATTTCGTTGGAAACCGGAATATCTTCATATAAAATCAAGACAGAAGCATTCTCGGAAACATCTCTGTGATGTTTGCATTCAACTCAGTAGAGTTGAACACTTCCTTTCATAGAGCAGGTTTGAAACACTCTTTCTGCACTACCTGGAAGCGGACATTTCGAGCGCTTTGAGGCCTATGGTGAAAAAGGAAATATCTTCTCATAAAAACCAGAAAGAAGCATTCTCAGAAACTTCTTTGTGTTGTGTGTACTCAAGTAACAGTGTTGAACCTTCCTTTTGACAGAGCAGTTTTGAAACACTCTTTTGGTAGAATCTGCAAGTGGATATTTGGAGAGCTTTGAGGATTTCATTGGAAACGGGTTATCTTCCTATAAAATCCAGACAGGAGCATTCTCAGAAACTTCTTTGTGCTGTATGTCCTCAATTCACAGAGCTGAACCTTTGTTTGGATACAGCATTTTGGAGACATTCCTTTAGTAGAATCTGCAAGTTGATATTTAGATAGCTTTGAAGATTTCGTTGGAAACGGGAATATCTTCATAGAAAATCTAGACGGAAGCATTCTCAGAAACTGCTTTGTGATGTTTGCATTCAAGTCACAGAGTTGAATATTCCCTTTTATAGAGTAGGTTTGAAACACTCTTTCGGCACTACCTGGAAGTGGATATTTCGAGCTCTTTGAGGCCTATGGTTAAAAGGAAATATCTTCCCATAAAAACTAGACAGAAGCCGTCTCAGAAACTTGTTTGTGATGTGTGTATTCAACTAACAGAGTTGAACATTTCTGTTACAGAGCAATTTTAAAACACTCTTTGTGGAATCTGAAAGTGGATAATTGGATAGCTTTGTGGATTTCATTGGAAACGGGATGACGTATAAAATCTAGAGAGAAGCATTCTCAGGAACTTCTTTCTGATGTTTGCATTCAAGTCACAGAATTGAACATTCCTTTTCAGAGTGCAGGTTTGAAACACTCTTTCTGTAGTATCTGGAAGTGGACATTTCAAGCACTTTCAGGCCTACGGGGAGAAAGGAAATATCTTCAAATAAAAACTAGACAGAAGGATTCTCAGAAACTTATTTGTGATGTGTGTTCTCAACGAACACAGTTGAACCTTTGTTTTGATATAGCATTTTGGAAGCACTCCTTTTGTAGAATCTGCAGGTGGATATTTGGATAGATTTTAAGATTTCATTGGAAACGGGAATTTCTTCATATAAACTCAAGACAGATGCATTCTCAGAAACTTCTCTGTGATGTTTGCATTCCACTCACAGAGTTGAAAACTTCCTTTCATAGAGCAGGTTTGAAACACTCTTTTTGTAATATTTGGAAGTGGACATTTGCAGCGCTTTGAGGCCTATGGTGAAAAAGGAAATATCTTCTCATAAAAACCAGAAACAAGCATTCTCAGAAACTGCTTTTTGATGTGTGTACTCAAGTAACAGAGTTGAACCTTCCTTTTGACACAGCAGTTTTGAAACAATCTTTTTGTAGAATCTGCAAGTGGATATTTGGATAGCTTTGAGGATTTCGTTGGAAACGGGATATCTTCATATAAAATCTAGACAGAAAG
Organism: Homo sapiens; assembly: GCF_000001405.40. Classification (NCBI taxonomy): domain Eukaryota; kingdom Metazoa; phylum Chordata; class Mammalia; order Primates; family Hominidae; genus Homo; species Homo sapiens. The sequence goes on from NC_000004.12 coordinate 50,529,227, forward strand.
CATTCTCAGAAACTTCTTTGTGCTGTATGTCCTCAATTAACAGAGTTGAACCATTGCTTGGATACAGCATTTTGGAAACATTCCTTTAGTAGAATCTGCAAGTTGATATTTAGATAGCTTTGAAGATTTCGTTGGAAACGGGAATATCTTCATATAAAATCTAGACGGAGGCATTCTCAGAAACTGCTTTGTGATGTTTCCATTCAAGTCACAGAGTTGAATATTCCCTTTTATAGAGCACGTTTGAAACACTCTTTCGGCACTATCTGGAAGTGGACATTTCGAGCGCTTTGAGGCCTATGGTGAAAAAGGAAATATCTTCCCATAAAAACTATACAGAAGCATTCTCAGAAACTTGTTTGTGATGTGTGTATTCAACTAACAGACTTGAACTTTTGTTTTTACAGAGCAGTTTTAAAACAATCTTTTTGTGGAATCAGAAAGTGGATATTCGGATGGCTTTGAGGATTTCGTTGGAAGCGGGATTACATATAAAATGTAGAGAGAAGCATTCTCAGGAACTACTTTGTGATGTTTGCATTGAAGTCACAGAATTGAACATTCACTTTGATAGAGCAGGTTTGAAACACTCATTCTGTAGTATCTGGAAGTGGACATTTCAAGTGCTTTCAGGCCTATGGGGAGAAAGGAAATATCTTCAAATTAAAACTAGACAGAAGCATCCTCAGAAACTTATTTGTGATGTGTGTCCTCAACTAACAGCAGTTGAAACTTTGTTTTGATACAGCATTTTGGAAACACTCTTTTTGTAGAATCTGCAGGTGGATACTTGGATAGCTTAGTGGGATTCGTTGGAAAGGGGATAAATTCATATAAAATCTAGACAGAAGCATTCTCAGAAACTTATTTGTGATGTGTGTCCTCAACTAACAGAGTTGAACCTTGGTTTTGATACAGCATTTTGGAAACACTCCTTTTGAAGAATCTGCAGGTGGATATGTGGATAGCTTTGAAGATTTCGTTGGAAACGGGAATTTCTTCATATAAAATCAAACAGAAGCATTCTCAGAAACTTCTCTGTGATGTTTGCATTCAGCTCATGGAGTTGAACACTTCCTTTCATAGAGCAGGTTTGAAACACTCTTTCTGCACTACCTGGAAGCGGACATTTCGAGCGCTTTGAGGCCTATGGTGAAAAAGGAAATATCTTCTCATAAAAACCAGAAAGAAGCATTCTCAGAAACTTCTTTGTGTTGTGTGTACTCAAGTAACAGTGTTGAACCTTCCTTTTGACAGAGCAGGTTTGAAACACTCTTTTGGTAGAATCTGCAAGTGGATATTTGGATAGCTTTGAGGATTTCGTTGGAAACGGGTTATCTTCATATAAAATCCAGACAGGAGCATTCACAGAAACTTCTTTGTGCTGTATGTCCTCAATTCACAGAGCTGAACCTTTGTTTGGATACAGCATTTTGGAAACATTCCTTTAGTAGAATCTGCAAGTTGATATTTAGATAGCTTTGAAGATTTCATTGGAAACGGGAATATCTTCATAGAAAATCTAGACGGAAGCATTCTCATAAACTGCTTTGTGATGTTTGCATTCAAGTCACAGAGTTGAATATTCCCTTTTATAGAGTAGGTTTGAAACACTCTTTCGGCACTACCTGGAAGTGGATATTTCGAGCTTTTTGAGGCTTATGCTTAAAAGGAAATATCTTCCCATAAAAACTAGACAGAAGCCGTCTCAGAAACTTGTTTGTGATGTGTGTATTCAACTAACAGAGTTGAACATTTCTGTTACTGAGCAATTTTAAAACACTCTTTCTGTGAAATCTGAAAGTGGATAATTGGATAGCTTTGTGGATTTCGTTGGAAACGGGATGACGTATAAAATCTAGAGAGAAGCATTCTCAGGAACTTCTTTCTGATGTTTGCATTCAAGTCACAGAATTGAACATTCCTTTTCATAGTGCAGGTTTGAAACGCTCTTTCTGTAGTATCTGGAAGTGGACATTTCAAGCGCTTTCAGGCCTATGGGGAGAAAGGAAATATCTTCAAATAAAAACTAGACAGAAGGATTCTCAGAAACTTATTGGTGATGTGTGTCCTAAACGAACACAGTTGAACCTTTGTTTTGATACAGCCTTTTGGAAACACTCCTTTTGTAGAATCTGCAGGTGGATATTTGGATAGATTTTAAGATTTCGTTGGAAACGGGAATTTCTTCATAGAAACTCAAGACAGATGCATTCTCAGAAACTTCTCTGTGATGTTTGCATTCCACTCATAGAGTTGAAAACTTCCTTTCATAGAGCAGGTTTGAAACACTCTTTTTGTAATATTTGGAAGTGGACATTTGCAGCGCTTTGAGGCCTATGGTGAAAAAGGAAATATCTTCTCATAAAAACCAGAAACAAGCATTCTCAGAAACTTCTTTTTGATGTGTGTACTCAAGTAACAGAGTTGAACCTTCCTTTTGACACAGCAGTTTTGAAACAATCTTTTTGTAGAATCTGCAAGTGGATATTTGGATAGCTTTGAGGATTTCGTTGGAAACGGGATATCTTCATATAAAATCTAGACAGAAGCATTCTCAGAAACTTCTTTGTGCTGTATGACCTCAATTAACAGAGTTGAACCATTGCTTGCATACAGCATTTTGGAAACATTCCTTGAGTAGAATCTGCAAGTTGATATTTAGATAGATTTGAAGATTTCGTTCGAAAACGGAATATCTCCATATAAAATCTAGAGGGAAGCATTCTCAGAAACTGCTTTGTGATGTTTCCATTCAAGTCACAGAGTTGAATATTCCCTTTTATAGAGCACGTTTGAAACACTCTTTCTGCGCTATCTGGAAGTGGACATTTCGAGCGCTTTGAGGCCTATGGTGAAAAAGGAAATATCTTCCCATAAAAACTAGACAGAAGCATTCTCAGAAACTTGTTTGTGATGTGTGTATTCAACTAACAGAGTTGAACTTTTGTTTTTACAGAGCCGTTTTAAAACACTCTTTTTGTGGAATCAGAAAGTGGATATTCGGATGGCTCTGAGGATTTCGTTGGAAGCGGGATTACGTATAAAATCTAGAGAGAAGCATTCTCAGGAACTTCTTTGTGATGTTTGCATTGAAGTCACAGAATTGAACATTCACTTTGATAGAGCAGGTTTGAAACACTCATTCTGTAGTATCTGGAAGTGGACATTTCAAGCGCTTTCAGGCCTATGGTGAGAAAGGAAATATCTTCGAATAAAAACTAGACAGAAGCATCCTCAAACTTATTTGTGATGTGTGTCCTCAACTAACAGAGTTGAAACTTTGTTTTGATACAGCATTTTGGAAACACTCTTTTTGTAGAATCTGCAGGTGGATATTTGGATAGCTTAGAGGGATTCGTTGGAAAGGGGATATCTTCATATAAAATCTAGACAGAAGCATTCTCAGAAACTTATTTGTGATGTGTGTCCTCAACTAACAGAGTTGAACCTTGGTTTTGATACAGCATTTTGGAAACACTCCTTTTGTAGAATCTGCAGGTGAATATGTGGATAGCTTTGAAGATTTCGTTGGAAACGGGAATTTCTTCATATAAAATCAAACAGAAGCATTCTCAGAAACTTCTCAGTGATGTTTGCATTCAGCTCATGGAGTTGTACACTTCCTTTCATAGAGCAGGTTTGAAACACTCTTTCTGCACTACCTGGAAGAGGACATTTCGAGCGCTTTGAGTCCTATGGTGAAAAAGGAAATATCTTCTCATAGAAACCAGAAAGAAGCATTCTCAGAAACTTCTTTGTGTTGTGTGTACTCATGTAACAGTGTTGAACCATCCTTTTGACAGAGGAGTTTTGAAACACTCTTTTTGTAGAATCTGCAAGTGGATATTTGGATAGCTTTGAGGATTTCGTTGGAAACGGGATGACATATAATATCTAGAGAGAAGCATTCTCAGGAACTTCTTTGTGATGTTTGCATTCAAGTCACAGAATTGAACATTCCCTTTCATAGAGCAGGTTTGAAACACTCTTTCTCTAGTATCTGGAAGTGGGCATTTCAAGCGCTTTCAGGCCTATGGAGAGAAAGGAAATACCTTCAAATAAAAACTAGACAGAAGCATTCTCAGAAACTTATTTGTGATGTGTGTCCTCAACTAACAGAGTTGAACCTTTGTTTTGATACAGCATTTTGGAAACACTCCTTTTGTAGAATCTGCAGGTGGATATTTGGATAGCTTTGAAGATTTCGTTGGAAACCGGAATATCTTCATATAAAATCAAGACAGAAGCATTCTCGGAAACATCTCTGTGATGTTTGCATTCAACTCAGTAGAGTTGAACACTTCCTTTCATAGAGCAGGTTTGAAACACTCTTTCTGCACTACCTGGAAGTGGACATTTCGAGCGCTTTGAGGCCTATGGTGAAAAAGGAAATATCTTCTCATAAAAACCAGAAAGAAGCATTCTCAGAAACTTCTTTGTGTTGTGTGTACTCAAGTAACAGTGTTGAACCTTCCTTTTGACAGAGCAGTTTTGAAACACTCTTTTGGTAGAATCTGCAAGTGGATATTTGGAGAGCTTTGAGGATTTCGTTGGAAACGGGTTATCTTCATATAAAATCCAGACAGGAGCATTCTCAGAAACTTCTTTGTGCTGTATGTCCTCAATTCACAGAGCTGAACCTTTGTTTGGATACAGCATTTTGGAGACGTTCCTTTAGTAGAATCTGCAAGTTGATATTTAGATAGCTTTGAAGATTTCGTTGGAAACGGGAATATCTTCATAGAAAATCTAGACGGAAGCATTCTCAGAAACTGCTTTGTGATGTTTGCATTCAAGTCACAGAGTTGAATATTCCCTTTTATAGAGTAGGTTTGAAACACTCTTTCGGCACTACCTGGAAGTGGATATTTCGAGCTCTTTGAGGCCTATGGTTAAAAGGAAATATCTTCCCATAAAAACTAGACAGAAGCCGTCTCAGAAACTTGTTTGTGATGTGTGTATTCAACTAACAGAGTTGAACATTTCTGTTACAGAGCAATTTTAAAACACTCTTTGTGGAATCTGAAAGTGGATAATTGGATAGCTTTGTGGATTTCGTTGGAAACGGGATGACGTATAAAATCTAGAGAGAAGCATTCTCAGGAACTTCTTTCTGATGTTTGCATTCAAGTCACAGAATTGAACATTCCTTTTCAGAGTGCAGGTTTGAAACACTCTTTCTGTAGTATCTGGAAGTGGACATTTCAAGCGCTTTCAGGCCTACGGGGAGAAAGGAAATATCTTCAAATAAAAACTAGAGAGAAGGATTCTCAGAAACTTATTTGTGATGTGTGTCCTAAACGAACACAGTTGAACCTTTGTTTTGATACAGCATTTTGGAAACACTCCTTTTGTAGAATCTGCAGGTGGATATTTGGATAGATTTTAAGATTTCATTGGAAACGGGAATTTCTTCATATAAACTCAAGACAGATGCATTCTCAGAAACTTCTCTGTGATGTTTGCATTCCACTCATAGAGTTGAAAACTTCCTTTCATAGAGCAGGTTTGAAACACTCTTTTTGTAATATGTGGAAGTGGACATTTGCAGCGCTTTGAGGCCTATGGTGAAAAAGGAAATATCTTCTCATAAAAACCAGAAACAAGCATTCTCAGAAACTTCTTTTTGATGTGTGTACTCAAGTAACAGAGTTGAACCTTCCTCTTGACACAGCAGTTTTGAAACAATCTTTTTGTAGAATCTGCAAGTGGATATTTGGATAGCTTTGAGGATTTCGTTGGAAACGGGATATCTTCATATAAAATCTAGACAGAAGCATTCTCAGAAACTTCTTTGTGCTGTATGACCTCAATTAACAGAGTTGAACCATTGCTTGCATACAGCATTTTGGAAACATTCCTTGAGTAGAATCTGCAAGTTGATATTTAGATAGATTTGAAGATTTCGTTCGAAAACGGAATATCTCCATATAAAATCTAGAGGGAAGCATTCTCAGAAACTGCTTTGTGATGTTTCCATTCAAGTCACAGAGTTGAATATTCCCTTTTATAGAGCACGTTTGAAACACTCTTTCTGCGCTATCTGGAAGTGGACATTTCGAGCGCTTTGAGGCCTATGGTGAAAAAGGAAATATCTTCCCATAAAAACTAGACAGAAGCATTCTCAGAAACTTGTTTGTGATGTGTGTATTCAACTAACAGAGTTGAACTTTTGTTTTTACAGAGCCGTTTTAAAACACTCTTTTTGTGGAATCAGAAAGTGGATATTCGGATGGCTCTGAGGATTTCGTTGGAAGCGGGATTACGTATAAAATCTAGAGAGAAGCATTCTCAGGAACTTCTTTGTGATGTTTGCATTGAAGTCACAGAATTGAACATTCACTTTGATAGAGCAGGTTTGAAACACTCATTCTGTAGTATCTGGAAGTGGACATTTCAAGCGCTTTCAGGCCTATGGTGAGAAAGGAAATATCTTCGAATAAAAACTAGACAGAAGCATCCTCAAACTTATTTGTGATGTGTGTCCTCAACTAACAGAGTTGAAACTTTGTTTTGATACAGCATTTTGGAAACACTCTTTTTGTAGAATCTGCAGGTGGATATTTGGATAGCTTAGAGGGATTCGTTGGAAAGGGGATATCTTCATATAAAATCTAGACAGAAGCATTCTCAGAAACTTATTTGTGATGTGTGTCCTCAACTAACAGAGTTGAACCTTGGTTTTGATACAGCATTTTGGAAACACTCCTTTTGTAGAATCTGCAGGTGGATATGTGGATAGCTCTGAAGATTTCGTTGGAAACGGGAATTTCTTCATATAAAATCAAACAGAAGCATTCTCAGAAACTTCTCAGTGATGTTTGCATTCAGCTCATGGAGTTGAACACTTCCTTTCATAGAGCAGGTTTGAAACACTCTTTCTGCACTACCTGGAAGAGGACATTTCGAGCGCTTTGAGTCCTATGGTGAAAAAGGAAATATGTTCTCATAGAAACCAGAAAGAAGCGTTCTCAGAAACTTCTTTGTGTTGTGTGTACTCATGTAACAGTGTTGAAGCATCCTTTTGACAGAGCAGTTTTGAAACACTCTTTTTGTAGAATCTGCAAGTGGATATTTGGATAGCTTTGAGGATTTCGTTGGAAACGGGTTATCTTCATATTAAATCTAGACAGAAGCATTTTCAGAAACTTCTTTGTGCTGTATGTCCTCAATTCACAGAGTTGAACCTTTGTTTGGATACAGCATTTTGGAAACATTCCTTTAGTAGAATCTGCAAGTTGATATTTAGATAGCTTTGAAGATTTCGTTGGAAACGGGAATATCTTCATAAAAAATCTAGACGGAAGCATTGTCAGAAACTGCTTTGTGATGTTTGCATTCAAGTCACAGAGTTAAATATTCTTTTACAGAGCAGGTTTGAAACACTCTTTCTGCACTCCCTGGAAATGGAGATTTCGAGCGCTTTGAGGCCTATGGTGAAAAAGGAAATATCTTCCCATAAAAACTAGACGGAAGCCTTCTCAGAAAACTTGTTTGAGATGTGTGTATTCAACTAAGAGCGTTGAACATTTCTTTTTACAGAGCAGTTTTAAAACACTCTTTTTGTGGAATCTGAAAGTGGATAATTGGATAGCTTTGTGGATTTCGTTGGAAACGGGATGACGTATAAAATCTAGAGAGAAGCATTCTCAGGAACTTCTTTCTGATGTTTGCATTCAAGTCACAGAATTGAACATTCCTTTTCATAGTGCAGGTTTGAAACACTCTTTCTGTAGTATCTGGAAGTGGACATTTCAAGCGCTTTCAGGCCTATGGGGAGAAAGAAAATATCTTCAAATAAAAACTAGACAGAAGGATTCTCAGAAACTTATTTGTGATGTGTGTCCTAAACGAACACAGTTGAACCTTTGTTTTGATACAGCATTTTGGAAACACTCCTTTTGTAGGATCTGCAGGTGGATATTTGGATAGATTTTAAGATTTCGTTGGAAACGGGAATTTCTTCATAGAAGCTCAAGACAGATGCATTCTCAGAAACTTCTCTGTGATGTTTGCATTCCACTCATAGAGTTGAAAACTTCCTTTCATAGAGCAGGTTTGAAACACTCTTTTTGTAATATTTGGAAGTGGACATTTGCAGCGCTTTGAGGCCTATGGTGAAAAAGGAAATATCTTCTCATAAAAACCAGAAACAAGCATTCTCAGAAACTTCTTTTTGATGTGTGTACTCAAGTAACAGAGTTGAACCTTCCTCTTGACACAGCAGTTTTGAAACAATCTTTTTGTAGAATCTGCAAGTGGATATTTGGATAGCTTTGAGGATTTCGTTGGAAACGGGATATCTTCATATAAAATCTAGACAGAAGCATTCTCAGAAACTTCTTTGTGCTGTATGTCCTCAATTAACAGAGTTGAACCATTGCCTGGATACAGCATTTTGGAAACATTCCTTGAGTAGAATCTGCAAGTTGATATTTAGATAGATTTGAAGATTTCGTTGGAAAAGGGAATATCTCCATATAAAATCTAGAGGGAAGCATTCTCAGAAACTGCTTTGTGATGTTTCCATTCAAGTCACAGAGTTGAATATTCCCTTTTATAGAGCACGTTTGAAACACTCTTTCTGCACTATCTGCAAGCGGACATTTCGAGCGCTTTGAGGCCTATGGTGAAAAAGGAAATATCTTCCCATAAAAACTAGACAGAAGCATTCTCAGAAACTTGTTTGTGATGTGTGTATTCAACTAACAGAGTTGAACTTTTGTTTTTACAGAGCCGTTTTAAAACACTCTTTTTGTGGAATCAGAAAGTGGATATTCGGATGGCTCTGAGGATTTCGTTGGAAGCGGGATTACGTATAAAATCTAGAGAGAAGCATTCTCAGGAACTTCTTTGTGATGTTTGCATTGAAGTCAGAGAATTGAACATTCACTTTGATAGAGCAGGTTTGAAACACTCATTCTGTAGTATCTGGAAGTGGACATTTCAAGCGCTTTCAGGCCTATGGTGAGAAAGGAAATATCTTCGAATAAAAACTAGACAGAAGCATCCTCAAACTTATTTGTGATGTGTGTCCTCAACTAACAGAGTTGAAACTTTGTTTTGATACAGCATTTTGGAAACACTCTTTTTGTAGAATCTGCAGGTGGATATTTGGATAGCTTAGAGGGATTCGTTGGAAAGGGGATATCTTCATATAGAATCTAGACAGAAGCATTCTCAGAAACTTATTTGTGATGTGTGTCCTCAACTAACAGAGTTGAACTTTGGTTTTGATACAGCATTTTGGAAACACTCCTTTTGTAGAATCTGCAGGTGGATATGTGGATAGCTCTGAAGATTTCGTTGGAAACGGGAATTTCTTCATATAAAATCAAACAGAAGCATTCTCAGAAACTTCTCAGTGATGTTTGCATTCAGTTCATGGAGTTGAACACTTCCTTTCATAGAGCCGGTTTGAAACACTCTTTCTGCACTACCTGGAAGAGGACATTTCGAGCGCTTTGAGTCCTATGGTGAAAAAGGAAATATCTTCTCATAGAAACCAGAAAGAAGCATTCTCAGAAACTTCTTTGTGTTGTGTGTACTCATGTAACAGTGTTGAACCATCCTTTTGACAGAGCAGTTTTGAAACACTCTTTTTGTAGAATCTGCAAGTGGATATTTGGATAGCTTTGAGGATTTCGTTGGAAACGGGATGACATATAGTATCTAGAGAGAAGCATTCTCAGGAACTTCTTTGTGATGTTTGCATTCAAGTCACAGAATTGAACATTCCCTTTCATAGAGCAGGTTTGAAACACTCTTTCTCTAGTATCTGGAAGTGGGCATTTCAAGCGCTTTCAGGCCTATGGAGAGAAAGGAAATACCTTCAAATAAAAACTAGACAGAAGCATTCTCAGAAACTTATTTGTGATGTGTGTCCTCAACTAACAGAGTTGAACCTTTGTTTTGATACAGCATTTTGGAAACACTCCTTTTGTAGAATCTGCAGGTGGATATTTGGATAGCTTTGAAGATTTCGTTGGAAACCGGAATATCTTCATATAAAATCAAGACAGAAGCATTCTCGGAAACATCTCTGTGATGTTTGCATTCAACTCAGTAGAGTTGAACACTTCCTTTCATAGAGCAGGTTTGAAACACTCTTTCTGCACTACCTGGAAGCGGACATTTCGAGCGCTTTGAGGCCTATGGTGAAAAAGGAAATGTCTTCTCATAAAAACCAGAAAGAAGCATTCTCAGAAACTTCTTTGTGTTGTGTGTACTCAAGTAACAGTGTTGAACCTTCCTTTTGACAGAGCAGTTTTGAAACACTCTTTTGGTAGAATCTGCAAGTGGATATTTGGATAGCTTTGAGGATTTCGTTGGAAACGGGTTATCTTCCTATAAAATCCAGACAGGAGCATTCTCAGAAACTTCTTTGTGTTGTATGTCCTCAATTCACAGAGCTGAACCTTTGTTTGGATACAGCATTTTGGAGACATTCCTTTAGTAGAATCTGCAAGTTGATATTTAGATAGCTTTGAAGATTTCGTTGGAAACGGGAATATCTTCATAGAAAATCTAGACGGAAGCATTCTCAGAAACTGCTTTGTGATGTTTGCATTCAAGTCACAGAGTTGAATATTCCCTTTTATAGAGTAGGTTTGAAACACTCTTTCGGCACTACCTGGAAGTGGATATTTCGAGCTCTTTGAGGCCTATGGTTAAAAGGAAATATCTTCCCATAAAAACTAGACAGAAGCCGTCTCAGAAACTTGTTTGTGATGTGTGTATTCAACTACCAGAGTGGAACATTTGTGTTACAGAGCAATTTTAAAACACTCTTTTTGTGGAATCTGAAAGTGGATAATTGGATAGCTTTGTGGATTTCGTTGGAAACGGGATGACGTATAAAATCTAGAGAGAAGCATTCTCAGGAACTTCTTTCTGATGTTTGCATTCAAGTCACAGAATTGAACATTCCTTTTCACAGTGCAGGTTTGAAACACTCTTTCTGTAGTATCTGGAAGTGGACATTTCAAGCGCTTTCAGGCCTATGGGGAGAAAGGAAATATCTTCAAATAAAAACTAGACAGAAGGATTCTCAGAAACTTATTTGTGATGTGTGTCCTAAACGAACACAGTTGAACCTTTGTTTTGATACAGCATTTTGGAAACACTCCTTTTGTAGAATCTGCAGGTGGATATTTGGATAGATTTTCAGATTTCGTTGGAAACGGGAATTTCTTCATAGAAACTCAAGACAGATGCATTCTCAGAAACTTCTCTGTGATGTTTGCATTCCAATCATAGAGTTGAAAACTTCCTTTCATAGAGCAGGTTTGAAACACTCTTTTTGTAATATTTGGAAGTGGACATTTGCAGCGCTTTGAGGCCTATGGTGAAAAAGGAAATATCTTCTCATAAAAACCAGAAACAAGCATTCTCAGAAACTTCTTTTTGATGTGTGTACTCAAGTAACAGAGTTGAACCTTCCTTTTGACACAGCAGTTTTGAAACAATCTTTTTGTAGAATCTGCAAGTGGATATTTGGATAGCTTTGAGGATTTCGTTGGAAACGGGATATCTTCATATAAAATCTAGACAGAAGCATTCTCAGAAACTTCTTTGTGCTGTATGTCCTCAATTAACAGAGTTGAACCATTGCTTGGATACAGCATTTTGGAAACATTCCTTTAGTAGAATCTGCAAGTTGATATTTAGATAGATTTGAAGATTTCGTTGGAAACGGGAATATCTTCATATAAAATCTAGACGGAGGCATTCTCAGAAACTGCTTTGTGATGTTTCCATTCAAGTCACAGAGTTGAATATTCTCTTTTATAGAGCACGTTTGAAACACTCTTTCTGCACTATCTGGAAGTGGACATGTCGAGCGCTTTGAGGCCTATGGTGAAAAAGGAAATATCTTCCCATAAAAACTAGACAGAAGCATTGTCAGAAACTTGTTTGTGATGTGTGTATTCAACTAACAGACTTGAACTTTTGTTTTTACAGAGCAGTTTTAAAACAATCTTTTTGTGGAATCAGAAAGTGGATATTCGGATGGCTTTGAGGATTTCGTTGGAAGCGGGATTACATATAAAATGTAGAGAGAAGCATTCTCAGGAACTACTTTGTGATGTTTGCATTGAAGTCACAGAATTGAACATTCACTTTGATAGAGCAGGTTTGAAACACTCATTCTGTAGTATCTGGAAGTGGACATTTCAAGCGCTTTCAGGCCTATGGGGAGAAAGGAAATATCTTCAAATTAAAACTAGACAGAAGCATCCTCAGAAACTTATTTGTGATGTGTGTCCTCAACTAACAGAGTTGAAACTTTGTTTTGATACAGCATTTTGGAAACACTCTTTTTGTAGAATCTGCAGGTGGATACTTGGATAGCTTAGAGGAATTCGTTGGAAAGGGGATAAATTCATATAAAATCTAGACAGAAGCATTCTCAGAAACTTATTTGTGATGTGTGTCCTGAGCTAACAGAGTTGAACCTTGGTTTTGATACAGCATTTTGGAAACACTCCTTTTGAAGAATCTGCAGGTGGATATGTGGATAGCTTTGAAGATTTCGTTGGAAACGGGAATTTCTTCATATAAAATCAAACAGAAGCATTCTCAGAAACTTCTCTGTGATGTTTCCATTCAGCTCATGGAGTTGAACAATTCCTTTCAGAGAGCAGCTTTGAAACACTTTTTCTGCACTACCAGGAAGTGGACATTTCGAGCGCTTTGAGGCCTATGGTGAAAAAGGAAATATCTTCTCATAAAAACCAGAAAGAAGCGTTCTCAGAAACTTCTTTGTGTTGTGTGTACTCATGTAACAGTGTTGAACCATCCTTTTGACAGAGCAGTTTTGAAACACTCTTTTTGTAGAATCTGCAAGTGGATATTTGGATAGCTTTGAGGATTTCGTTGGAAACGGGTTATCTTCATATTAAATCTAGACAGAAGCATTCTCAGAAACTTCTTTGTGCTGTATGTCCTCAATTCACAGAGTTGAACCTTTGTTTGGATACAGCATTTTGGAAACATTCCTTTAGTAGAATCTGCAAGTTGATATTTAGATAGCTTTGAAGATTTCGTTGGAAACGGGAATATCTTCATAAAAAATCTAGACGGAAGCATTGTCAGAAACTGCTCTGTGATGTTTGCATTCAAGTCACAGAGTTAAATATTCTTTTATAGAGCAGGTTTGAAACACTCTTTCTGCACTCCCTGGAAGTGGAGATTTCGAGCGCTTTGAGGCCTATGGTGAAAAAGGAAATATCTTCCCGTAAAAACTAGACGGAAGCCTTCTCAGAAACTTGTTTGAGATGTGTGTATTCAACTAAGAGCGTTGAACATTTCTTTTTACAGAGCAGTTTTAAAACACTCTTTTGGTGGAATCTGAAAGTGGATAATTGGATAGCTTTGTGGATTTCGTTGGAAACGGGATGACGTTTAAAATCTAGAGAGAAGCATTCTCAGGAACTTCTTTCTGATGTTTGCATTCAAGTCACAGAATTGAACATTCCTTTTCAGAGTGCAGGTTTGAAACACTCTTTCTGTAGTATCTGGAAGTGGACATTTCAAGCGCTTTCAGGCCTACGGGGAGAAAGGAAATATCTTCAAATAAAAACTAGACAGAAGGATTCTCAGAAACTTATTTGTGATGTGTGTCCTAAACGAACACAGTTGAACCTTTGTTTTGATACAGCATTTTGGAAACACTCCTTTTGTAGGATCTGCAGGTGGATATTTGGATAGATTTTAAAATTTCGTTGGAAACGGGAATTTCTTCATAGAAGCTCAAGACAGATGCATTCTCAGAAACTTCTCTGTGATGTTTGCATTCCACTCATAGAGTTGAAAACTTCCTTTCATAGAGCAGGTTTGAAACACTCTTTTTGTAATATTTGGAAGTGGACATTTGCAGCGCTTTGAGGCCTATGGTGAAAAAGGAAATATCTTCTCATAAAAACCAGAAACAAGCATTCTCAGAAACTGCTTTTTGATGTGTGTACTCAAGTAACAGAGTTGAACCTTCCTTTTGACACAGCAGTTTTGAAACAATCTTTTTGTAGAATCTGCAAGTGGATATTTGGATAGCTTTGAGGATTTCGTTGGAAACGGGATATCTTCATATAAAATCTAGACAGAAGCGTTCTCAGAAACTTCTTTGTGCTGTATGTCCTCAATTAACAGAGTTGAACCATTGCTTGGATACAGCATTTTGGAAACATTCCTTTAGTAGAATCTGCAAGTTGATATTTAGATAGATTTGAAGATTTCGTTGGAAACGGGAATATCTTCATATAAAATCTAGACGGAGGCATTCTCAGAAACTGCTTTGTGATGTTTCCATTCAAGTAACAGAGTTGAATATTCTCTTTTATAGAGCACGTTTGAAACACTCTTTCTGCACTATCTGGAAGTGGACATTTCGAGCGCTTTGAGGCCTATGGTGAAAAAGGAAATATCTTCCCATAAAAACTAGACAGAATCATTCTCAGAAACTTGTTTGTGATGTGTGTATTCAACTAACAGACTTGAACTTTTGTTTTTACAGAGCAGTTTTAAGACAATCTTTTTGTGGAATCAGAAAGTGGATATTCGGATGGCTTTGAGGACTTCGTTGGAAGCGGGATTACATATAAAATCTAGAGAGAAGCATTCTCAGGAACTACTTTGTGATGTTTGTATTGAAGTCACAGAATTGAACATTCACTTTGATAGAGCAGGTTTGAAACACTCATTCTGTAGTATCTGGAAGCGGACAATTCAAGCGCTTTCAGGCCTATGGGGAGAAAGGAAATATCTTCAAATAAAAACTAGAGAGAAGCATCCTCAGAAACTTATTTGTGATGTGTGTTCTCAACTAACAGAGTTGAAACTTTGTTTTGATACAGCATTTTGGAAACACTCTTTTTGTAGAATCTGCAGGTGGATATTTGGATAGCTTAGAGGGATTCGTTGGAAAGGGGATATCTTCATAGAAAATCTAGACAGAAGCATTCTCAGAAACTTATTTGTGATGTGTGTCCTCAACTAACAGAGTGGAACCTTGGTTTTGATACAGCATTTTGGAAACACTCCTTTTGTAGAATCTGCAGGTGGATATGTGGATAGCTTTGAAGATTTCGTTGGAAACGGGAATTTCTTCATATAAAATCAAACAGAAGCATTCTCAGAAACTTCTCTGTGATGTTTGCATTCAGCTCATGGAGTTGAACACTTCCTTTCATAGAGCAGCTTTGAAACACTCTTTCTGCACTACCAGGAAGTGGACATTTCGAGCGCTTTGAGGCCTATGGTGAAAAAGGAAATATCTTCTCATAAAAACCAGAAAGAAGCGTTCTCAGAAACTTCTTTGTGTTGTGTGTACTCATGTAACAGTGTTGAACCATCCTTTTGACAGAGCAGTTTTGAAACACTCTTTTTGGAGAATCTGCAAGTGGATATTTGGATAGATTTGAGGATTTCGTTGGAAACGGGTTATCTTCATATTAAATCTAGACAGAAGCATTCTCAGAAACTTCTTTGTGCTGTATGTCCTCAATTCACAGAGTTGAACCTTTGTTTGGATACAGCATTTTGGAAACATTCCTTTAGTAGAATCTGCAAGTTGATATTTAGATAGCTTTGAAGATTTCGTTGGAAACGGGAATATCTTCATAAAATATCTAGACGGAAGCATTGTCAGAAACTGCTCTGTGATGTTTGCATTCAAGTCACAGAGTTAAATATTCTTTTATAGAGCAGGTTTGAAACACTCTTTCTGCACTCCCTGGAAGTGGAGATTTCGAGCGCTTTGAGGCCTATGGTGAAAAAGGAAATATCTTCCCATAAAAACTAGACGGAAGCCTTCTCAGAAACTTGTTTGAGATGTGTGTATTCAACTAAGAGCGTTGAACATTTCTTTTTACAGAGCAGTTTTAAAACAGTCTTTTGGTGGAATCTGAAAGTGGATAATTGGATAGCTTTGTGGATTTCGTTGGAAACGGGATTACGTTTAAAATCTAGAGAGAAGCATTCTCAGGAACTTCTTTCTGATGTTTGCATTCAAGTCACAGAATTGAACATTCCTTTTCATAGTGCAGGTTTGAAACACTCTGTAGTATCTGGAAGTGGACATTTCAAGGGCTTTCAGGCCTATGGGGAGAAAGGAAATATCTTGAAATAAAAACTAGACAGAAGGATTCTCAGAAACTTATTTGTGATGTGTGTTCTCAACGAACACAGTTGAACCTTTGTTTTGATATAGCATTTTGGAAGCACTCTTTTGTAGAATCTGCAGGTGGATATTTGGATAGATTTTAAGATTTCATTGGAAACGGGAATTTCTTCATATAAACTCAAGACAGATGCATTCTCAGAAACTTCTCTGTGATGTTTGCATTCCACTCACAGAGTTGAAAACTTCCTTTCATAGAGCAGGTTTGAAACACTCTTTTTGTAATATTTGGAAGTGGACATTTGCAGCGCTTTGAGGCCTATGGTGAAAAAGGAAATATCTTCTCATAAAAACCAGAAACAAGCATTCTCAGAAACTGCTTTTTGATGTGTGTACTCAAGTAACAGAGTTGAACCTTCCTTTTGACACAGCAGTTTTGAAACAATCTTTTTGTAGAATCTGCAAGTGGATATTTGGATAGCTTTGAGGATTTCGTTGGAAACGGGATATCTTCATATAAAATCTAGACAGAAGCATTCTCAGAAACTTCTTTGTGCTGTATGTCCTCAATTAACAGAGTTGAACCATTGCTTGGATACAGCATTTTGGAAACATTCCTTTAGTAGAATCTGCAAGTTGATATTTAGATAGCATTGAAGATTTCGTTGGAAACGGGAATATCTTCATATAAAATCTAGACGGAGGCATTCTCAGAAACTGCTTTGTGATGTTTCCATTCAAGTCACAGAGTTGAATATTCTCTTTTATAGAGCACGTTTGAAACACTCTTTCTGCACTGTCTGGAAGTGGACATTTCGAGCGCTTTGAGGCCTATGGTGAAAAAGGAAATATCTTCCCATAAAAACTAGACAGAAGCATTCTCAGAAACTTGTTTGTGATGTGTGTATTCAACTAACAGAGTTGAACTTTTGTTTTTACAGAGCCGTTTTAAAACACTCTTTTTGTGGAATCAGAAAGTGGATATTCGGATGGCTCTGAGGATTTCGTTGGAAGCGGGATTACGTATAAAATCTAGAGAGAAGCATTCTCAGGAACTTCTTTCTGATGTTTGCATTGAAGTCACAGAATTGAACATTCACTTTTATAGAGCAGGTTTGAAACACTCATTCTGTAGTATCTGGAAGTGGACATTTCAAGCGCTTTCAGGCCTATGGTGAGAAAGGAAATATCTTCGAATAAAAACTAGACAGAAGCATCCTCAGAAACTTATTTGTGATGTGTGTCCTCAACTAACAGAGTTGAAACTTTGTTTTGATACAGCATTTTGGAAACACTCTTTTTGTAGAATCTGCAGGTGGATATTTGGATAGCTTAGAGGGATTCGTTGGAAAGGGGATATCTTCATATAAAATCTAGACAGAAGCATTCTCAGAAACTTATTTGTGATGTGTGTCCTCAACTAACAGAGTTGAACCTTGGTTTTGATACAGCATTTTGGAAACACTCCTTTTGAAGAATCTGCAGGTGGATATGTGGATAGCTTTGAAGATTTCGTTGGAAACGGGAATTTCTTCATATAAAATCAAACAGAAGCATTCTCAGAAACTTCTCTGTGATGTTTGCATTCAGCTCATGGAGTTGAACACTTCCTTTCATAGAGCAGGTTTGAAACACTCTTTCTGCACTACCAGGAAGTGGACATTTCGAGCGCTTTGAGGCCTATGGTGAAAAAGGAAATATCTTCTCATAAAAACCAGAAAGAAGCGTTCTCAGAAACTTCTTTGTGTTGTGTGTACTCATGTAACAGTGTTGAACCATCCTTTTGACAGAGCAGTTTTGAAACACTCTTTTTGTAGAATCTGCCAGTGGATATTTGGATAGCTTTGAGGATTTCGTTGGAAACGGGTTATCTTCATATTAAATCTAGACAGAAGCATTCTCAGAAACTTCTTTGTGCTGTATGTCCTCAATTCACAGAGTTGAACCTTTGTTTGGATACAGCATTTTGGAAACATTCCTTTAGTAGAATCTGCAAGTTGATATTTAGATAGCTTTGAAGATTTCGTTGGAAACGGGAATATCTTCATAAAAAATCTAGACGGAAGCATTGTCAGAAACTGCTCTGTGATGTTTGCATTCAAGTCACAGAGTTAAATATTCTTTTACAGAGCAGGTTTGAAACACTCTTTCTGCACTCCCTGGAAGTGGAGATTTCGAGCGCTTTGAGGCCTATGGTGAAAAAGGAAATATCTTCCCATAAAAACTAGACGGAAGCCTTCTCAGAAACTTGTTTGAGATGTGTGTATTCAACTAAGAGCGTTGAACATTTCTTTTTACAGAGCAGTTTTAAAACAGTCTTTTGGTGGAATCTGAAAGTGGATAATTGGATAGCTTTGTGGATTTCGTTGGAAACGGGATTACGTTTAAAATCTAGAGAGAAGCATTATCAGGAACTTCTTTCTGATGTTTGCATTCAAGTCACAGAATTGAACATTCCTTTTCATAGTGCAGGTTTGAAACACTCTGTAGTATCTGGAAGTGGACATTTCAAGCGCTT
Source organism: Homo sapiens (assembly GCF_000001405.40). Classification (NCBI taxonomy): domain Eukaryota; kingdom Metazoa; phylum Chordata; class Mammalia; order Primates; family Hominidae; genus Homo; species Homo sapiens. The sequence goes on from NC_000004.12 coordinate 50,547,868, forward strand.
TCAGGCCTATGGGGAGAAAGGAAATATCTTGAAATAAAAACTAGACAGAAGGATTCTCAGAAACTTATTTGTGATGTGTGTCCTAAACGAACACAGTTGAACCTTTGTTTTGATACAGCATTTTGGAAACACTCCTTTTGTAGAATCTGCAGGTGGATATTTGGATAGATTTTAAGATTTCATTGGAAACGGGAATTTCTTCATATAAACTCAAGACAGATGCATTCTCAGAAACTTCTCTGTGATGTTTGCATTCCACTCATAGAGTTGAAAACTTCCTTTCATAGAGCAGGTTTGAAACACTCTTTTTGTAATATTTGGAAGTGGACATTTGCAGCGCTTTGAGGCCTATGGTGAAAAAGGAAATATCTTCTCATAAAAACCAGAAACAAGCATTCTCAGAAACTGCTTTTTGATGTGTGTACTCAAGTAACAGAGTTGAACCTTCCTTTTGACACAGCAGTTTTGAAACAATCTTTCTGTAGAATCTGCAAGTGGATATTTGGATAGCTTTGAGGATTTCGTTGGAAACGGGATATCTTCATATAAAATCTAGAAAGAAGCATTCTCAGAAACTTCTTTGTGCTGTATGTCCTCAATTAACAGAGTTGAACCATTGCTTGGATACAGCATTTTGGAAACATTCCTTTAGTAGAATCTGCAAGTTGATATTTAGATAGATTTGAAGATTTCGTTGGAAACGGGAATATCTTCATATAAAATCTAGACGGAGGCATTCTCAGAAACTGCTTTGTGATGTTTCCATTCAAGTCACAGAGTTGAATATTCTCTTTTATAGAGCACGTTTGAAACACTCTTTCTGCACTATCTGGAAGTGGACATTTCGAGCGCTGTGAGGCCTATGGTGAAAAAGGAAATATCTTCCCATAAAAACTAGACAGAAGCATTCTCAGAATCTTGTTTGTGATGTGTGTATTCAACTAACAGACTTGAACTTTTGTTTTTACAGAGCAGTTTTAAGACAATCCTTTTGTGGAATCAGAAAGTGGATATTCGGATGGCTTTGAGGACTTCGTTGGAAGCGGGATTACATATAAAATCTAGAGAGAAGCATTCTCAGGAACTTCTTTGTGATGTTTGCATTGAAGTCACAGAATTGAACATTCACTATGATAGAGCAGGTTTGAAACACTCACGCTGTAGTATCTGGAAGTGGACATTTCAAGCGCTTTCAGGCCTATGGTGAGAAAGGAAATATCTTCAAATTAAAACTAGACAGAAACATCCTCAGAAACTTATTTGTGATGTGTGTCCTCAACTAACAGAGTTGAAACTTTGTTTTGATACAGCATTTTGGAAACACTCTTTTTGTAGAATCTGCAGGTGGATATTTGGATAGCTTAGAGGGATTCGTTGGAAAGGGGATATCTTCATATAAAATCTAGACAGAAGCATTCTCAGAAACTTATTTGTGATGTGTGTCCTCAACTAACAGAGTTGAACCTTGGTTTTGATACAGCATTTTGGAAACACTCCTTTTGAAGAATCTGCAGGTGGATATGTGGATAGCTTTGAAGATTTCGTTGGAAACGGGAATTTCTTCATATAAAATCAAACAGAAGCATTCTCAGGAACTTCTCTGTGATGTTTGCATTCAGCTCATGGAGTTGAACACTTCCTTTCATAGAGCAGGTTTGAAACACTCTTTCTGCACTACCTGGAAGTGGACATTTCGAGCGCTTTGAGGCCTATGGTGAAAAAGGAAATATCCTCTCATAAAAACCAGAAAGAAGCGTTCTCAGAAACTTCTTTGTGTTGTGTGTACTCATGTAACAGTGTTGAACCATCCTTTTGACAGAGCAGTTTTGAAACACTCTTTTTGTAGAATCTGCCAGTGGATATTTGGATAGCTTTGAGGATTTCGTTGGAAACGGGTTATCTTCATATTAAATCTAGACAGAAGCATTCTCAGAAACTTCTTTGTGCTGTATGTCCTCAATTCACAGAGTTGAACCTTTGTTTGGATACAGCATTTTGGAAACATTCCTTTAGTAGAATCTGCAAGTTGATATTTAGATAGCTTTGAAGATTTCGTTGGAAACGGGAATATCTTCATAAAAAATCTAGACGGAAGCATTGTCAGAAACTGCTTTGTGATGTTTGCATTCAAGTCACAGAGTTAAATATTCTTTTATAGAGCAGGTTTGAAACACTCTTTCTGCACTCCCTGGAAGTGGAGATTTCGAGCGCTTTGAGGGCTATTGTGAAAAAGGAAATATCTTCCCATAAAAACTAGATGGAAGCCTTCTCAGAAACTTGTTTGAGATGTGTGTATTCAACTAAGAGCGTTGAACATTTCTTTTTACAGAGCAGTTTTAAAACAGTCTTTTGGTGGAATCTGAAAGTGGATAATTGGATAGCTTTGTGGATTTCGTTGGAAACGGGATTACGTTTAAAATCTAGAGAGAAGCATTCTCAGGAACTTCTTTCTGATGTTTGCATTCAAGTCACAGAATTGAACATTCCTTTTCATAGTGCAGGTTTGAAACACTCTGTAGTATCTGGAAGTGGACATTTCAAGCGCTTTCAGGCCTGTGGGGAGAAAGGAAATATCTTGAAATAAAAACTAGACAGAAGGATTCTCAGAAACTTATTTGTGATGTGTGTCCTAAACGAACACAGTTGAACCTTTGTTTTGATACAGCATTTTGGAAACACTCCTTTTGTAGAATCTGCAGGTGGATATTTGGATAGATTTTAAGATTTCATTGGAAACGGGAATTTCTTCATATAAACTCAAGACAGATGCATTCTCCGAAACTACTCTGTGATGTTTGCATTCCACTCATAGAGCTGAAAACTTCCTTTCATAGAGCAGGTTTGAAACACTCTTTTTGTAATATTTGGAAGTGGACATTTGCAGCGCTTTGAGGCCTATGGTGAAAAAGGAAATATCTTCTCATAAAAACCAGAAACAAGCATTCTCAGAAACTTCTTTTTGATGTGTGTACTCAAGTAACAGAGTTGAACCTTCCTCTTGACACAGCAGTTTTGAAACAATCTTTTTGTAGAATCTGCAAGTGGATATTTGGATAGCTTTGAGGATTTCGTTGGAAACGGGATATCTTCATATAAAAATCTAGACAGAAGCATTCTCAGAAACTTCTTTGTGCTGTATGTCCTCAATTAACAGAGTTGAACCATTGCCTGGATACAGCATTTTGGAAACATTCCTTGAGTAGAATCTGCAAGTTGATATTTAGATAGATTTGAAGATTTCGTTGGAAAAGGGAATATCTCCATATAAAATCTAGAGGGAAGCATTCTCAGAAACTGCTTTGTGATGTTTCCATTCAAGTCACAGAGTTGAATATTCCCTTTTATAGAGCACGTTTGAAACACTCTTTCTGCACTATCTGGAAGCGGACATTTCGAGCGCTTTGAGGCCTATGGTGAAAAAGGAAATATCTTCCCATAAAAACTAGACAGAAGCATTCTCAGAAACTTGTTTGTGATGTGTGTATTCAACTAACAGAGTTGAACTTTTGTTTTTACAGAGCCGTTTTAAAACACTCTTTTTGTGGAATCAGAAAGTGGATATTCGGATGGCTCTGAGGATTTCGTTGGAAGCGGGATTACGTATAAAATCTAGAGAGAAGCATTCTCAGGAACTTCTTTCTGATGTTTGCATTGAAGTCACGGAATTGAACATTCACTTTTATAGAGCAGGTTTGAAACACTCATTCTGTAGTATCTGGAAGTGGACATTTCAAGCGCTTTCAGGCCTATGGTGAGAAAGGAAATATCTTCGAATAAAAACTAGACAGAAGCATCCTCAGAAACTTATTTGTGATGTGTGTCCTCAACTAACAGAGTTGAAACTTTGTTTTGATACAGCATTTTGGAAACACTCTTTTTGTAGAATCTGCAGGTGGATATTTGGATAGCTTAGAGGGATTCGTTGGAAAGGGGATATCTTCATATAAAATCTAGACAGAAGCATTCTCAGAAACTTATTTGTGATGTGTGTCCTCAACTAACAGAGTTGAACCTTGGTTTTGATACAGCATTTTGGAAACACTCCTTTTGTAGAATCTGCAGGTGGATATGTGGATAGCTCTGAAGATTTCGTTGGAAACGGGAATTTCTTCATATAAAATCAAACAGAAGCATTCTCAGAAACTTCTCAGTGATGTTTGCATTCAGTTCATGGAGTTGAACACTTCCCTTCATAGAGCCGGTTTGAAACACTCTTTCTGCACTACCTGGAAGAGGACATTTCGAGCGCTTTGAGTCCTATGGTGAAAAAGGAAATATCTTCTCATAGAAACCAGAAAGAAGCATTCTCAGAAACTTCTTTGTGTTGTGTGTACTCATGTAACAGTGTTGAACCATCCTTTTGACAGAGCAGTTTTGAAACACTCTTTTTGTAGAATCTGCAAGTGGATATTTGGATAGCTTTGAGGATTTCGTTGGAAACGGGATGACATATAATATCTAGAGAGAAGCATTCTCAGGAACTTCTTTGTGATGTTTGCATTCAAGTCACAGAATTGAACATTCCCTTTCATAGAGCAGGTTTGAAACACTCTTTCTCTAGTATCTGGAAGTGGGCATTTCAAGCGCTTTCAGGCCTATGGAGAGAAAGGAAATACCTTCAAATAAAAACTAGACAGAAGCATTCTCAGAAACTTATTTGTGATGTGTGACCTCAAATAACAGAGTTGAACCTTTGTTTTGATACAGCATTTTGGAAACACTCCTTTTGTAGAATCTGCAGGTGGATATTTGGATAGCTTTGAAGATTTCGTTGGAAACCGGAATATCTTCATATAAAATCAAGACAGAAGCATTCTCGGAAACATCTCTGTGATGTTTGCATTCAACTCAGTAGAGTTGAACACTTCCTTTCATAGAGCAGGTTTGAAACACTCTTTCTGCACTACCTGGAAGCGGACATTTCGAGCGCTTTGAGGCCTATGGTGAAAAAGGAAATATCTTCTCATAAAAACCAGAAAGAAGCATTCTCAGAAACTTCTTTGTGTTGTGTGTACTCAAGTAACAGTGTTGAACCTTCCTTTTGACAGAGCAGTTTTGAAACACTCTTTTGGTAGAATCTGCAAGTGGATATTTGGAGAGCTTTGAGGATTTCGTTGGAAACGGGTTATCTTCATATAAAATCCAGACAGGAGCATTCTCAGAAACTTCTTTGTGCTGTATGTCCTCAATTCACAGAGCTGAACCTTTGTTTGGATACAGCATTTTGGAGACATTCCTTTAGTAGAATCTGCAAGTTGATATTTAGATAGCTTTGAAGATTTCGTTGGAAACGGGAATATCTTCATAGAAAATCTAGACGGAAGCATTCTCAGAAACTGCTTTGTGATGTTTGCATTCAAGTCACAGAGTTGAATATTCCCTTTTATAGAGTAGGTTTGAAACACTCTTTCGGCACTACCTGGAAGTGGATATTTCGAGCTCTTTGAGGCCTATGGTTAAAAGGAAATATCTTCCCATAAAAACTAGACAGAAGCCGTCTCAGAAACTTGTTTGTGATGTGTGTATTCAACTAACAGAGTTGAACATTTCTGTTACAGAGCAATTTTAAAACACTCTTTTTGTGGAATCTGAAAGTGGATAATTGGATAGCTTTGTGGATTTCATTGGAAACGGGATGACGTATAAAATCTAGAGAGAAGCATTCTCAGGAACTTCTTTCTGATGTTTGCATTCAAGTCACAGAATTGAACATTCCTTTTCAGAATGCAGGTTTGAAACACTCTTTCTGTAGTATCTGGAAGTGGACATTTCAAGCGCTTTCAGGCCTACGGGGAGAAAGGAAATATCTTCAAATAAAAACTAGACAGAAAGGATTCTCAGAAACTTATTTGTGATGTGTGTTCTCAACGAACACAGTTGAACCTTTGTTTTGATATAGCATTTTGGAAGCACTCCTTTTGTAGAATCTGCAGGTGGATATTTGGATAGATTTTAAGATTTCATTGGAAACGGGAATTTCTTCATATAAACTCAAGACAGATGCATTCTCAGAAACTTCTCTGTGATGTTTGCATTCCACTCACAGAGTTGAAAACTTCCTTTCATAGAGCAGGTTTGAAACACTCTTTTTGTAATATTTGGAAGTGGACATTTGCAGCGCTTTGAGGCCTATGGTGAAAAAGGAAATATCTTCTCATAAAAACCAGAAACAAGCATTCTGAGAAACTGCTTTTTGATGTGTGTACTCAAGTAACAGAGTTGAACCTTCCTTTTGACACAGCAGTTTTGAAACAATCTTTCTGTAGAATCTGCAAGTGGATATTTGGATAGCTTTGAGGATTTCGTTGGAAACGGGATATCTTCATATAAAATCTAGACAGAAGCATTCTCAGAAACTTCTTTGTGCTGTATGTCCTCAATTAACAGAGTTGAACCATTGCTTGGATACAGCATTTTGGAAACATTCCTTTAGTAGAATCTGCAAGTTGATATTTAGATAGATTTGAAGAATTCGTTGGAAACGGGAATATCTTCATATAAAATCTAGACGGAGGCATTCTCAGAAACTGCTTTGTGATGTTTCCATTCAAGTCACAGAGTTGAATATTCTCTTTTATAGAGCACGTTTGAAACACTCTTTCTGCACTATCTGGAAGTGGACATTTCGAGCGCTTTGAGGCCTATGGTGAAAAAGGAAGTATCTTCCCATAAAAACTAGACAGAAGCATTCTCAGAAACTTGTTTGTGATGTGTGTATTCAACTAACAGACTTGAACTTTTGTTTTTACAGAGCAGTTTTAAAACAATCTTTTTGTGGAATCAGAAAGTGGATATTCGGATGGCTTTGAGGATTTCGTTGGAAGCGGGATTACATTTAAAATCTAGAGAGAAGCATTCTCAGGAACTACTTTGTGATGTTTGCATTGAAGTCACAGAATTGAACATTCACTTTGATAGAGCAGGTTTGAAACACTCATTCTGTAGTATCTGGAAGTGGACATTTCAAGCGCTTTCAGGCCTATGGTGAGAAAGGAAATATCTTCAAATTAAAAGTAGACAGAAGCATCCTCAGAAACTTATTTGTGATGTGTGTCCTCAACTAACAGAGTTGACACTTTGTTTTGATACAGCATTTTGGAAACACTCTTTTTGTAGAATCTGCAGGTGGATATTTGGATAGCTTAGAGGGATTCGTTGGAAAGGAGATATCTTCATATAAAATCTAGACAGAAGCATTCTCAGAAACTTATTTGTGATGTGTGTCCTCAACTAACAGAGTTGAACCTTGGTTTTGATACAGCATTTTGGAAACACTCCTTTTGTAGAATCTGCAGGTGGATATGTGGATAGCTCTGAAGATTTCGTTGGAAACGGGAATTTCTTCATATAAAATCAAACAGAAGCATTCTCAGAAACTTCTCAGTGATGTTTGCATTCAGCTCATGGAGTTGTACACTTCCTTTCATAGAGCAGGTTTGAAACACTCTTTCTGCACTACCTGGAAGAGGACATTTCGAGCGCTTTGAGTCCTATGGTGAAAAAGGAAATATCTTCTCATAGAAACCAGAAAGAAGCATTCTCAGAAACTTCTTTGTGTTGTGTGTACTCATGTAACAGTGTTGAACCATCCTTTTGACAGAGGAGTTTTGAAACACTCTTTTTGTAGAATCTGCAAGTGGATATTTGGATAGCTTTGAGGATTTCGTTGGAAACGGGATGACATATAATATCTAGAGAGAAGCATTCTCAGGAACTTCTTTGTGATGTTTGCATTCAAGTCACAGAATTGAACATTCCCTTTCATAGAGCAGGTTTGAAACACTCTTTCTCTAGTATCTGGAAGTGGGCATTTCAAGCGCTTTCAGGCCTATGGAGAGAAAGGAAATACCTTCAAATAAAAAACTAGACAGAAGCATTCTCAGAAACTTATTTGTGATGTGTGTCCTCAACTAACAGAGTTGAACCTTTGTTTTGATACAGCATTTTGGAAACACTCCTTTTGTAGAATCTGCAGGTGGATATTTGGATAGCTTTGAAGATTTCGTTGGAAACCGGAATATCTTCATATAAAATCAAGACAGAAGCATTCTCGGAAACATCTCTGTGATGTTTGCATTCAACTCAGTAGAGTTGAACACTTCCTTTCATAGATCAGGTTTGAAACACTCTTTCTGCACTACCTGGAAGCGGACATTTCGGGCGCTTTGAGGCCTATGGTGAAAAAGGAAATATCTTCTCATAAAAACCAGAAAGAAGCATTCTCAGAAACTTCTTTGTGTTGTGTGTACTCAAGTAACAGTGTTGAACCTTCCTTTTGACACAGCAGTTTTGAAACACTCTTTTGGTAGAATCTGCAAGTGGATATTTGGAGAGCTTTGAGGATTTCGTTGGAAACGGGTTATCTTCATATAAAATCCAGACAGGAGCATTCTCAGAAACTTCTTTGTGCTGTATGTCCTCAATTCACAGAGCTGAACCTTTGTTTGGATACAGCATTTTGGAGACATTCCTTTAGTAGAATCTGCAAGTTGATATTTAGATAGCTTTGAAGATTTCGTTGGAAACGGGAATATCTGCATAGAAAATCTAGACGGAAGCATTCTCAGAAACTGCTTTGTGATGTTTGCATTCAAGTCACAGAGTTGAATATTCCCTTTTATAGAGTAGGTTTGAAACACTCTTTCGGCACTACCTGGAAGTGGATATTTCGAGCTCTTATGAGGCCTATGGTTAAAAGGAAATATCTTCCCATAAAAACTAGACAGAAGCCGTCTCAGAAACTTGTTTGTGATGTGTGTATTCAACTAACAGAGTTGAACATTTCTGTTACAGAGCAATTTTAAAACACTCTTTTTGTGGAATCTGAAAGTGGATAATTGGATAGCTTTGTGGATTTCGTTGGAAACGGGATGACGTATAAAATCTAGAGAGAAGCATTCTCAGGAACTTCTTTCTGATGTTTGCATTCAAGTCACAGAATTGAACATTCCTTTTCACAGTGCAGGTTTGAAACACTCTTTCTGTAGTATCTGGAAGTGGACATTTCAAGCGCTTTCAGGCCTATGGGGAGAAAGGAAATATCTTCAAATAAAAACTAGACAGAAGGATTCTCAGAAACTTATTTGTGATGTGTGTCCTAAGCGAACACAGTTGAACCTTTGTTTTGATACAGCATTTTGGAAACACTCCTTTTGTAGAATCTGCAGGTGGATATTTGGATAGATTTTAAGATTTCATTGGAAACGGGAATTTCTGCATAGAAACTCAAGACAGATGCATTCTCAGAAACTTCTCTGTGATGTTTGCATTCCACTCATAGAGTTGAAAACTTCCTTTCATAGAGCAGGTTTGAAACACTCTTTTTGTAATATTTGGAAGTGGACATTTGCAGCGCTTTGAGGCCTATGGTGAAAAAGGAAATATCTTCTCATAAAAACCAGAAACAAGCATTCTCAGAAACTTCTTTTTGATGTGTGTACTCAAGTAACAGAGTTGAACCTTCCTTTTGACACAGCAGTTTTGAAACAATCTTTTTGTAGAATCTGCAAGTGGATATTTGGATAGCTTTGAGGATTTCGTTGGAAACGGGATATCTTCATATAAAATCTAGACAGAAGCATTCTCAGAAACTTCTTTGTGCTGTATGTCCTCAATTAACAGAGTTGAACCATTGCTTGGATACAGCATTTTGGAAACATTCCTTGAGTAGAATCTGCAAGTTGATATTTAGATAGATTTGAAGATTTCGTTGGAAAAGGGAATATCTCCATATAAAATCTAGAGGGAAGCATTCTCAGAAACTGCTTTGTGATGTTTCCATTCAAGTCACAGAGTTGAATATTCCCTTTTATAGAGCACGTTTGAAACACTCTTTCTGCACTATCTGGAAGTGGACATTTCGAGCGCTTTGAGGCCTATGGTGAAAAAGGAAATATCGTCCCATAAAAACTAGACAGAAGCATTCTCAGAAACTTGTTTGTGATGTGTGTATTCAACTAACAGAGTTGAACTTTTGTTTTTACAGAGCCGTTTTAAAACACTCTTTTTGTGGAATCAGAAAGTGGATATTCGGATGGCTCTGAGGATTTCGTTGGAAGCGGGATTACATATAAAATCTAGAGAGAAGCATTCTCAGGAACTTCTTTGTGATGTTTGCATTGAAGTCACAGAATTGAACATTCACTTTGATAGAGCAGGTTTGAAACACTCATTCTGTAGGATCTGGAAGTGGACATTTCAAGCGCTTTCAGGCCTATGGTGAGAAAGGAAATATCTTCGAATAAAAACTAGACAGAAGCATCCTCAGAAACTTATTTGTGATGTGTGTCCTCAACTAACAGAGTTGAAACTTTGTTTTGATACAGCATTTTGGAAACACTCTTTTTGTAGAATCTGCAGGTGGATATTTGGATAGCTTAGAGGGATTCGTTGGAAAGGGGATATCTTCATATAAAATCTAGACAGAAGCATTCTCAGAAACTTATTTGTGATGTGTGTCCTCAACTAACAGAGTTGAACCTTGGTTTTGATACAGCATTTTGGAAACACTCCTTTTGTAGAATCTGCATGTGGATATGTGGATAGCTCTGAAGATTTCGTTGGAAACGGGAATTTCTTCATATAAAATCAAACAGAAGCATTCTCAGAAACTTCTCTGTGATGTTTGCATTCAGCTCATGGAGTTGAACACTTCCTTTCATAGAGCAGGTTTGAAACACTCTTTCTGCACTACCTGGAAGTGGACATTTCGAGCGCTTTGAGGCCTATGGTGAAAAGGGAAATATCTTCTCATAAAAACCAGAAAGAAGCGTTCTCAGAAACTTCTTTGTGTTGTGTGTACTCATGTAACAGTGTTGAACCATCCTTTTGACAGAGCAGTTTTGAAACACTCTTTTTGTAGAATCTGCAAGTGGATATTTGGATAGCTTTGAGGATTTCGTTGGAAACGGGTTATCTTCATATTAAATACTAGACAGAAGCATTCTCAGAAACTTCTTTGTGCTGTATGTCCTCAATTCACAGAGTTGAACCTTTGTTTGGATACAGCATTTTGGAAACATTCCTTTAGTAGAATCTGCAAGTTGATATTTAGATAGCTTTGAAGATTTCGTTGGAAACGGGAATATCTTCATAAAAAATCTAGACGGAAGCATTGTCAGAAACTGCTTTGTGATGTTTGCATTCAAGTCACAGAGTTAAATATTCTTTTACAGAGCAGGTTTGAAACACTCTTTCTGCACTCCCTGGAAGTGGAGATTTCGAGCGCTTTGAGGCCTATGGTGAAAAAGGAAATATCTTCCCATAAAAACTAGACGGAAGCCTTCTCAGAAACTTGTTTGAGATGTGTGTATTCAACTAAGAGTGTTGAATATTTCTTTTTACAGAGCAGTTTTAAAACACTCTTTTTGTGGGATCTGAAAGTGGATAATTGGATAGCTTTGTGGATTTCGTTGGAAACGGGATGACGTATAAAATCTAGAGAGAAGCATTCTCAGGAACTTCTTTCTGATGTTTGCATTCAAGTCACAGAATTGAACATTCCTTTTCATAGTGCAGGTTTGAAACACTCTTTCTGTAGTATCTGGAAGTGGACATTTCAAGCGCTTTCAGGCCTATGGGGAGAAAGGAAATATCTTCAAATAAAAACTAGACAGAAGGATTCTCAGAAACTTATTGGTGATGTGTGTCCTAAACGAACACAGTTGAACCTTTGTTTTGATACAGCATTTTGGAAACACTCCCTTTGTAGAATCTGCAGGTGGATATTTGGATAGATTTTAAGATTTCGTTGGAAACGGGAATTTCTTCATATAAACTCAAGACAGATGCATTCTCCGAAACTTCTCTGTGATGTTTGCATTCCACTCATAGAGTTGAAAACTTCCTTTCATAGAGCAGGTTTGAAACACTCTTTTTGTAATATTTGGAAGTGGACATTTGCAGCGCTTTGAGGCCTATGGTGAAAAAGGAAATATCTTCTCATAAAAACCAGAAACAAACATTCTCAGAAACTTCTTTTTGATGTGTGTACTCAAGTAACAGAGTTGAACCTTCCTTTTGACACAGCAGTTTTGAAACAATCTTTTTGTAGAATCTGCAAGTGGATATTTGGATAGCTTTGAGGATTTCGTTGGAAACGGGATATCTTCATATAAAATCTAGACAGAAGCATTCTCAGAAACTTCTTTGTGCTGTATGTCCTCAATTAACAGAGTTGAACCATTGCTTGGATACAGCATTTTGGAAACATTCCTTTAGTAGAATCTGCAAGTTGATATTTAGATAGATTTGAAGATTTCGTTGGAAACGGGAATATCTTCATATAAAATCTAGACGGAGGCATTCTCAGAAACTGCTTTGTGATGTTTCCATTCAAGTCAGAGAGTTGAATATTCTCTTTTATAGAGCACGTTTGAAACACTCTTTCTGCACTATCTGGAAGTGGACATTTCGAGCGCTGTGAGGCCTATGGTGAAAAAGGAAATATCTTCCCATAAAAATTAGACAGAAGCATTCTCAGAAACTTGTTTGTGATGTGTGTATTCAACTAACAGACTTGAACTTTTGTTTTTACAGAGCAGTTTTAAGACAATCTTTTTGTGGAATCAGAAAGTGGATATTCGGATGGCTTTGAGGACCTCGTTGGAAGCGGGATTACATATAAAATCTAGAGAGAAGCATTCTCAGGAACTACTTTGTGATGTTTGCATTGAAGTCACAGAATAGAACATTCACTTTGATAGAGCAGGTTTGAAACACTCATTCTGTAGTATCTGGAAGCGGACAATTCAAGCGCTTTCAGGCCTATGGGGAGAAAGGAAATATCTTCAAATAGAAACTAGACAGAAAGCATCCTCAGAAACTTATTTGTGATGTGTGTCCTCAACTAACAGAGTGGAAACTTTGATTTCATACAGCATTTTGGAGACACTCTTTTTGTAGAATCTGCGGGTGGACATTTGGATAGCTTAGAAGGATTCTTTGGAAAGGGGATATCTTCATATAAAATCTAGACAGAGCATTCTCAGAAACTTATTTGTGATGTGTGTCCTCAACTAACAGAGTTGAACCTTGGTTTTGATACAGCATTTTGGAAACACTCCTTTTGTAGAATCTGCAGGTGGATATGTGGATAGCTCTGAAGATTTCGTTGGAAACGGGAATTTCTTCATATAAAATCAAACAGAAGCATTCTCAGAAACTTCTCAGTGATGTTTGCATTCAGTTCATGGAGTTGAACACTTCCCTTCATAGAGCCGGTTTGAAACACTCTTTCTGCACTACCTGGAAGAGGACATTTCGAGCGCTTTGAGTCCTATGGTGAAAAAGGAAATATCTTCTCATAGAAACCAGAAAGAAGCATTCTCAGAAACTTCTTTGTGTTGTGTGTACTCATGTAACAGTGTTGAACCATCCTTTTGACAGAGCAGTTTTGAAACACTCTTTTTGTAGAATCTGCAAGTGGATATTTGGATAGCTTTGAGGATTTCGTTGGAAACGGGATGACATATAATATCTAGAGAGAAGCATTCTCAGGAACTTCTTTGTGATGTTTGCATTCAAGTCACAGAATTGAACATTCCCTTTCATAGAGCAGGTTTGAAACACTCTTTCTCTAGTATCTGGAAGTGGGCATTTCAAGCGCTTTCAGGCCTATGGAGAGAAAGGAAATACCTTCAAATAAAAACTAGACAGAAGCATTCTCAGAAACTTATTTGTGATGTGTGTCCTCAACTAACAGAGTTGAACCTTTGTTTTGATACAGCATTTTGGAAACACTCCTTTTGTAGAATCTGCAGGTGGATATTTGGATAGCTTTGAAGATTTCGTTGGAAACCGGAATATCTTCATATAAAATCAAGACAGAAGCATTCTCGGAAACATCTCTGTGATGTTTGCATTCAACTCAGTAGAGTTGAACACTTCCTTTCATAGAGCAGGTTTGAAACACTCTTTCTGCACTACCTGGAAGCGGACATTTCGAGCGCTTTGAGGCCTATGGTGAAAAAGGAAATATCTTCTCATAAAAACCAGAAAGAAGCATTCTCAGAAACTTCTTTGTGTTGTGTGTACTCAAGTAACAGTGTTGAACCTTCCTTTTGACAGAGTAGTTTTGAAACACTCTTTTGGTAGAATCTGCAAGTGGATATTTGGATAGCTTTGAGGATTTCGTTGGGAACGGGTTATCTTCCTATAAAATCCAGACAGGAGCATTCTCAGAAACTTCTTTGTGCTGTATGTCCTCAATTCACAGAGCTGAACCTTTGTTTGGATACAGCATTTTGGAGACATTCCTTTAGTAGAATCTGCAAGTTGATATTTAGATAGCTTTGAAGATTTCGTTGGAAACGGGAATATCTTCATAGAAAATCTAGACGGAAGCATTCTCAGAAACTGCTTTGTGATGTTTGCATTCAAGTCACAGAGTTGAATATTCCCTTTTATAGAGTAGGTTTGAAACACTCTTTCGGCACTACCTGGAAGTGGATATTTCGAGCTCTTTGAGGCCTATGGTTAAAAGGAAATATCTTCCCATAAAAACTAGACAGAAGCCGTCTCAGAAACTTGTTTGTGATGTGTGTATTCAACTAACAGAGTTGAACATTTCTGTTACAGAGCAATTTTAAAACAGTCTTTTTGTGGAATCTGAAAGTGGATAATTGGATAGCTTTGTGGATTTCGTTGGAAACGGGATGACGTATAAAATCTAGAGAGAAGCATTCTCAGGAACTTCTTTCTGATGTTTGCATTCAAGTCACAGAATTGAACATTCCTTTTCAGAGTGCAGGTTTGAAACACTCTTTCTGTAGTATCTGGAAGTGGACATTTCAAGCGCTTTCAGGCCTACGGGGAGAAAGGAAATATCTTCAAATAAAAACTAGACAGAAGGATTCTCAGAAACTTATTTGTGATGTGTGTCCTAAACGAACACAGTTGAACCTTTGTTTTGATACAGCATTTTGGAAACACTCCTTTTGTAGGATCTGCAGGTGGATATGTGGATAGCTCTGAAGATTTCGTTGGAAACGGGAATTTCTTCATATAAAATCAAAAAAGAAGCATTCTCAGAAACTTCTCAGTGATGTTTGCATTCAGCTCATGGAGTTGAACACTTCCTTTCATAGAGCCGGTTTGAAACACTCTTTCTGCACTACCTGGAAGAGGACATATCGAGCACTTTGAGGCCTATGGTGAAAAAGAAAATATCTTCTCATAGAAACCAGAAAGAAGCATTCTCAGAAACTTCTTTGTGTTGTGTGTACTCATGTAACAGTGTTGAACCATCCTTTTGACAGAGCAGTTTTGAAACAGTCTTTTTGTAGAATCTGCAAGTGGATATTTGGATAGCTTTGAGGATTTCGTTGGAAACGGGATGACATATAATATCTAGAGAGAAGCATTCTCAGGAACTTCTTTGTGATGTTTGCATTCAAGTCACAGAATTGAACATTCCCTTTCATAGAGCAGGTTTGAAACACTCTTTCTCTAGTATCTGGAAGTGGGCATTTCAAGCGCTTTCAGGCCTATGGAGAGAAAGGAAATACCTTCAAATAAAAACTAGACAGAAGCATTCTCAGAAACTTATTTGTGATGTGTGTCCTCAACTAACAGAGTTGAACCTTTGTTTTGATACAGCATTTTGGAAACACTCCTTTTGTAGAATCTGCAGGTGGATATTTGGATAGCTTTGAAGATTTCGTTGGAAACCGGAATATCTTCATATAAAATCAAGACAGAAGCATTCTCGGAAACATCTCTGTGATGTTTGCATTCAACTCAGTAGAGTTGAACACTTCCTTTCATAGAGCAGGTTTGAAACACTCTTTCTGCACTACCTGGAAGCGGACATTTCGAGCGCTTTGAGGCCTATGGTGAAAAAGGAAATATCTTCTCATAAAAACCAGAAAGAAGCATTCTCAGAAACTTCTTTGTGTTGTGTGTACTCAAGTAACAGTGTTGAACCTTCCTTTTGACAGAGCAGTTTTGAAACACTCTTTTGGTAGAATCTGCAAGTGGATATTTGGAGAGCTTTGAGGATTTCGTTGGAAACGGGTTATCTTCATATAAAATCCAGACAGGAGCATTCTCAGAAACTTCTTTGTGCTGTATGTCCTCAATTCACAGAGCTGAACCTTTGTTTGGATACAGCATTTTGGAGACATTCCTTTAGTAGAATCTGCAAGTTGATATTTAGATAGCTTTGAAGATTTCGTTGGAAACGGGAATATCTTCATAGAAAATCTAGACGGAAGCATTCTCAGAAACTGCTTTGTGATGTTTGCATTCAAGTCACAGAGTTGAATATTCCCTTTTATAGAGTAGGTTTGAAACACTCTTTCGGCACTACCTGGAAGTGGATATTTCGAGCTCTTTGAGGCCTATAGTTAAAAGGAAATATCTTCCCATAAAAACTAGACAGAAGCCGTCTCAGAAACTTGTTTGTGATGTGTGTATTCAACTAACAGAGTTGAACATTTCTGTTACAGAGCAATTTTAAAACACTCTTTGTGGAATCTGAAAGTGGATAATTGGATAGCTTTGTGGATTTCGTTGGAAACGGGATGACGTATAAAATCTAGAGAGAAGCATTCTCAGGAACTTCTTTCTGATGTTTGCATTCAAGTCACAGAATTGAACATTCCTTTTCAGAGTGCAGGTTTGAAACACTCTTTCTGTAGTATCTGGAAGTGGACATTTCAAGCGCTTTCAGGCCTACGGGGAGAAAGGAAATCTCTTCAAATAAAAACCAGACAGAAGGATTCTCAGAAACTTATTTGTGATGTGTGTCCTAAACGAACACAGTTGAACCTTTGTTTTGATACAGCATTTTGGAAACACTCCTTTTGTAGAATCTGCAGGTGGATATTTGGATAGATTTTAAGATTTCATTGGAAACGGGAATTTCTTCATATAAACTCAAGACAGATGCATTCTCAGAAACTTCTCTGTGATGTTTGCATTCCACTCAAAGAGTTGAAAACTTCCTTTCATAGAGCACGTTTGAAACACTCTTTTTGTAATATTTGGAAGTGGACATTTGCAGCGCTTTGAGGCCTATGGTGAAAAAGGAAATATCTTCTCATAAAAACCAGAAACAAGCATTCTCAGAAACTGCTTTTTGATGTGTGTACTCAAGTAACAGAGTTGAACCTTCCTTTTGACACAGCAGTTTTGAAACAATCTTTTTGTAGAATCTGCAAGTGGATATTTGGATAGCTTTGAGGATTTCGTTGGAAACGGGATATCTTCATATAAAATCTAGACAGAAGCATTCTCAGAAACTTCTTTGTGCTGTATGTCCTCAATTAACAGAGTTGAACCATTGCTTGGATACAGCATTTTGGAAACATTCCTTTAGTAGAATCTGCAAGTTGATATTTAGATAGCTTTGAAGATTTCGTTGGAAACGGGAATATCTTCATATAAAATCTAGACGGAGGCATTCTCAGAAACTGCTTTGTGATGTTTCCATTCAAGTCACAGAGTTGAATATTCTCTTTTATAGAGCACGTTTGAAACACTCTTTCTGCACTATCTGGAAGTGGACATTTCGAGCGCTTTGAGGCCTATGGTGAAAAAGGAAGTATCTTCCCATAAAAACTAGACAGAAGCATTCTCAGAATCTTGTTTGTGATGTGTGTATTCAACTAACAGACTTGAACTTTTGTTTTTACAGAGCAGTTTTAAGACAATCCTTTTGTGGAATCAGAAAGTGGATACTCGGATGGCTTTGAGGACTTCGTTGGACGCGGGATTACATATAAAATCTAGAGAGAAGCATTCTCAGGAACTACTTTGTGATGTTTGCATTCAAGTCACAGAATTGAACATTCACTTTGATAGAGCAGGTTTGAAACACTCATTCTGTAGTATCTGGAAGTGGACAATTCAAGCGCTTTCAGGCCTATGGGGAGAAAGGAAATATCTTCAAATAAAAACTAGACAGAAGCATCCTCAGAAACTTATTTGTGATGTGTGTCCTCAACTAACAGAGTTGAAACTTTGTTTTGATACAGCATTTTGGAAACACTCTTTTTGTAGAATCTGCAGGTGGATATTTGGATAGCTTAGAGGGATTCGTTGGAAAGGGGATATCTTCATATAAAATCTAGACAGAAGCATTCTCAGAAACTTATTTGTGATGTGTGTCCTCAACTAACAGAGTGGAACCTTGGTTTTGATACAGCATTTTGGAAACACTCCTTTTGTAGAATCTGCAGGTGGATATGTGGATAGCTTTGAAGATTTCGTTGGAAACGGGAATTTCTTCATATAAAATCAAACAGAAGCATTCTCAGAAACTTCTCTGTGATGTTTGCATTCAGCTCATGGAGTTGAACACTTCCTTTCAGAGAGCAGCTTTGAAACACTCTTTCTGCACTACCAGGAAGTGGACATTTCGAGCGCTTTGAGGCCTATGGTGAAAAAGGAAATATCTTCTCATAAAAACCAGAAAGAAGCATTCACAGAAACTTCTTTGTGTTGTGTGTACTCATGTAACAGTGTTGAACCATCCTTTTGACAGAGCAGTTTTGAAACACTCTTTTTGTAGAATCTGCAAGTGGATATTTGGATAGCTTTGAGGATTTCGTTGGAAACGGGATGACATATAATATCTAGAGAGAAGCATTCTCAGGAACTTCTTTGTGATGTTTGCATTCAAGTCACAGAATTGAACATTCCCTTTCATAGAGCAGGTTTGAAACACTCTTTCTCTAGTATCTGGAAGTGGGCATTTCAAGCGCTTTCAGGCCTATGGAGAGAAAGGAAATACCTTCAAATAAAAACTAGACAGAAGCATTCTCAGAAACTTACTTGTGATGTGTGTCCTCAACTAACAGAGTTGAACCTTTGTTTTGATACAGCATTTTGGAAACACTCCTTTTGTAGAATCTGCAGGTGGATATTTGGATAGCTTTGAAGATTTCGTTGGAAACCGGAATATCTTCATATAAAATCAAGACAGAAGCATTCTCGGAAACATCTCTGTGATGTTTGCATTCAACTCAGTAGAGTTGAACACTTCCTTTCATAGAGCAGGTTTGAGACACTCTTTCTGCACTACCTGGAAGCGGACATTTCGAGCGCTTTGAGGCCTATGGTGAAAAAGGAAATATCTTCTCCTAAAAACCAGAAAGAAGCATTCTCAGAAACTTCTTTGTGTTGTGTGTACTCAAGTAACAGTGTTGAACCTTCCTTTTGACAGAGCAGTTTTGAAACACTCTTTTGGTAGAATCTGCAAGTGGATATTTGGATAGCTTTGAGGATTTCGTTGGAAACGGGTTATCTTCATATAAAATCCAGACAGGAGCATTCTCAGAAACTTCTTTGTGCTGTATGTCCTCAATTCACAGAGCTGAACCTTTGTTTGGATACAGCATTTTGGAAACATTCCTTTAGTAGAATCTGCAAGTTGATATTTAGATAGCTTTGAAGATTTCGTTGGAAACGGGAATATCTTCATAGAAAATCTAGACGGAAGCATTCTCAGAAACTGCTTTGTGATGTTTGCATTCAAGTCACAGAGTTGAATATTCCCTTTTATAGAGTAGGTTTGAAACACTCTTTCGGCACTACCTGGAAGTGGATATTTCGAGCTCTTTGAGGCCTATGGTTAAAAGGAAATATCTTCCCATAAAAACTAGACAGAAGCCTTCTCAGAAACTTGTTTGAGATGTGTGTATTCAACTAAGAGCGTTGAACATTTCCTTTTACAGAGCAGTTTTAAAACACTCTTTTTGTGGAATCTGAAAGTGGATAATTGGATAGCTTTGTGGATTTCGTTGGAAACGGGATTACGTATAAAATCTAGAGAGAAGCATTCTCAGGAACTTCTTTCTGATGTTTGCATTCAAGTCACAGAATTGAACATTCCTTTTCAGAGTGCAGGTTTGAAACACTCTTTCTGTAGTATCTGGAAGTGGACATTTCAAGCGCTTTCAGGCCTACGGGGAGAAAGGAAATCTCTTCAAATGAAAACTAGACAGAAGGATTCTCAGAAACTTATTTGTGATGTGTGTCCTAAACGAACACAGTTGAACCTTTGTTTTGATACAGCATTTTGGAAACACTCCTTTTGTAGGATCTGCAGGTGGATATTTGGATAGATTTTAAGATTTCGTTGGAAACGGGAATTTCTTCATAGAAGCTCAAGACAGATGCATTCTCAGAAACTTCTCTGTGATGTTTGCATTCCACTCATAGAGTTGAAAACTTCCTTTCATAGAGCAGGTTTGAAACACTCTTTTTGTAATATTTGGAAGTGGACATTTGCAGCGCTTTGAGGCCTATGGTGAAAAAGGAAATATCTTCTCATAAAAACCAGAAACAAGCATTCTCAGAAACTTCTTTTTGATGTGTGTACTCAAGTAACAGAGTTGAACCTTCCTCTTGACACAGCAGTTTTGAAACAATCTTTTTGTAGAATCTGCAAGTGGATATTTGGATAGCTTTGAGGATTTCGTTGGAAACGGGATATCTTCATATAAAATCTAGACAGAAGCATTCTCAGAAACTTCTTTGTGCTGTATGTCCTCAATTAACAGAGTTGAACCATTGCCTGGATACAGCATTTTGGAAACATTCCTTGAGTAGAATCTGCAAGTTGATATTTAGATAGATTTGAAGATTTCGTTGGAAAAGGGAATATCTCCATATAAAATCTAGAGGGAAGCATTCTCAGAAACTGCTTTGTGATGTTTCCATTCAAGTCACAGAGTTGAATATTCCCTTTTATAGAGCACGTTTGAAACACTCTTTCTGCACTATCTGGAAGCGGACATTTCGAGCGCTTTGAGGCCTATGGTGAAAAAGGAAATATCTTCCCATAAAAACTAGACAGAAGCATTCTCAGAAACTTGTTTGTGATGTGTGTATTCAACTAACAGAGTTGAACTTTTGTTTTTACAGAGCCGTTTTAAAACACTCTTTTTGTGGAATCAGAAAGTGGATATTCGGATGGCTCTGAGGATTTCGTTGGAAGCGGGATTACATATAAAATCTAGAGAGAAGCATTCTCAGGAACTTCTTTGTGATGTTTGCATTGAAGTCACAGAATTGAACATTCACTTTGATAGAGCAGGTTTGAAACACTCATTCTGTAGGATCTGGAAGTGGACATTTCAAGCGCTTTCAGGCCTATGGTGAGAAAGGAAATA
This sequence comes from Homo sapiens, assembly GCF_000001405.40. Taxonomy (NCBI): domain Eukaryota; kingdom Metazoa; phylum Chordata; class Mammalia; order Primates; family Hominidae; genus Homo; species Homo sapiens. The sequence continues at coordinate 50,568,987 of NC_000004.12, forward strand.
TCTTCGAATAAAAACTAGACAGAAGCATCCTCAGAAACTTATTTGTGATGTGTGTCCTCAACTAACAGAGTTGAAACTTTGTTTTGATACAGCATTTTGGAAACACTCTTTTTGTAGAATCTGCAGGTGGATATTTGGATAGCTTAGAGGGATTCGTTGGAAAGGGGATATCTTCATATAAAATCTAGACAGAAGCATTCTCAGAAACTTATTTGTGATGTGTGTCCTCAACTAACAGAGTTGAACCTTGGTTTTGATACAGCATTTTGGAAACACTCCTTTTGTAGAATCTGCAGGTGGATATGTGGATAGCTCTGAAGATTTCGTTGGAAACGGGAATTTCTTCATATAAAATCAAACAGAAGCATTCTCAGAAACTTCTCAGTGATGTTTGCATTCAGCTCATGGAGTTGAACACTTCCTTTCATAGAGCAGGTTTGAAACACTCTTTCTGCACTACCTGGAAGAGGACATTTCGAGCGCTTTGAGTCCTATGGTGAAAAAGGAAATATCTTCTCATAGAAACCAGAAAGAAGCATTCTCAGAAACTTCTTTGTGTTGTGTGTACTCATGTAACAGTGTTGAACCATCCTTTTGACAGAGGAGTTTTGAAACACTCTTTTTGTAGAATCTGCAAGTGGATATTTGGATAGCTTTGAGGATTTCGTTGGAAACGGGATGACATATAATATCTAGAGAGAAGCATTCTCAGGAACTTCTTTGTGATGTTTGCATTCAAGTCACAGGATTGAACATTCCCTTTCATAGAGCAGGTTTGAAACACTCTTTCTCTAGTATCTGGAAGTGGGCATTTCAAGCGCTTTCAGGCCTATGGAGAGAAAGGAAATACCTTCAAATAAAAACTAGACAGAAGCATTCTCAGAAACTTATTTGTGATGTGTGTCCCCAACTAACAGCAGTTGAACCTTTGTTTTGATACAGCATTTTGGAAACACTCCTTTTGTAGAATCTGCAGGTGGATATTTGGATAGCTTTGAAGATTTCGTTGGAAACCGGAATATCTTCATATAAAATCAAGACAGAAGCATTCTCGGAAACATCTCTGTGATGTTTGCATTCAACTCAGTAGAGTTGAACACTTCCTTTCATAGAGCAGGTTTGAAACACTCTTTCTGCACTACCTGGAAGCGGACATTTCGAGCGCTTTGAGGCCTATGGTGAAAAAGGAAATATCTTCTCATAAAAACCAGAAAGAAGCATTCTCAGAAACTTCTTTGTGTTGTGTGTACTCAAGTAACAGTGTTGAACCTTCCTTTTGACAGAGTAGTTTTGAAACACTCTTTTGGTAGAATCTGCAAGTGGATATTTGGATAGCTTTGAGGATTTCGTTGGGAACGGGTTATCTTCCTATAAAATCCAGACAGGAGCATTCTCAGAAACTTCTTTGTGCTGTATGTCCTCAATTCACAGAGCTGAACCTTTGTTTGGATACAGCATTTTGGAGACATTCCTTTAGTAGAATCTGCAAGTTGATATTTAGATAGCTTTGAAGATTTCGTTGGAAACGGGAATATCTTCATAGAAAATCTAGACGGAAGCATTCTCAGAAACTGCTTTGTGATGTTTGCATTCAAGTCACAGAGTTGAATATTCCCTTTTATAGAGTAGGTTTGAAACACTCTTTCGGCACTACCTGGAAGTGGATATTTCGAGCTCTTTGAGGCCTATGGTTAAAAGGAAATATCTTCCCATAAAAACTAGACAGAAGCCGTCTCAGAAACTTGTTTGTGATGTGTGTATTCAACTAACAGAGTTGAACATTTCTGTTACAGAGCAATTTTAAAACACTCTTTGTGGAATCTGAAAGTGGATAATTGGATAGCTTTGTGGATTTCGTTGGAAACGGGACGACGTATAAAATCTAGAGAGAAGCATTCTCAGGAACTTCTTTCTGATGTTTGCATTCAAGTCACAGAATTGAACATTCCTTTTCATAGTGCAGGTTTGAAACACTCTTTCTGTAGTATCTGGAAGTGGACATTTCCAGCGCTTTCAGGGCTATGGGGAGAAAGGAAATATCTTCAAATAAAAACTAGACAGAGGCATTCTCAGAAACTTATTTGTGATGTGTGTCCTAAACGAACACAGTTGAACCTTTGTTTTGATACAGCATTTTGGAAACACTCCTTTTGTAGGATCTGCAGGTGGATATTTGGAGAGATTTTAAGATTTCGTTGGAAACGGGAATTTCTTCATAGAAGCTCAAGACAGATGCATTCTCAGAAACTTCTCTGTGATGTTTGCATTCCACTCATAGAGTTGAAAACTTCCTTTCATAGAGCAGGTTTGAAACACTCTTTTTGTAATATTTGGAAGTGGACATTTGCAGCGCTTTGAGGCCTATGGTGAAAAAGGAAATATCTTCTCATAAAAACCAGAAACAAGCATTCTCAGAAACTTCTTTTTGATGTGTGTACTCAAGTAACAGAGTTGAACCTTCCTCTTGACACAGCAGTTTTGAAACAATCTTTTTGTAGAATCTGCAAGTGGATATTTGGATAGCTTTGAGGATTTCGTTGGAAACGGGATATCTTCATATAAAATCTAGACAGAAGCATTCTCAGAAACTTCTTTGTGCTGTATGTCCTCAATTAACAGAGTTGAACCATTGCCTGGATACAGCATTTTGGAAACATTCCTTGAGTAGAATCTGCAAGTTGATATTTAGATAGATTTGAAGATTTCGTTGGAAAAGGGAATATCTCCATATAAAATCTAGAGGGAAGCATTCTCAGAAACTGCTTTGTGATGTTTCCATTCAAGTCACAGAGTTGAATATTCCCTTTTATAGAGCACGTTTGAAACACTCTTTCTGCACTATCTGGAAGCGGACATTTCGAGCGCTTTGAGGCCTATGGTGAAAAAGGAAATATCTTCCCATAAAAACTAGACAGAAGCATTCTCAGAAACTTGTTTGTGATGTGTGTATTCAACTAACAGAGTTGAACTTTTGTTTTTACAGAGCCGTTTTAAAACACTCTTTTTGTGGAATCAGAAAGTGGATATTCGGATGGCTCTGAGGATTTCGTTGGAAGCGGGATTACGTATAAAATCTAGAGAGAAGCATTCTCAGGAACTTCTTTCTGATGTTTGCATTGAAGTCACAGAATTGAACATTCACTTTGATAGAGCAGGTTTGAAACACTCATTCTGTAGTATCTGGAAGTGGACATTTCAAGCGCTTTCAGGCCTATGGTGAGAAAGGAAATATCTTCGAATAAAAACTAGACAGAAGCATCCTCAAACTTATTTGTGATGTGTGTCCTCAACTAACAGAGTTGAAACTTTGTTTTGATACAGCATTTTGGAAACACTCTTTTTGTAGAATCTGCAGGTGGATATTTGGATAGCTTAGAGGGATTCGTTGGAAAGGGGATATCTTCATATAAAATCTAGACAGAAGCATTCTCAGAAACTTATTTGTGATGTGTGTCCTCAACTAACAAAGTTGAACCTTGGTTTTGATACAGCATTTTGGAAACACTCCTTTTGTAGAATCTGCAGGTGGATATGTGGATAGCTTTGAAGATTTCGTTGGAAAGGGGAATTTCTTCATATAAAATCAAACAGAAGCATTCTCAGAAACTTCTCAGTGATGTTTGCATTCAGTTCATGGAGTTGAACACTTCCTTTCATAGAGCCGGTTTGAAACACTCTTTCTGCACTACCTGGAAGAGGACATTTCGAGCGCTTTGAGTCCTATGGTGAAAAAGGAAATATCTTCTCATAGAAACCAGAAAGAAGCATTCTCAGAAACTTCTTTGTGTTGTGTGTACTCATGTAACAGTGTTGAACCATCCTTTTGACAGAGGAGTTTTGAAACACTCTTTTTGTAGAATCTGCAAGTGGATATTTGGATAGGTTTGAGGATTTCGTTGGAAACGGGATGACATATAATATCTAGAGAGAAGCATTCTCAGGAACTTCTTTGTGATGTTTGCATTCAAGTCACAGAATTGAACATTCCCTTTCATAGAGCAGGTTTGAAACACTCTTTCTCTAGTATCTGGAAGTGGGCATTTCAAGCGCTTTCAGGCCTATGGAGAGAAAGGAAATACCTTCAAATAAAAACTAGACAGAAGCATTCTCAGAAACTTATTTGTGATGTGTGTCCTCAACTAACAGAGTTGAACCTTTGTTTTGATACAGCATTTTGGAAACACTCCTTTTGTAGAATCTGCAGGTGGATATTTGGATAGCTTTGAAGATTTCGTTGGAAACCGGAATATCTTCCTATAAAATCAAGACAGAAGCATTCTCGGAAACATCTCTGTGATGTTTGCATTCAACTCAGTAGAGTTGAACACGTCCTTTCATAGAGCAGGTTTGAAACACTCTTTCTGCCCTACCTGGAAGCGGACATTTCGAGCTGCTTTGAGGCCTATGGTGAAAAAGGAAATATCTTCTCATAAAAACCAGAAAGAAGCATTCTCAGAAACTTCTTTGTGTTGTGTGTACTCAAGTAACAGTGTTGAACCTTCCTTTTGACAGAGCAGTTTTGAAACACTCTTTTGGTAGAATCTGCAAGTGGATATTTGGATAGCTTTGAGGATTTCGTTGGAAACAGGTTATCTTCCTATAAAATCCAGACAGGAGCATTCTCAAAAACTTCTTTGTGCTGTATGTCCTCAATTCACAGAGCTGAACCTTTGTTTGGATACAGCATTTTGGAAACATTCCTTTAGTAGAATCTGCAAGTTGATATTTAGATAGCTTTGAAGATTTCGTTGGAAACGGGAATATCTTCATAGAAAATCTAGACGGAAGCATTCTCAGAAACTGCTTTGTGATGTTTGCATTCAAGTCACAGAGTTGAATATTCCCTTTTATAGAGTAGGTTTGAAACACTCTTTCGGCACTACCTGGAAGTGGATATTTCGAGCTCTTATGAGGCCTATGGTTAAAAGGAAATATCTTCCCATAAAAACTAGACAGAAGCCGTCTCAGAAACTTGTTTGTGATGTGTGTATTCAACTAACAGAGTTGAACATTTCTGTTACAGAGCAATTTTAAAACACTCTTTTTGTGGAATCTGAAAGTGGATAATTGGATAGCTTTGTGGATTTCGTTGGAAACGGGATGACGTATAAAATCTAGAGAGAAGCATTCTCAGGAACTTCTTTCTGATGTTTGCATTCAAGTCACAGAATTGAACATTCCTTTTCATAGTGCAGGTTTGAAACACTCTTTCCGTAGTATTTGGAAGTGGACATTTCAAGCGCTTTCAGGCCTACGGGGAGAAAGGAAATATCTTCAAATAAAAACTAGACAGAAGGATTCTCAGAAACTTATTTGTGATGTGTGTCCTAAACGAACACAGTTGAACCTTTGTTTTGATACAGCATTTTGGAAACACTCCTTTTGTAGGATCTGCAGGTGGATATTTGGATAGATTTTAAGATTTCGTTGGAAACGGGAATTTCTTCATAGAAGCTCAAGACAGATGCATTCTCAGAAACTTCTCTGTGATGTTTGCATTCCACTCATAGAGTTGAAAACTTCCTTTCATAGAGCAGGTTTGAAACACTCTTTTTGTAATATTTGGAAGTGGACATTTGCAGCGCTTTGAGGCCTATGGTGAAAAAGGAAATATCTTCTGACAAAAACCAGAAACAAGCATTCTCAGAAACTTCTTTTTGATGTGTGTACTCAAGTAACAGAGTTGAACCTTCCTTTTGACACAGCAGTTTTGAAACAATCTTTTTGTAGAATCTGCAAGTGGATATTTGGATAGCTTTGAGGATTTCGTTGGAAACGGGATATCTTCATATAAAAATCTAGGCAGAAGCATTCTCAGAAACTTCTTTGTGCTGTATGTCCTCAATTAACAGAGTTGAACCATTGCCTGGATACAGCATTTTGGAAACATTCCTTGAGTAGAATCTGCAAGTTGATATTTAGATAGATTTGAAGATTTCGTTGGAAACGGGAATATCTCCATATAAAATCTAGAGGGAAGCATTCTCAGAAACTGCTTTGTGATGTTTCCATTCAAGTCACAGAGTTGAATATTCCCTTTTATAGAGCACGTTTGAAACACTCTTTCTGCACTATCTGGAAGCGGACATTTCGAGCGCTTTGAGGCCTATGGTGAAAAAGGAAATATCTTCCCATAAAAACTAGACAGAAGCATTCTCAGAAACTTGTTTGTGATGTGTGTATTCAACTAACAGAGTTGAACTTTTGTTTTTACAGAGCCGTTTTAAAACACTCTTTTTGTGGAATCAGAAAGTGGATATTCGGATGGCTCTGAGGATTTCGTTGGAAGCGGGATTACGTATAAAATCTAGAGAGAAGCATTCTCAGGAACTTCTTTGTGATGTTTGCATTGAAGTCACGGAATTGAACATTCACTTTTATAGAGCAGGTTTGAAACACTCATTCTGTAGTATCTGGAAGTGGACATTTCAAGCGCTTTCAGGCCTATGGTGAGAAAGGAAATATCTTCGAATAAAAACTAGACAGAAGCATTCTCAGAAACTTATTTGTGATGTGTGTCCTCAACTAACAGAGTTGAAACTTTGTTTTGATACAGCATTTTGGAAACACTCTTTTTGTAGAATCTGCAGGTGGATATTTGGATAGCTTAGAGGGATTCGTTGGAAAGGGGATATCTTCATATAAAATCTAGACAGAAGCATTCTCAGAAACTTATTTGTGATGTGTGTCCTCAACTAACAGAGTTGAACCTTGGTTTTGATACAGCATTTTGGAAACACTCCTTTTGTAGAATCTGCAGGTGGATATGTGGATAGCTCTGAAGATTTCGTTGGAAACGGGAATTTCTTCATATAAAATCAAACAGAAGCATTCTCAGAAACTTCTCAGTGATGTTTGCATTCAGCTCATGGAGTTGTACACTTCCTTTCATAGAGCAGGTTTGAAACACTCTTTCTGCACTACCTGGAAGAGGACATTTTGAGCGCTTTGAGTCCTATGGTGAAAAAGGAAATATCTTCTCATAGAAACCAGAAAGAAGCATTCTCAGAAACTTCTTTGTGTTGTGTGTACTCATGTAACAGTGTTGAACCATCCTTTTGACAGAGCAGTTTTGAAACACTCTTTTTGTAGAATCTGCAAGTGGATATTTGGATAGCTTTGAGGATTTCGTTGGAAACGGGATGACATATAATATCTAGAGAGAAGCATTCTCAGGAACTTCTTTGTGATGTTTGCATTCAAGTCACAGAATTGAACATTCCCTTTCATAGAGCAGGTTTGAAACACTCTTTCTCTAGTATCTGGAAGTGGGCATTTCAAGCGCTTTCAGGCCTATGGAGAGAAAGGAAATACCTTCAAATAAAAACTAGACAGAAGCATTCTCAGAAACTTATTTGTGATGTGTGTCCTCAACTAACAGAGTTGAACCTTTGTTTTGATACAGCATTTTGGAAACACTCCTTTTGTAGAATCTGCAGGTGGATATTTGGATAGCTTTGAAGATTTCGTTGGAAACCGGAATATCTTCATATAAAATCAAGACAGAAGCATTCTCGGAAACATCTCTGTGATGTTTGCATTCAACTCAGTAGAGTTGAACACTTCCTTTCATAGAGCAGGTTTGAAACACTCTTTCTGCACTACCTGGAAGCGGACATTTCGAGCGCTTTGAGGCCTATGGTGAAAAAGGAAATATCTTCTCATAAAAACCAGAAAGAAGCATTCTCAGAAACTTCTTTGTGTTGTGTGTACTCAAGTAACAGTGTTGAACCTTCCTTTTGACAGAGTAGTTTTGAAACACTCTTTTGGTAGAATCTGCAAGTGGATATTTGGATAGCTTTGAGGATTTCGTTGGAAACGGGTTATCTTCCTATAAAATCCAGACAGGAGCATTCTCAGAAACTTCTTTGTGCTGTATGTCCTCAATTCACAGAGCTGAACCTTTGTTTGGATACAGCATTTTGGAGACATTCCTTTAGTAGAATCTGCAAGTTGATATTTAGATAGCTTTGAAGATTTCGTTGGAAACGGGAATATCTTCATAGAAAATCTAGACGGAAGCATTCTCAGAAACTGCTTTGTGATGTTTGCATTCAAGTCACAGAGTTGAATATTCCCTTTTATAGAGTAGGTTTGAAACACTCTTTCGGCACTACCTGGAAGTGGATATTTCGAGCTCTTTGAGGCCTATGGTTAAAAGGAAATATCTTCCCATAAAAACTAGACAGAAGCCGTCTCAGAAACTTGTTTGTGATGTGTGTATTCAACTACCAGAGTTGAACATTTCTGTTACAGAGCAATTTTAAAACACTCTTTCTGTGGAATCTGAAAGTGGATAATTGGATAGCTTTGTGGATTTCGTTGGAAACGGGATGACGTATAAAATCTAGAGAGAAGCATTCTCAGGAACTTCTTTCTGATGTTTGCATTCAAGTCACAGAATTGAACATTCCTTTTCAGAGTGCAGGTTTGAAACACTCTTTCTGTAGTATCTGGAAGTGGACATTTCAAGCGCTTTCAGGCCTACGGGGAGAAAGGAAATATCTTCAAATAAAAACTAGACAGAAGGATTCTCAGAAACTTATTTGTGATGTGTGTCCTAAACGAACACAGTTGAACCTTTGTTTTGATACAGCATTTTGGAAACACTCCTTTTGTAGGATCTGCAGGTGGATATTTGGATAGATTTTAAGATTTCGTTGGAAACGGGAATTTCTGCATATAAACTCAAGACAGATGCATTCTCAGAAACTTCTCTGTGATGTTTGCATTCCACTCATAGAGTTGAAAACTTCCTTTCATAGAGCAGGTTTGAAACACTCTTTTTGTAATATTTGGAAGTGGACATTTGCAGCACTGTGAGGCCTATGGTGAAAAAGGAAATATCTTCTCATAAAAACCAGAAACAAGCATTCTCAGAAACTGCTTTTTGATGTGTGTACTCAAGTAACAGAGTTGAACCTTCCTTTTGACACAGCAGTTTTGAAACAATCTTTTTGTAGAATCTGCAAGTGGATATTAGGATAGCTTTGAGGATTTCGTTGGAAACGGGATATCTTCATATAAAATCTAGACAGAAGCATTCTCAGAAACTTCTTTGTGCTGTATGTCCTCAATTAACAGAGTTGAACCATTGCTTGGATACAGCATTTTGGAAACATTCCTTTAGTAGAATCTGCAAGTAGATATTTAGATAGATTTGAAGATTTCGTTGGAAACGGGAATATCTTCATATAAAATCTAGACGGAGGCATTCTCAGAAACTGCTTTGTGATGTTTCCATTCAAGTCACAGAGTTGAATATTCTCTTTTATAGAGCACGTTTGAAACACTCTTTCTGCACTATCTGGAAGTGGACATTTCGAGCGCTTTGAGGCCTATGGTGAAAAAGGAAATATCTTCCCATAAAAACTAGACAGAAGCATTCTCAGAAACTTGTTTGTGATGTGTGTATTCAACTAACAGACTTGAACTTTTGTTTTTACAGAGCAGTTTTAACACAATCTTTTTGTGGAATCACAAAGTGGATATTCGGATGGCTTTGAGGATTTCGTTGGAAGCGGGATTACATATAAAATCTAGAGAGAAGCATTCTCAGGAACTACTTTGTGATGTTTACATTGAAGTCACAGAATTGAACATTCACTTTGATAGAGCAGGTTTGAAACACTCATTCTGTAGTATCTGGAAGCCGACAATTCAAGCGCTTTCAGGCCTATGGGGAGAAAGGAAATATCTTCAAATAGAAACTAGACAGAAGCATCTCTCAGAAACTTATTTGTGATGTGTGTCCTCAACTAACAGAGTTAAAACTTTGTTTTGATACAGCATTTTGGAAACACTCTTTTTGTAGAATCTGCAGGTGGATATTTGGATAGCTTAGAGGGATTCGTTGGAAAGGGGATATCTTCATATAAAATCTAGACAGAAGCATTCTCAGAAACTTATTTGTGATGTGTGTCCTCAACTAACAGAGTTGAACCTTGGTTTTGATACAGCATTTTGGAAACACTTCTTTTGTAGAATCTGCAGGTGGATATGTGGATAGCTTTGAAGATTTCGTTGGAAACGGGAATTTCTTCATATAAAATCAAACAGAAGCATTCTTAGAAACTTCTCAGTGATGTTTGCATTCAGCTCATGGAGTTGAACACTTCCTTTCATAGAGCAGGTTTGAAACACTCTTTCTGCACTACCTGGAAGAGGACATTTCGAGCGCTTTGAGTCCTATGGTGAAAAAGGAAATATCTTCTCATAGAAACCAGAAAGAAGCATTCTCAGAAACTTCTTTGTGTTGTGTGTACTCATGTAACAGTGTTGAACCATCCTTTTGACAGAGCAGTTTTGAAACACTCTTTTTGTAGAATCTGCAAGTGGATATTTGGATAGCTTTGAGGATTTCGTTGGAAACGGGATGACATATAATATCTAGAGAGAAGCATTCTCAGGAACTTCTTTGTGATGTTTGCATTCAAGTCACAGAATTGAACATTCCCTTTCATAGAGCAGGTTTGAAACACTCTTTCTCTAGTATCTGGAAGTGGGCATTTCAAGCGCTTTCAGGCCTATGGAGAGAAAGGAAATACCTTCAAATAAAAACTAGACAGAAGCATTCTCAGAAACTTATTTGTGATGTGTGTCCTCAACTAACAGAGTTGAACCTTTGTTTTGATACAGCATTTTGGAAACACTCCTTTTGTAGAATCTGCAGGTGGATATTTGGATAGCTTTGAAGATTTCGTTGGAAACCGGAATATCTTCATATAAAATCAAGACAGAAGCATTCTCGGAAACATCTCTGTGATGTTTGCATTCAACTCAGTAGAGTTGAACACTTCCTTTCATAGAGCAGGTTTGAAACACTCTTTCTGCACTACCTGGAAGCGGACATTTCGAGCGCTTTGAGGCCTATGGTGAAAAAGGAAATATCTTCTCATAAAAACCAGAAAGAAGCATTCTCAGAAACTTCTTTGTGTTGTGTGTACTCAAGTAACAGTGTTGAACCTTCCTTTTGACAGAGCAGTTTTGAAACACTCTTTTGGTAGAATCTGCAAGTGGATATTTGGATAGCTTTGAGGATTTCGTTGGAAACGGGTTATCTTCCTATAAAATCCAGACAGGAGCATTCTCAGAAACTTCTTTGTGCTGTATGTCCTCAATTCACAGAGCTGAACCTTTGTTTGGATACAGCATTTTGGAGACATTCCTTTAGTAGAATCTGCAAGTTGATATTTAGATAGCTTTGAAGATTTCGTTGGAAACGGGAATATCTTCATAGAAAATCTAGACGGAAGCATTCTCAGAAACTGCTTTGTGATGTTTGCATTCAAGTCACAGAGTTGAATATTCCCTTTTATAGAGTAGGTTTGAAACACTCTTTCGGCACTACCTGGAAGTGGATATTTCGAGCTCTTTGAGGCCTATGGTTAAAAGGAAATATCTTCCCATAAAAACTAGACAGAAGCCGTCTCAGAAACTTGTTTGTGATGTGTGTATTCAACTAACAGAGTTGAACATTTCTGTTACAGAGCAATTTTAAAACACTCTTTGTGGAATCTGAAAGTGGATAATTGGATAGCTTTGTGGATTTCGTTGGAAACGGGATGACGTATAAAATCTAGAGAGAAGCATTCTCAGGAACTTCTTTCTGATGTTTGCATTCAAGTCACAGAATTGAACATTCCTTTTCAGAGTGCAGGTTTGAAACACTCTTTCCGTAGTATCTGGAAGTGGACATTTCAAGCGCTTTCAGGCCTACGGGGAGAAAGGAAATATCTTCAAATAAAAACTAGACAGAAGGATTCTCAGAAACTTATTTGTGATGTGTGTCCTAAACGAACACAGTTGAACCTTTGTTTTGATACAGCATTTTGGAAACACTCCTTTTGTAGGATCTGCAGGTGGATATTTGGATAGATTTTAAGATTTCGTTGGAAACGGGAATTTCTTCATAGAAGCTCAAGACAGAAGCATTCTCAGAAACTGCTTTGTGATGTTTCCATTCAAGTCACAGAGTTGAATATTCCCTTTTATAGAGCACGTTTGAAACACTCTTTCTGCACTATCTGGAAGCGGACATTTCGAGCGCTTTGAGGCCTATGGTGAAAAAGGAAATATCTTCCCATAAAAACTAGACAGAAGCATTCTCAGAAACTTGTTTGTGATGTGTGTATTCAACTAACAGAGTTGAACTTTTGTTTTTACAGAGCCGTTTTAAAACACTCTTTTTGTGGAATCAGAAAGTGGATATTCGGATGGCTCTGAGGATTTCGTTGGAAGCAGGATTACGTATAAAATCTAGAGAGAAGCATTCTCAGGAACTTCTTTGTGATGTTTGCATTGAAGTCACAGAATTGAACATTCACTTTGATAGAGCAGGTTTGAAACACTCATTCTGTAGTATCTGGAAGTGGACATTTCAAGCGCTTTCAGGCCTATGGTGAGAAAGGAAATATCTTCGAATAAAAACTAGACAGAAGCATCCTCAAACTTATTTGTGATGTGTGTCCTCAACTAACAGAGTTGAAACTTTGTTTTGATACAGCATTTTGGAAACACTCTTTTTGTAGAATCTGCAGGTGGATATTTGGATAGCTTAGAGGGATTCGTTGGAAAGGGGATATCTTCATATAAAATCTAGACAGAAGCATTCTCAGAAACTTATTTGTGATGTGTGTCCTCAACTAACAGAGTTGAACCTTGGTTTTGATACAGCATTTTGGAAACACTCCTTTTGTAGAATCTGCAGGTGGATATGTGGATAGCTCTGAAGATTTCGTTGGAAACGGGAATTTCTTCATATAAAATCAAACAGAAGCATTCTCAGAAACTTCTCAGTGATGTTTGCATTCAGCTCATGGAGTTGTACACTTCCTTTCATAGAGCAGGTTTGAAACACTCTTTCTGCACTACCTGGAAGAGGACATTTCGAGCGCTTTGAGTCCTATGGTGAAAAAGGAAATATCTTCTCATAGAAACCAGAAAGAAACATTCTCAGAAACTTCTTTGTGTTGTGTGTACTCATGTAACAGTGTTGAACCATCCTTTTGACAGAGCAGTTTTGAAACACTCTTTTTGTAGAATCTGCAAGTGGATATTTGGATAGCTTTGAGGATTTCGTTGGAAACGGGATGACATATAATATCTAGAGAGAAGCATTCTCAGGAACTTCTTTGTGATGTTTGCATTCAAGTCACAGAATTGAACATTCCCTTTCATAGAGCAGGTTTGAAACACTCTTTCTCTAGTATCTGGAAGTGGGCATTTCAAGCGCTTTCAGGCCTATGGAGAGAAAGGAAATACCTTCAAATAAAAACTAGACAGAAGCATTCTCAGAAACTTATTTGTGATGTGTGTCCTCAACTAACAGAGTTGAACCTTTGTTTTGATACAGCATTTTGGAAACACTCCTTTTGTAGAATCTGCAGGTGGATATTTGGGTAGCTTTGAAGATTTCGTTGGAAACCGGAATATCTTCATATAAAATCAAGACAGAAGCATTCTCGGAAACATCTCTGTGATGTTTGCATTCAACTCAGTAGAGTTGAACACTTCCTTTCATAGAGCAGGTTTGAAACACTCTTTCTGCACTACCTGGAAGCGGACATTTCGAGCGCTTTGAGGCCTATGGTGAAAAAGGAAATATCTTCTCATAAAAACCAGAAAGAAGCATTCTCAGAAACTTCTTTGTGTTGTGTGTACTCAAGTAACAGTGTTGAACCTTCCTTTTGACAGAGCAGTTTTGAAACACTCTTTTGGTAGAATCTGCAAGTGGATATTTGGATAGCTTTGAGGATTTCGTTGGAAACGGGTTATCTTCCTATAAAATCCAGACAGGAGCATTCTCAGAAACTTCTTTGTGCTGTATGTCCTCAATTCACAGAGCTGAACCTTTGTTTGGATACAGCATTTTGGAGACATTCCTTTAGTAGAATCTGCAAGTTGATATTTAGATAGCTTTGAAGATTTCGTTGGAAACGGGAATATCTTCATAGAAAATCTAGACGGAAGCATTCTCAGAAACTGCTTTGTGATGTTTCCATTCAAGTCACAGAGTTGAATATTCTCTTTTATAGAGCACGATTGAAACACTCTTTCTGCACTATCTGGAAGTGGACATTTCGAGCGCTTTGAGGCCTATGGTGAAAAAGGAAATATCTTCCCATAAAAACTAGACAGAAGCATTCTCAGAAACTTGTTTGTGATGTGTGTATTCAACTAACAGAGTTGAACTTTTGTTTTTACAGAGCCGTTTTAAAACACTCTTTTTGTGGAATCAGAAAGTGGATATTCGGATGGCTCTGAGGATTTCGTTGGAAGCGGGATTACATATAAAATCTAGAGAGAAGCATTCTCAGGAACTTCTTTGTGATGTTTGCATTGAAGTCACAGAATTGAACATTCACTTTGATAGAGCAGGTTTGAAACACTCATTCTGTAGTATCTGGAAGTGGACATTTCAAGCGCTTTCAGGCCTATGGTGAGAAAGGAAATATCTTCGAATAAAAACTAGACAGAAGCATCCTCAAACTTATTTGTGATGTGTGTCCTCAACTAACAGAGTTGAAACTTTGTTTTGATACAGCATTTTGGAAACACTCTTTTTGTAGAATCTGCAGGTGGATATTTGGATAGCTTAGAGGGATTCGTTGGAAAGGGGATATCTTCATATAGAATCTAGACAGAAGCATTCTCAGAAACTTATTTGTGATGTGTGTCCTCAACTAACAGAGTTGAACTTTGGTTTTGATACAGCATTTTGGAAACACTCCTTTTGTAGAATCTGCAGGTGGATATGTGGATAGCTCTGAAGATTTCGTTGGAAACGGGAATTTCTTCATAGAAAATCAAACAGAAGCATTCTCAGAAACTTCTCAGTGATGTTTGCCTTCAGTTCATGGAGTTGAACATTCCTTTCATAGAGCCGGTTTGAAACACTCTTTCTGCACTACCTGGAAGAGGACATTTCGAGCGCTTTGAGTCCTATGGTGAAAAAGGAAATATCTTCTCATAGAAACCAGAAAGAAGCATTCTCAGAAACTTCTTTGTGTTGTGTGTACTCATGTAACAGTGTTGAACCATCCTTTTGACAGAGCAGTTTTGAAACACTCTTTTTGTAGAATCTGCAAGTGGATATTTGGATAGCTTTGAGGATTTCGTTGGAAACGGGATGACATATAATATCTAGAGAGAAGCATTCTCAGGAACTTCTTTGTGATGTTTGCATTCAAGTCACAGAATTGAACATTCCCTTTCATAGAGCAGGTTTGAAACACTCTTTCTCTAGTATCTGGAAGTGGGCATTTCAAGCGCTTTCAGGCCTATGGAGAGAAAGGAAATACCTTCAAATAAAAACTAGACAGAAGCATTCTCAGAAACTTATTTGTGATGTGTGTCCTCAACTAACAGAGTTGAACCTTTGTTTTGATACAGCATTTTGGAAACACTCCTTTTGTAGAATCTGCAGGTGGATATGTGGATAGCTTTGAAGATTTCGTTGGAAACCGGAATATCTTCCTATAAAATCAAGACAGAAGCATTCTCGGAAACATCTCTGTGATGTTTGCATTCAACTCAGTAGAGTTGAACACTTCCTTTCATAGAGCAGGTTTGAAACACTCTTTCTGCCCTACCTGGAAGCGGACATTTCGAGCTCTTTGAGGCCTATGGTGAAAAAGGAAATATCTTCTCATAAAAACCAGAAAGAAGCATTCTCAGAAACTTCTTTGTGTTGTGTGTACTCAAGTAACAGTGTTGAACCTTCCTTTTGACAGAGCAGTTTTGAAACACTCTTTTGGTAGAATCTGCAAGTGGATATTTGGATAGCTTTGAGGATTTCGTTGGAAACGGGTAATCTTCATATAAAATCCAGACAGGAGCATTCTCAGAAACTTCTTTGTGCTGTATGTCCTCAATTCACAGAGCTGAACCTTTGTTTGGATACAGCATTTTGGAGACATTCCTTTAGTAGAATCTGCAAGTTGATATTTAGATAGCTTTGAAGATTTCGTTGGAAACGGGAATATCTTCATAGAAAATCTAGACGGGAAGCATTCTCAGAAACTGCTTTGTGATGTTTGCATTCAAGTCACAGAGTTGAATATTCCCTTTTATAGAGTAGGTTTGAAACACTCTTTCGGCACTACCTGGAAGTGGATATTTCGAGCTCTTTGAGGCCTATGGTTAAAAGGAAATATCTTCCCATAAAAACTAGACAGAAGCCGTCTCAGAAACTTGTTTGTGATGTGTGTATTCAACTAACAGAGTTGAACATTTCTGTTACAGAGCAATTTAAAACACTCTTTTTGTGGAATCTGAAAGTGGATAATTGGATAGCTTTGTGGATTTCGTTGGAAACGGGATGACGTATAAAATCTAGAGAGAAGCATTCTCAGGAACTTCTTTCTGATGTTTGCATTCAAGTCACAGAATTGAACATTCCTTTTCAGAGTGCAGGTTTGAAACACTCTTTCTGTAGTATCTGGAAGTGGACATTTCAAGCGCTTTCAGGCCTACGGGGAGAAAGGAAATATCTTCAAATAAAAACTAGAGAGAAGGATTCTCAGAAACTTATTTGTGATGTGTGTCCTAAACGAACACAGTTGAACCTTTGTTTTGATACAGCATTTTGGAAACACTCCTTTTGTAGGATCTGCAGGTGGATATTTGGATAGATTTTAAGATTTCGTTGGAAACGGGAATTTCTTCATAGAAGCTCAAGACAGATGCATTCTCAGAAACTTCTCTGTGATGTTTGCATTCCACTCATAGAGTTGAAAACTTCCTTTCATAGAGCAGGTTTGAAACACTCTTTTTGTAATATTTGGAAGTGGACATTTGCAGCGCTTTGAGGCCTATGGTGAAAAAGGAAATATCTTCTCATAAAAACCAGAAACAAGCATTCTCAGAAACTTCTTTTTGATGTGTGTACTCAAGTAACAGAGTTGAACCTTCCTCTTGACACAGCAGTTTCGAAACAATCTTTTTGTAGAATCTGCAAGTGGATATTTGGATAGCTTTGAGGATTTCGTTGGAAACGGGATATCTTCATATAAAATCTAGACAGAAGCATTCTCAGAAACTTCTTTGTGCTGTATGTCCTCAATTAACAGAATTGAACCATTGCCTGGATACAGCATTTTGGAAACATTCCTTGAGTAGAATCTGCAAGTTGATATTTAGATAGATTTGAAGATTTCGTTGGAAAAGGGAATATCTCCATATAAAATCTAGAGGGAAGCATTCTCAGAAACTGCTTTGTGATGTTTCCATTCAAGTCACAGAGTTGAATATTCCCTTTTATAGAGCACGTTTGAAACACTCTTTCTGCACTATCTGGAAGCGGACATTTCGAGCGCTTTGAGGCCTATGGTGAAAAAGGAAATATCTTCCCATAAAAACTAGACAGAAGCATTCTCAGAAACTTGTTTGTGATGTGTGTATTCAACTAACAGAGTTGAACTTTTGTTTTTACAGAGCCGTTTTAAAACACTCTTTTTGTGGAATCAGAAAGTGGATATTCGGATGGCTCTGAGGATTTCGTTGGAAGCGGGATTACGTATAAAATCTAGAGAGAAGCATTCTCAGGAACTTCTTTGTGATGTTTGCATTGAAGTCACAGAATTCAACATTCACTTTGATAGAGCAGGTTTGAAACACTCATTCTGTAGAATCTGGAAGTGGACATTTCAAGCGCTTTCAGGCCTATGGTGAGAAAGGAAATATCTTCGAATAAAAACTAGACAGAAGCATCCTCAAACTTATTTGTGATGTGTGTCCTCAACTAACAGAGTTGAAACTTTGTTTTGATACAGCATTTTGGAAACACTCTTTTTGTAGAATCTGCAGGTGGATATTTGGATAGCTTAGAGGGATTCGTTGGAAAGGGGATATCTTCATATAAAATCTAGACAGAAGCATTCTCAGAAACTTATTTGTGATGTGTGTCCTCAACTAACAGAGTTGAACCTTGGTTTTGATACAGCATTTTGGAAACACTCCTTTTGTAGAATCTGCAGGTGGATATGTGGATAGCTCTGAAGATTTCGTTGGAAACGGGAATTTCTTCATATAAAATCAAACAGAAGCATTCTCAGAAACTTCTCAGTGATGTTTGCATTCAGCTCATGGAGTTGAACACTTCCTTTCATAGAGCAGGTTTGAAACACTCTTTCTGCACTACCTGGAAGAGGACATTTCGAGCGCTTTGAGTCCTATGGTGAAAAAGGAAATATCTTCTCATAGAAACCAGAAAGAAGCATTCTCAGAAACTTCTTTGTGTTGTGTGTACTCATGTAACAGTGTTGAACCATCCTTTTGACAGAGGAGTTTTGAAACACTCTTTTTGTAGAATCTGCAAGTGGATATTTGGATAGCTTTGAGGATTTCGTTGGAAACGGGATGACATATAATATCTAGAGAGAAGCATTCTCAGGAACTTCTTTGTGATGTTTGCATTCAAGTCACAGAATTGAACATTCCCTTTCATAGAGCAGGTTTGAAACACTCTTTCTCTAGTATCTGGAAGTGGGCATTTCAAGCGCTTTCAGGCCTATGGAGAGAAAGGAAATACCTTCAAATAAAAACTAGACAGAAGCATTCTCAGAAACTTATTTGTGATGTGTGTCCTCAACTAACAGAGTTGAACCTTTGTTTTGATACAGCATTTTGGAAACACTCCTTTTGTAGAATCTGCAGGTGGATATGTGGATAGCTTTGAAGATTTCGTTGGAAACCGGAATATCTTCCTATAAAATCAAGACAGAAGCATTCTCGGAAACATCTCTGTGATGTTTGCATTCAACTCAGTAGAGTTGAACACTTCCTTTCATAGAGCAGGTTTGAAACACTCTTTCTGCACTACCTGGAAGCGGACATTTCGAGCGCTTTGAGGCCTATGGTGAAAAAGGAAATATCTTCTCATAAAAACCAGAAAGAAGCATTCTCAGAAACTTCTTTGTGTTGTGTGTACTCAAGTAACAGTGTTGAACCTTCCTTTTGACAGAGCAGTTTTGAAACACTCTTTTGGTAGAATCTGCAAGTGGATATTTGGAGAGCTTTGAGGATTTCGTTGGAAACGGGTTATCTTCATATAAAATCCAGACAGGAGCATTCTCAGAAACTTCTTTGTGCTGTATGTCCTCAATTCACAGAGCTGAACCTTTGTTTGGATACAGCATTTTGGAGACATTCCTTTAGTAGAATCTGCAAGTTGATATTTAGATAGCTTTGAAGATTTCGTTGGAAACGGGAATATCTTCATAGAAAATGCTAGACGGAAGCATTCTCAGAAACTGCTTTGTGATGTTTGCATTCAAGTCACAGAGTTGAATATTCCCTTTTATAGAGTAGGTTTGAAACACTCTTTCGGCACTACCTGGAAGTGGATATTTCGAGCTCTTTGAGGCCTATGGTTAAAAGGAAATATCTTCCCATAAAAACTAGACAGAAGCCGTCTCAGAAACTTGTTTGTGATGTGTGTATTCAACTAACAGAGTTGAACATTTCTGTTACAGAGCAATTTTAAAACACTCTTTGTGGAATCTGAAAGTGGATAATTGGATAGCTTTGTGGATTTCGTTGGAAACGGGATGACGTATAAAATCTAGAGAGAAGCATTCTCAGGAACTTCTTTCTGATGTTTGCATTCAAGTCACAGAATTGAACATTCCTTTTCAGAGTGCAGGTTTGAAACACTCTTTCTGTAGTATCTGGAAGTGGACATTTCAAGCGCTTTCAGGCCTACGGGGAGAAAGGAAATATCTTCAAATAAAAACTAGACAGAAGGATTCTCAGAAACTTATTTGTGATGTGTGTCCTAAACGAACACAGTTGAACCTTTGTTTTGATACAGCATTTTGGAAACACTCCTTTTGTAGGATCTGCAGGTGGATATTTGGATAGATTTTAAGATTTCGTTGGAAACGGGAATTTCTTCATAGAAGCTCAAGACAGATGCATTCTCAGAAACTTCTCTGTGATGTTTGCATTCCACTCATAGAGTTGAAAACTTCCTTTCATAGAGCAGGTTTGAAACACTCTTTTTGTAATATTTGGAAGTGGACATTTGCAGCGCTTTGAGGCCTATGGTGAAAAAGGAAATATCTTCTCATAAAAACCAGAAACAAGCATTCTCAGAAACTTCTTTTTGATGTGTGTACTCAAGTAACAGAGTTGAACCTTCCTCTTGACACAGCAGTTTTGAAACAATCTTTTTGTAGAATCTGCAAGTGGATATTTGGATAGCTTTGAGGATTTCGTTGGAAACGGGATATCTTCATATAAAATCTAGACAGAAGCATTCTCAGAAACTTCTTTGTGCTGTATGTCCTCAATTAACAGAGTTGAACCATTGCCTGGATACAGCATTTTGGAAACATTCCTTGAGTAGAATCTGCAAGTTGATATTTAGATAGATTTGAAGATTTCGTTGGAAAAGGGAATATCTCCATATAAAATCTAGAGGGAAGCATTCTCAGAAACTGCTTTGTGATGTTTCCATTCAAGTCACAGAGTTGAATATTCCCTTTTATAGAGCACGTTTGAAACACTCTTTCTGCACTATCTGGAAGCGGACATTTCGAGCGCTTTGAGGCCTATGGTGAAAAAGGAAATATCTTCCCATAAAAACTAGACAGAAGCATTCTCAGAAACTTGTTTGTGATGTGTGTATTCAACTAACAGAGTTGAACTTTTGTTTTTACAGAGCCGTTTTAAAACACTCTTTTTGTGGAATCAGAAAGTGGATATTCGGATGGCTCTGAGGATTTCGTTGGAAGCGGGATTACGTATAAAATCTAGAGAGAAGCATTCTCAGGAACTTCTTTGTGATGTTTGCATTGAAGTCACGGAATTGAACATTCCCTTTCATAGAGCAGGTTTGAAACACTCTTTCTCTAGTATCTGGAAGTGGGCATTTCAAGCGCTTTCAGGCCTATGGAGAGAAAGGAAATACCTTCAAATAAAAACTAGACAGAAGCATTCTCAGAAACTTATTTGTGATGTGTGTCCTCAACTAACAGAGTTGAACCTTTGTTTTGATACAGCATTTTGGAAACACTCCTTTTGTAGAATCTGCAGGTGGATATTTGGATAGCTTTGAAGATTTCGTTGGAAACCGGAATATCTTCATATAAAATCAAGACAGAAGCATTCTCGGAAACATCTCTGTGATGTTTGCATTCAACTCAGTAGAGTTGAACACTTCCTTTCATAGAGCAGGTTTGAAACACTCTTTCTGCACTACCTGGAAGCGGACATTTCGAGCGCTTTGAGGCCTATGGTGAAAAAGGAAATATCTTCTCATAAAAACCAGAAAGAAGCATTCTCAGAAACTTCTTTGTGTTGTGTGTACTCAAGTAACAGTGTTGAACCTTCCTTTTGACAGAGTAGTTTTGAAACACTCTTTTGGTAGAATCTGCAAGTGGATATTTGGATAGCTTTGAGGATTTCGTTGGAAACGGGTTATCTTCCTATAAAATCCAGACAGGAGCATTCTCAGAAACTTCTTTGTGCTGTATGTCCTCAATTCACAGAGTTGAACCTTTGTTTGGATACAGCATTTTGGAAACATTCCTTTAGTAGAATCTGCAAGTTGATATTTAGATAGCTTTGAAGATTTCGTTGGAAACGGGAATATCTTCATAAAAAATCTAGACGGAAGCATTCTCAGAAACTGCTTTGTGATGTTTGCATTCAAGTCACAGAGTTGAATATTCCCTTTTATAGAGTAGGTTTGAAACACTCTTTCGGCACTACCTGGAAGTGGATATTTCGAGCTCTTTGAGGCCTATGGTTAAAAGGAAATATCTTCCCATAAAAACTAGACAGAAGCCGTCTCAGAAACTTGTTTGTGATGTGTGTATTCAACTAACAGAGTTGAACATTTCTGTTACAGAGCAATTTAAAACACTCTTTTTGTGGAATCTGAAAGTGGATAATTGGATAGCTTTGTGGATTTCGTTGGAAACGGGATGACGTATAAAATCTAGAGAGAAGCATTCTCAGGAACTTCTTTCTGATGTTTGCATTCAAGTCACAGAATTGAACATTCCTTTTCATAGTGCAGGTTTGAAACACTCTTTCTGTAGTATCTGGAAGTGGACATTTCAAGCGCTTTCAGGCCTGTGGGGAGAAAGGAAATATCTTCAAATAAAAACTAGACAGAAGGATTCTCAGAAACTTATTTGTGATGTGTGTCCTAAACGAACACAGTTGAACCTTTGTTTTGATACAGCATTTTGGAAACACTCCTTTTGTAGGATCTGCAGGTGGATATTTGGATAGATTTTAAGATTTCGTTGGAAACGGGAATTTCTTCATAGAAGCTCAAGACAGATGCATTCTCAGAAACTTCTCTGTGATGTTTGCATTCCACTCATAGAGTTGAAAACTTCCTTTCATAGAGCAGGTTTGAAACACTCTTTTTGTAATATTTGGAAGTGGACATTTGCAGCGCTTTGAGGCCTATGGTGAAAAAGGAAATATCTTCTCATAAAAACCAGAAACAAGCATTCTCAGAAACTTCTTTTTGATGTGTGTACTCAAGTAACAGAGTTGAACCTTCCTCTTGACACAGCAGTTTTGAAACAATCTTTTTGTAGAATCTGCAAGTGGATATTTGGATAGCTTTGAGGATTTCGTTGGAAACGGGATATCTTCATATAAAATCTAGACAGAAGCATTCTCAGAAACTTCTTTGTGCTGTATGTCCTCAATTAACAGAGTTGAACCATTGCCTGGATACAGCATTTTGGAAACATTCCTTGAGTAGAATCTGCAAGTTGATATTTAGATAGATTTGAAGATTTCGTTGGAAAAGGGAATATCTCCATATAAAATCTAGAGGGAAGCATTCTCAGAAACTGCTTTGTGATGTTTCCATTCAAGTCACAGAGTTGAATATTCCCTTTTATAGAGCACGTTTGAAACACTCTTTCTGCACTATCTGGAAGCGGACATTTCGAGCGCTTTGAGGCCTATGGTGAAAAAGGAAATATCTTCCCATAAAAACTAGACAGAAGCATTCTCAGAAACTTGTTTGTGATGTGTGTATTCAACTAACAGAGTTGAACTTTTGTTTTTACAGAGCCGTTTTAAAACACTCTTTTTGTGGAATCAGAAAGTGGATATTCGGATGGCTCTGAGGATTTCGTTGGAAGCGGGATTACGTATAAAATCTAGAGAGAAGCATTCTCAGGAACTTCTTTCTGATGTTTGCATTGAAGTCACGGAATTGAACATTCACTTTTATAGAGCAGGTTTGAAACACTCATTCTGTAGTATCTGGAAGTGGACATTTCAAGCGCTTTCAGGCCTATGGTGAGAAAGGAAATATCTTCGAATAAAAACTAGACAGAAGCATCCTCAGAAACTTATTTGTGATGTGTGTCCTCAAATAACAGAGTTGAAACTTTGTTTTGATACAGCATTTTGGAAACACTCTTTTTGTAGAATCTGCAGGTGGATATTTGGATAGCTTAGAGGGATTCGTTGGAAAGGGGATATCTTCATATAAAATCTAGACAGAAGCATTCTCAGAAACTTATTTGTGATGTGTGTCCTCAACTAACAGAGTTGAACCTTGGTTTTGATACAGCATTTTGGAAACACTCCTTTTGTAGAATCTGCATGTGGATATGTGGATAGCTCTGAAGATTTCGTTGGAAACGGGAATTTCTTCATATAAAATCAAACAGAAGCATTCTCAGGAACTTCTCTGTGATGTTTGCATTCAGCTCATGGAGTTGAACACTTCCTTTCATAGAGCAGGTTTGAAACACTCTTTCTGCACTACCTGGAAGTGGACATTTCGAGCGCTTTGAGGCCTATGGTGAAAAAGGAAATATCCTCTCATAAAAACCAGAAAGAAGCGTTCTCAGAAACTTCTTTGTGTTGTGTGTACTCATGTAACAGTGTTGAACCATCCTTTTGACAGAGCAGTTTTGAAACACTCTTTTTGTAGAATCTGCAAGTGGATATTTGGATAGCTTTGAGGATTTCGTTGGAAACGGGTTATCTTCATATTAAATCTAGACAGAAGCATTCTCAGAAACTTCTTTGTGCTGTATGTCCTCAATTCACAGAGTTGAACCTTTGTTTGGATACAGCATTTTGGAAACATTCCTTTAGTAGAATCTGCAAGTTGATATTTAGATAGCTTTGAAGATTTCGTTGGAAACGGGAATATCTTCATAAAAAATCTAGACGGAAGCATTGTCAGAAACTGCTTTGTGATGTTTGCATTCAAGTCACAGAGTTAAATATTCTTTTACAGAGCAGGTTTGAAACACTCTTTCTGCACTCCCTGGAAGTGGAGATTTCGAGCGCTTTGAGGCCTGTGGTGAAAAAGGAAATATCTTCCCATAAAAACTAGACGGAAGCATTCTCAGAAACTTGTTTGTGATGTGTGTATTCAACTAACAGAGTTGAACTTTTGTTTTTACAGAGCCGTTTTAAAACACTCTTTTTGTGGAATCAGAAAGTGGATATTCGGATGGCTCTGAGGATTTCGTTGGAAGCGGGATTACGTAAAAAATCTAGAGAGAAGCATTCTCAGGAACTTCTTTCTGATGTTTGCATTGAAGTCACAGAATTGAACATTCACTTTGATAGAGCAGGTTTGAAACACTCATTCTGTAGTATCTGGAAGTGGACATTTCAAGCGCTTTCAGGCCTATGGTGAGAAAGGAAATATCTTCGAATAAAAACTAGACAGAAGCATCCTCAGAAACTTATTTGTGATGTGTGTCCTCAACTAACAGAGTTGAAACTTTGTTTTGATACAGCATTTTGGAAACACTCTTTTTGTAGAATCTGCAGGTGGATATTTTGATAGCTTAGAGGGATTCGTTGGAAAGGGGATATCTTCATATAAAATCTAGACAGAAGCATTCTCAGAAACTTATTTGTGATGTGTGTCCTCAACTAACAGAGTTGAACTTTGGTTTTGATACAGCATTTTGGAAACACTCCTTTTGTAGAATCTGCAGGTGGATATGTGGATAGCTCTGAAGATTTCGTTGGAAACGGGAATTTCTTCATATAAAATCAAACAGAAGCATTCTCAGAAACTTCTCAGTGATGTTTGCATTCAGTTCATGGAGTTGAACACTTCCCTTCATAGAGCCGGTTTGAAACACTCTTTCTGCACTACCTGGAAGCGGACATTTCGAGCGCTTTGAGTCCTATGGTGAAAAAGGAAATATCTTCTCATAGAAACCAGAAAGAAGCATTCTCAGAAACTTCTTTGTGTTGTGTGTACTCATGTAACAGTGTTGAACCATCCTTTTGACAGAGCAGTTTTGAAACACTCTTTTTGAAGAATCTGCAAGTGGATATTTGGATAGCTTTGAGGATTTCGTTGGAAACGGGATGACATATAATATCTAGAGAGAAGCATTCTCAGGAACTTCTTTGTGATGTTTGCATTCAAGTCACAGAATTGAACATTCCCTTTCATAGAGCAGGTTTGAAACACTCTTTCTCTAGTATCTGGAAGTGGGCATTTCAAGCGCTTTCAGGCCTATGGAGAGAAAGGAAATACCTTCAAATAAAAACTAGACAGAAGCATTCTCAGAAACTTATTTGTGATGTGTGTCCTCAACTAACAGAGTTGAACCTTTGTTTTGATACAGCATTTTGGAAACACTCCTTTTGTAGAATCTGCAGGTGGATATGTGGATAGCTTTGAAGATTTCGTTGGAAACCGGAATATCTTCCTATAAAATCAAGACAGAAGCATTCTCGGAAACATCTCTGTGATGTTTGCATTCAACTCAGTAGAGTTGAACACTTCCTTTCATAGAGCAGGTTTGAAACACTCTTTCTGCACTACCTGGAAGCGGACATTTTGAGCGCTTTGAGGCCTATGGTGAAAAAGGAAATATCTTCTCATAAAAACCAGAAAGAAGCATTCTCAGAAACTTCTTTGTGTTGTGTGTACTCAAGTAACAGTGTTGAACCTTCCTTTTGACAGAGTAGTTTTGAAACACTCTTTTGGTAGAATCTGCAAGTGGATATTTGGATAGCTTTGAGGATTTCGTTGGAAACGGGTTATCTTCCTATAAAATCCAGACAGGAGCATTCTCAGAAACTTCTTTGTGCTGTATGTCCTCAATTCACAGAGCTGAACCTTTGTTTGGATACAGCATTTTGGAGACATTCCTTTAGTAGAATCTGCAAGTTGATATTTAGATAGCTTTGAAGATTTCGTTGGAAACGGGAATATCTTCATAGAAAATCTAGACGGAAGCATTCTCAGAAACTGCTTTGTGATGTTTGCATTCAAGTCACAGAGTTGAATATTCCCTTTTATAGAGTAGGTTTGAAACACTCTTTCGGCACTACCTGGAAGTGGATATTTCGAGCTCTTTGAGGCCTATGGTTAAAAGGAAATATCTTCCCATAAAAACTAGACAGAAGCCGTCTCAGCAAACTTGTTTGTGATGTGTGTATTCAACTAACAGAGTTGAACATTTCTGTTACAGAGCAATTTTAAAACACTCTTTTTGTGGAATCTGAAAGTGGATAATTGGATAGCTTTGTGGATTTCGTTGGAAACGGGATGACGTATAAAATCTAGAGAGAAGCATTCTCAGGAACTTCTTTCTGATGTTTGCATTCAAGTCACAGAATTGAACATTCCTTTTCAGAGTGCAGGTTTGAAACACTCTTTCTGTAGTATCTGGAAGTGGACATTTCAAGCGCTTTCAGGCCTACGGGGAGAAAGGAAATATCTTCAAATAAAAACTAGAGAGAAGGATTCTCAGAAACTTATTTGTGATGTGTGTCCTAAACGAACACAGTTGAACCTTTGTTTTGATACAGCATTTTGGAAACACTCCTTTTGTAGGATCTGCAGGTGGATATTTGGATAGATTTTAAGATTTCGTTGGAAACGGGAATTTCTTCATAGAAGCTCAAGACAGATGCATTCTCAGAAACTTCTCTGTGATGTTTGCATTCCACTCATAGAGTTGAAAACTTCCTTTCATAGAGCAGGTTTGAAACACTCTTTTTGTAATATTTGGAAGTGGACATTTGCAGCGCTTTGAGGCCTATGGTGAAAAAGGAAATATCTTCTCATAAAAACCAGAAACAAGCATTCTCAGAAACTTCTTTTTGATGTGTGTACTCAAGTAACAGAGTTGAACCTTCCTCTTGACACAGCAGTTTTGAAACAATCTTTTTGTAGAATCTGCAAGTGGATATTTGGATAGCTTTGAGGATTTCGTTGGAAACGGGATATCTTCATATAAAATCTAGACAGAAGCATTCTCAGAAACTTCTTTGTGCTGTATGTCCTCAATTAACAGAGTTGAACCATTGCCTGGATACAGCATTTTGGAAACATTCCTTGAGTAGAATCTGCAAGTTGATATTTAGATAGATTTGAAGATTTCGTTGGAAAAGGGAATATCTCCATATAAAATCTAGAGGGAAGCATTCTCAGAAACTGCTTTGTGATGTTTCCATTCAAGTCACAGAGTTGAATATTCCCTTTTATAGAGCACGTTTGAAACACTCTTTCTGCACTATCTGGAAGCGGACATTTCGAGCGCTTTGAGGCCTATGGTGAAAAAGGAAATATCTTCCAATAAAAACTAGACAGAAGCATTCTCAGAAACTTGTTTGTGATGTGTGTATTCAACTAACAGAGTTGAACTTTTGTTTTTACAGAGCCGTTTTAAAACACTCTTTTTGTGGAATCAGAAAGTGGATATTCGGATGGCTCTGAGGATTTCGTTGGAAGCGGGATTACGTATAAAATCTAGAGAGAAGCATTCTCAGGAACTTCTTTGTGATGTTTGCATTGAAGTCACAGAATTGAACATTCACTTTGATAGAGCAGGTTTGAAACACTCATTCTGTAGTATCTGGAAGTGGACATTTCAAGCGCTTTCAGGCCTATGGTGAGAAAGGAAATATCTTCGAATAAAAACTAGACAGAAGCATCCTCAAACTTATTTGTGATGTGTGTCCTCAACTAACAGAGTTGAAACTTTGTTTTGATACAGCATTTTGGAAACACTCTTTTTGTAGAATCTGCAGGTGGATATTTGGATAGCTTAGAGGGATTCGTTGGAAAGGGGATATCTTCATATAAAATCTAGACAGAAGCATTCTCAGAAACTTATTTGTGATGTGTGTCCTCAACTAACAGAGTTGAACTTTGGTTTTGATACAGCATTTTGGAAACACTCCTTTTGTAGAATCTGCAGGTGGATATGTGGATAGCTCTGAAGATTTCGTTGGAAACGGGAATTTCTTCATATAAAATCAAACAGAAGCATTCTCAGAAACTTCTCAGTGATGTTTGCATTCAGTTCATGGAGTTGAACACTTCCTTTCATAGAGCCGGTTTGAAACACTCTTTCTGCACTACCTGGAAGAGGACATTTCGAGCGCTTTGAGTCCTATGGTGAAAAAGGAAATATCTTCTCATAGAAACCAGAAAGAAGCATTCTCAGAAACTTCTTTGTGTTGTGTGTACTCATGTAACAGTGTTGAACCATCCTTTTGACAGAGCAGTTTTGAAACACTCTTTTTGTAGAATCTGCAAGTGGATATTTGGATAGCTTTGAGGATTTCGTTGGAAACGGGATGACATATAATATCTAGAGAGAAGCATTCTCAGGAACTTCTTTGTGATGTTTGCATTCAAGTCACAGAATTGAACATTCCCTTTCATAGAGCAGGTTTGAAACACTCTTTCTCTAGTATCTGGAAGTGGGCATTTCAAGCGCTTTCAGGCCTATGGAGAGAAAGGAAATACCTTCAAATAAAAACTAGACAGAAGCATTCTCAGAAACTTATTTGTGATGTGTGTCCTCAACTAACAGAGTTGAACCTTTGTTTTGATACAGCATTTTGGAAACACTCCTTTTGTAGAATCTGCAGGTGGATATTTGGATAGCTTTGAAGATTTCGTTGGAAACCGGAATATCTTCATATAAAATCAAGACAGAAGCATTC
Source organism: Homo sapiens (assembly GCF_000001405.40). Taxonomy (NCBI): domain Eukaryota; kingdom Metazoa; phylum Chordata; class Mammalia; order Primates; family Hominidae; genus Homo; species Homo sapiens. The sequence goes on from NC_000004.12 coordinate 50,597,922, forward strand.
TCGGAAACATCTCTGTGATGTTTGCATTCAACTCAGTAGAGTTGAACACTTCCTTTCATAGAGCAGGTTTGAAACACTCTTTCTGCACTACCTGGAAGCGGACATTTCGAGCGCTTTGAGGCCTATGGTGAAAAAGGAAATTCTCTCATAAAAACCAGAAAGAAAGCATTCTCAGAAACTTCTTTGTGTTGTGTGTACTCAAGTAACAGTGTTGAACCTTCCTTTTGACAGAGCAGTTTTGAAACACTCTTTTGGTAGAATCTGCAAGTGGATATTTGGAGAGCTTTGAGGATTTCGTTGGAAACGGGTTATCTTCATATAAAATCCAGACAGGAGCATTCTCAGAAACTTCTTTGTGCTGTATGTCCTCAATTCACAGAGTTGAACCTTTGTTTGGATACAGCATTTTGGAAACATTCCTTTAGTAGAATCTGCAAGTTGATATTTAGATAGCTTTGAAGATTTCGTTGGATACGGGAATATCTTCATAAAAAATCTAGACGGAAGCATTGTCAGAAACTGCTTTGTGATGTTTGCATTCAAGTCACAGAGTTAAATATTCTTTTACAGAGCAGGTTTGAAACACTCTTTCTGCACTCCCTGGAAGTGGAGATTTCGAGCGCTTTGAGGCCTATGGTGAAAAAGGAAATATCTTCCCATAAAAACTAGACGGAAGCCTTCTCAGAAACTTGTTTGAGATGTGTGTATTCAAGTAAGAGCGTTGAACATTTCTTTTTACAGAGCAGTTTTAAAACACTCTTTTTGTGGAATCTGAAAGTGGATAGTTGGATAGCTTTGTGGATTTCGTTGGAAACGGGATGACGTATAAAATCTAGAGAGAAGCATTCTCAGGAACTTCTTTCTGATGTTTGCATTCAAGTCAGAGAATTGAACATTCCTTTTCATAGTGCAGGTTTGAAACACTCTTTCTGTAGTATCTGGAAGTGGACATTTCAAGCGCTTTCAGGCCTATGGGGAGAAAGGAAATATCTTCAAATAAAAACTAGACAGAAGGATTCTCAGAAACTTATTGGTGATGTGTGTCCTCAACGAACACAGTTGAACCTTTGTTTTGATACAGCATTTTGGAAACACTCCCTTTGTAGAATCTGCAGGTGGATATTTGGATAGATTTTAAGATTTCGTTGGAAACGGGAATTTCTTCATATAAACTCAAGACAGATGCATTCTCCGAAACTTCTCTGTGATGTTTGCATTCCACTCATAGAGCTGAAAACTTCCTTTCATAGAGCAGGTTTGAAACACTCTTTTTGTAATATTTGGAAGTGGACATTTGCAGCGCTTTGAGACCTATGGTGAAAAAGGAAATATCTTCTCATAAAAACCAGAAACAAGCATTCTCAGAAACTTCTTTTTGATGTGTGTACTCAAGTAACAGAGTTGAACCTTCCTTTTGACACAGCAGTTTTGAAACAATCTTTTTGTAGAATCTGCAAGTGGATATTTGGATAGATTTGAGGATTTCGTTGGAAACGGGATATCTTCATATAAAATCTAGACAGAAGCATTCTCAGAAACTTCTTTGTGCTGTATGTCCTCAATTAACAGAGTTGAACCATTGCTTGGATACAGCGTTTTGGAAACATTCCTTTAGTAGAATCTGCAAGTTGATATTTAGATAGATTTGAAGATTTCGTTGGAAACGGGAATATCTTCATATAAAATCTAGACGGAGGCATTCTCAGAAACTGCTTTGTGATGTTTCCATAGAAGTCACAGAGTTGAATATTCTCTTTTATAGAGCACGTTTGAAACACTCTTTCTGCACTATCTGGAAGTGGACATTTCGAGCGCTGTGAGGCCTATGGTGAAAAAGGAAATATCTTCCCATAAAAACTAGACAGAAGCATTCTCAGAAACTTGTTTATGATGTGTGTATTCAACTAACAGACTTGAACTTTTGTTTTTACAGAGCAGTTTTAAGACAATCTTTTTGTGGAATCAGAAAGTGGATATTCGGATGGCTTTGAGGATTTCGTTGGAAGCGGGATTACATATAAAATCTAGAGAGAAGCATTCTCAGGAACTACTTTGTGATGTTTGCATTGATGTCACAGAATTGAACATTCACTTTGATAGAGCAGGTTTGAAACACTCATTCTGTAGTATCTGGAAGCGGACAATTCTAGCGCTTTCAGGCCTATGGGGAGAAAGGAAATATCTTCAAATAAAAACTAGACAGAAGCATCCTCAAACTTATTTGTGATGTGTGTCCTCAACTAACAGAGTTGAAACTTTGTTTTGATACAGCATTTTGGAAACACTCTTTTTGTAGAATCTGCAGGTGGATATTTGGATAGCTTAGAGGGATTCGTTGGAAAGGGGATATCTTCATATAGAATCTAGACAGAAGCATTCTCAGAAACTTATTTGTGATGTGTGTCCTCAACTAACAGAGTTGAACCTTTGTTTTGATACAGCATTTTGGAAACACTCCTTTTGTAGAATCTGCAGGTGGATATGTGGATAGCTCTGAAGATTTCGTTGGAAACGGGAATTTCTTCATATAAAATCAAACAGAGCATTCTCAGAAACTTCTCAGTGATGTTTGCATTCAGCTCATGGAGTTGTACACTTCCTTTCATAGAGCAGGTTTGAAACACTCTTTCTGCACTACCTGGAAGAGGACATTTCGAGCGCTTTGAGTCCTATGGTGAAAAAGGAAATATCTTCTCATAGAAACCAGAAAGAAGCATTCTCAGAAACTTCTTTGTGTTGTGTGTACTCATGTAACAGTGTTGAACCATCCTTTTGACAGAGCAGTTTTGAAACACTCTTTTTGTAGAATCTGCAAGTGGATATTTGGATAGCTTTGAGGATTTCGTTGGAAACGGGATGACATATAATATCTAGAGAGAAGCATTCTCAGGAACTTCTTTGTGATGTTTGCATTCAAGTCACAGAATTGAACATTCCCTTTCATAGAGCAGGTTTGAAACACTCTTTCTCTAGTATCTGGAAGTGGGCATTTCAAGCGCTTTCAGGCCTATGGAGAGAAAGGAAATACCTTCAAATAAAAACTAGACAGAAGCATTCTCAGAAACTTATTTGTGATGTGTGTCCTCAACTAACAGAGTTGAACCTTTGTTTTGATACAGCATTTTGGAAACACTCCTTTTGTAGAATCTGCAGGTGGATATTTGGGTAGCTTTGAAGATTTCGTTGGAAACCGGAATATCTTCATATAAAATCAAGACAGAAGCATTCTCGGAAACATCTCTGTGATGTTTGCATTCAACTCAGTAGAGTTGAACACTTCCTTTCATAGAGCAGGTTTGAAACACTCTTTCTGCACTACCTGGAAGCGGACATTTCGAGCGCTTTGAGGCCTATGGTGAAAAAGGAAATATCTTCTCATAAAAACCAGAAAGAAGCATTCTCAGAAACTTCTTTGTGTTGTGTGTACTCAAGTAACAGTGTTGAACCTTCCTTTTGACAGAGCAGTTTTGAAACACTCTTTTGGTAGAATCTGCAAGTGGATATTTGGAGAGCTTTGAGGATTTCGTTGGAAACGGGTTATCTTCCTATAAAATCCAGACAGGAGCATTCTCAGAAACTTCTTTGTGCTGTATGTCCTCAATTCACAGAGCTGAACCTTTGTTTGGATACAGCATTTTGGAGACATTCCTTTAGTAGAATCTGCAAGTTGATATTTAGATAGCTTTGAAGATTTCGTTGGAAACGGGAATATCTTCATAGAAAATCTAGACGGAAGCATTCTCAGAAACTGCTTTGTGATGTTTGCATTCAAGTCACAGAGTTGAATATTCCCTTTTATAGAGTAGGTTTGAAACACTCTTTCGGCACTACCTGGAAGTGGATATTTCGAGCTCTTATGAGGCCTATGGTTAAAAGGAAATATCTTCCCATAAAAACTAGACAGAAGCCTTCTCAGAAACTGGTTTGAGATGTGTGTATTCAACTAAGAGCGTTGAACATTTCTTTTTACAGAGCAGTTTTAAAACACTCTTTTTGTGGAATCTGAAAGTGGATAATTGGATAGTTTTGTGGATTTCGTTGGAAACGGGATTACGTATAAAATCTAGAGAGAAAGCATTCTCAGGGAACTTCTTTCTGATGTTTGCATTCAAGTCACAGAATTGAACATTCCTTTTCAGAGTGCAGGTTTGAAACACTCTTTCTGTAGTATCTGGAAGTGGACATTTCAAGCGCTTTCAGGCCTACGGGGAGAAAGGAAATATCTTCAAATAAAAACTAGACAGAAGGATTCTCAGAAACTTATTTGTGATGTGTGTCCTAAACGAACACAGTTGAACCTTTGTTTTGATACAGCATTTTGGAAACACTCCTTTTGTAGGATCTGCAGGTGGATATTTGGATAGATTTTAAGATTTCGTTGGAAACGGGAATTTCTTCATAGAAGCTCAAGACAGATGCATTCTCAGAAACTTCTCTGTGATGTTTGCATTCCACTCATAGAGTTGAAAACTTCCTTTCATAGAGCAGGTTTGAAACACTCTTTTTGTAATATTTGGAAGTGGACATTTGCAGCGCTTTGAGGCCTATGGTGAAAAAGGAAATATCTTCTCATAAAAACCAGAAACAAGCATTCTCAGAAACTTCTTTTTGATGTGTGTACTCAAGTAACAGAGTTGAACCTTCCTTTTGACACAGCAGTTTTGAAACAATCTTTTTGTAGAATCTGCAAGTGGATATTTGGATAGCTTTGAGGATTTCGTTGGAAACGGGATATCTTCATATAAAATCTAGACAGAAGCATTCTCAGAAACTTCTTTGTGCTGTATGTCCTCAATTAACAGAGTTGAACCATTGCTTGGATACAGCATTTTGGAAACATTCCTTGAGTAGAATCTGCAAGTTGATATTTAGATAGATTTGAAGATTTCGTTGGAAAAGGGAATATCTCCATATAAAATCTAGAGGGGAGGCATTCTCAGAAACTGCTTTGTGATGTTTCCATTCAAGTCACAGGAGTTGAATATTCCCTTTTATAGAGCACGTTTGAAACACTCTTTCGGCACTATCTGGAAGTGGACATTTCGAGCGCTTTGAGGCCTATGGTGAAAAAGGAAATATCTTCCCATAAAAACTAGACAGAAGCATTCTCAGAAACTTGTTTGTGATGTGTGTATTCAACTAACAGAGTTGAACTTTTGTTTTTACAGAGCCGTTTTAAAACACTCTTTTTGTGGAATCAGAAAGTGGATATTCGGATGGCTCTGAGGATTTCGTTGGAAGCGGGATTACGTATAAAATCTAGAGAGAAGCATTCTCAGGAACTTCTTTGTGATGTTTGCATTGAAGTCACAGAATTGAACATTCCCTTTCATAGAGCAGGTTTGAAACACTCTTTCTCTAGTATCTGGAAGTGGGCATTTCAAGCGCTTTCAGGCCTATGGAGAGAAAGGAAATACCTTCAAATAAAAACTAGACAGAAGCATTCTCAGAAACTTATTTGTGATGTGTGTCCTCAACTAACAGAGTTGAACCTTTGTTTTGATACAGCATTTTGGAAACACTCCTTTTGTAGAATCTGCAGGTGGATATTTGGATAGCTTTGAAGATTTCGTTGGAAACCGGAATATCTTCATATAAAATCAAGACAGAAGCATTCTCGGAAACATCTCTGTGATGTTTGCATTCAACTCAGTAGAGTTGAACACTTCCTTTCATAGAGCAGGTTTGAAACACTCTTTCTGCACTACCTGGAAGCGGACATTTCGAGCGCTTTGAGGCCTATGGTGAAAAAGGAAATATCTTCTCATAAAAACCAGAAAGAAGCATTCTCAGAAACTTCTTTGTGTTGTGTGTACTCAAGTAACAGTGTTGAACCTTCCTTTTGACAGAGTAGTTTTGAAACACTCTTTTGGTAGAATCTGCAAGTGGATATTTGGATAGCTTTGAGGATTTCGTTGGAAACGGGTTATCTTCCTATAAAATACCAGACAGGAGCATTCTCAGAAACTTCTTTGTGCTGTATGTCCTCAATTCACAGAGCTGAACCTTTGTTTGGATACAGCATTTTGGAGACATTCCTTTAGTAGAATCTGCAAGTTGATATTTAGATAGCTTTGAAGATTTCGTTGGAAACGGGAATATCTTCATAGAAAATCTAGACGGAAGCATTCTCAGAAACTGCTTTGTGATGTTTGCATTCAAGTCACAGAGTTGAATATTCCCTTTTATAGAGTAGGTTTGAAACACTCTTTCGGCACTACCTGGAAGTGGATATTTCGAGCTCTTTGAGGCCTATGGTTAAAAGGAAATATCTTCCCATAAAAACTAGACAGAAGCCGTCTCAGAAACTTGTTTGTGATGTGTGTATTCAACTAACAGAGTTGAACATTTCTGTTACAGAGCAATTTTAAAACACTCTTTGTGGAATCTGAAAGTGGATAATTGGATAGCTTTGTGGATTTCGTTGGAAACGGGATGACGTATAAAATCTAGAGAGAAGCATTCTCAGGAACTTCTTTCTGATGTTTGCATTCAAGTCACAGAATTGAACATTCCTTTTCAGAGTGCAGGTTTGAAACACTCTTTCTGTAGTATCTGGAAGTGGACATTTCAAGCGCTTTCAGGCCTACGGGGAGAAAGGAAATATCTTCAAATAAAAACTAGACAGAAAGGATTCTCAGAAACTTATTGGTGATGTGTGTCCTAAACGAACACAGTTGAACCTTTGTTTTGATACAGCATTTTGGAAACACTCCCTTTGTAGAATCTGCAGGTGGATATTTGGATAGATTTTAAGATTTCGTTGGAAACGGGAATTTCTTCATATAAACTCAAGACAGTGCATTCTCAGAAACTTCTCTGTGATGTTTGCATTCCACTCATAGAGTTGAAAACTTCCTTTCATAGAGCAGGTTTGAAACACTCTTTTTGTAATATTTGGAAGTGGACATTTGCAGCGCTTTGAGGCCTATGGTGAAAAAGGAAATATCTTCTCATAAAAACCAGAAACAAGCATTCTCAGAAACTTCTTTTTGATGTGTGTACTCAAGTAACAGAGTTGAACCTTCCTCTTGACACAGCAGTTTTGAAACAATCTTTTTGTAGAATCTGCAAGTGGATATTTGGATAGCTTTGAGGATTTCGTTGGAAACGGGATATCTTCATATAAAATCTAGACAGAAGCATTCTCAGAAACTTCTTTGTGCTGTATGACCTCAATTAACAGAGTTGAACCATTGCTTGCATACAGCATTTTGGAAACATTCCTTGAGTAGAATCTGCAAGTTGATATTTAGATAGATTTGAAGATTTCGTTCGAAAACGGAATATCTCCATATAAAATCTAGAGGGAAGCATTCTCAGAAACTGCTTTGTGATGTTTCCTTTCAAGTCACAGAGTTGAATATTCCCTTTTATAGAGCACGTTTGAAACACTCTTTCTGCGCTATCTGGAAGTGGACATTTCGAGCGCTTTGAGGCCTATGGTGAAAAAGGAAATATCTTCCCATAAAAACTAGACAGAAGCATTCTCAGAATCTTGTTTGTGATGTGTGTATTCAACTAACAGACTTGAACTTTTGTTTTTACAGAGCAGTTTTAAGACAATCTTTTTGTGGAATCAGAAAGTGGATATTCGGATGGCTTTGAGGACCTCGTTGGAAGCGGGATAACATATAAAACCTAGAGAGAAAGCATTCTCAGGAACTACTTTGTGATGTTTGCATTGAAGTCACAGAATTGAACATTCACTTTGATAGAGCAGGTTTGAAACACTCATTCTGTAGTATCTGGAAGCCGACAATTCAAGCGCTTTCAGGCCTATGGGGAGAAAGGAAATATCTTCAAATAGAAACTAGACAGAGCATCCTCAGAAACTTATTTGTGATGTGTGTCCTCAACTAACAGAGTTGAAACTTTGTTTTGATACAGCATTTTGGAAACACTCTTTTTGTAGAATCTGCAGGTGGATATTTGGATAGCTTAGAGGGATTCGTTGGAAAGGGGATATCTTCATATAAAATCTAGACAGAAGCATTCTCAGAAACTTATTTGTGATGTGTGTCCTCAACTAACAGAGTTGAAACTTTGTTTTGATACAGCATTTTGGAAACACTCTTTTTGTAGAATCTGCAGGTGGATATTTGGATAGCTTAGAGGGATTCGTTGGAAAGGGGATATCTTCATATAAAATCTAGACAGAAGCATTCTCAGAAACTTATTTGTGATGTGTGTCCTCAACTAACAGAGTTGAACCTTGGTTTTGATACAGCATTTTGGAAACACTCCTTTTGTAGAATCTGCAGGTGGATATGTGGATAGCTCTGAAGATTTCGTTGGAAACGGGAATTTCTTCATATAAAATCAAACAGAAGCATTCTCAGAAACTTCTCAGTGATGTTTGCATTCAGCTCATGGAGTTGTACACTTCCTTTCATAGAGCAGGTTTGAAACACTCTTTCTGCACTACTTGGAAGAGGACATTTCGAGCGCTTTGAGTACTATGGTGAAAAAGGAAATATCTTCTCATAGAAACCAGAAAGAAGCATTCTCAGAAACTTCTTTGTGTTGTGTGTACTCATGTAACAGTGTTGAACCATCCTTTTGACAGAGCAGTTTTGAAACACTCTTTTTGTAGAATCTGCAAGTGGATATTTGGATAGCTTTGAGGATTTCGTTGGAAACGGGATGACATATAATATCTAGAGAGAAGCATTCTCAGGAACTTCTTTGTGATGTTTGCATTCAAGTCACAGAATTGAACATTCCCTTTCATAGAGCAGGTTTGAAACACTCTTTCTCTAGTATCTGGAAGTGGGCATTTCAAGCGCTTTCAGGCCTATGGAGAGAAAGGAAATACCTTCAAATAAAAACTAGACAGAAGCATTCTCAGAAACTTATTTGTGATGTGTGTCCTCAACTAACAGAGTTGAACCTTTGTTTTGATACAGCATTTTGGAAACACTCCTTTTGTAGAATCTGCAGGTGGATATGTGGATAGCTTTGAAGATTTCGTTGGAAACCGGAATATCTTCCTATAAAATCAAGACAGAAGCATTCTCGGAAACATCTCTGTGATGTTTGCATTCAACTCAGTAGAGTTGAACACTTCCTTTCATAGAGCAGGTTTGAAACACTCTTTCTGCCCTACCTGGAAGCGGACATTTCGAGCTCTTTGAGGCCTATGGTGAAAAAGGAAATATCTTCTCATAAAAACCAGAAAGAAGCATTCTCAGAAACTTCTTTGTGTTGTGTGTACTCAAGTAACAGTGTTGAACCTTCCTTTTGACAGAGCAGTTTTGAAACACTCTTTTGGTAGAATCTGCAAGTGGATATTTGGATAGCTTTGAGGATTTCGTTGGAAACGGGTTATCTTCATATAAAATCCAGACAGGAGCATTCTCAGAAACTTCTTTGTGCTGTATGTCCTCAATTCACAGAGCTGAACCTTTGTTTGGATACAGCATTTTGGAGACATTCCTTTAGTAGAATCTGCAAGTTGATATTTAGATAGCTTTGAAGATTTCGTTGGAAACGGGAATATCTTCATAGAAAATCTAGACGGAAGCATTCTCAGAAACTGCTTTGTGATGTTTGCATTCAAGTCACAGAGTTGAATATTCCCTTTTATAGAGTAGGTTTGAAACACTCTTTCGGCACTACCTGGAAGTGGATATTTCGAGCTCTTTGAGGCCTATGGTTAAAAGGAAATATCTTCCCATAAAAACTAGACAGAAGCCGTCTCAGAAACTTGTTTGTGATGTGTGTATTCAACTAACAGAGTTGAACATTTCTGTTACAGAGCAATTTTAAAACACTCTTTTTGTGGAATCTGAAAGTGGATAATTGGATAGCTTTGTGGATTTCGTTGGAAACGGGATGACGTATAAAATCTAGAGAGAAGCATTCTCAGGAACTTCTTTCTGATGTTTGCATTCAAGTCACAGAATTGAACATTCCTTTTCAGAGTGCAGGTTTGAAACACTCTTTCTGTAGTATCTGGAAGTGGACATTTCAAGCGCTTTCAGGCCTACGGGGAGAAAGGAAATATCTTCAAATAAAAACTAGACAGAAGGATTCTCAGAAACTTATTTGTGATGTGTGTCCTAAACGAACACAGTTGAACCTTTGTTTTGATACAGCATTTTGGAAACACTCCTTTTGTAGGATCTGCAGGTGGATATTTGGATAGATTTTAAGATTTCGTTGGAAACGGGAATTTCTTCATAGACGCTCAAGACAGATGCATTCTCAGAAACTTCTCTGTGATGTTTGCATTCCACTCATAGAGTTGAAAACTTCCTTTCATAGAGCAGGTTTGAAACACTCTTTTTGTAATATTTGGAAGTGGACATTTGCAGCGCTTTGAGGCCTATGGTGAAAAAGGAAATATCTTCTGATAAAAACCAGAAACAAGCATTCTCAGAAACTTCTTTTTGATGTGTGTACTCAAGTAACAGGGTTGAACCTTCCTTTTGACACAGCAGTTTTGAAACAATCTTTTTGTAGAATCTGCAAGTGGATATTTGGATAGATTTGAGGATTTCGTTGGAAACGGGATATCTTCATATAAAATCTAGACAGAAGCATTCTCAGAAACTTCTTTGTGCTGTATGTCCTCAATTAACAGAGTTGAACCATTGCTTGGATACAGCATTTTGGAAACATTCCTTGAGTAGAATCTGCAAGTTGATATTTAGATAGATTTGAAGATTTCGTTGGAAAAGGGAATATCTCCATATAAAATCTAGAGGGAAGCATTCTCAGAAACTGCTTTGTGATGTTTCCATTCAAGTCACAGAGTTGAATATTCCCTTTTATAGAGCACGTTTGAAACACTCTTTCTGCACTATCTGGAAGTGGACATTTCGAGCGCTTTGAGGCCTATGGTGAAAAAGGAAATATCTTCCCATAAAAACTAGACAGAAGCATTCTCAGAAACTTGTTTGTGATGTGTGTATTCAACTAACAGAGTTGAACTTTTGTTTTTACAGAGCCGTTTTAAAACACTCTTTTTGTGGAATCAGAAAGTGGATATTCGGATGGCTCTGAGGATTTCGTTGGAAGCGGGATTACGTATAAAATCTAGAGAGAAGCATTCTCAGGAACTTCTTTGTGATGTTTGCATTGAAGTCACAGAATTGAACATTCACTTTGATAGAGCAGGTTTGAAACACTCATTCTGTAGTACCTGGAAGTGGACATTTCAAGCGCTTTCAGGCCTATGGTGAGAAAGGAAATATCTTCGAATAAAAACTAGACAGAAGCATCCTCAAACTTATTTGTGATGTGTGTCCTCAACTAACAGAGTTGAAACTTTGTTTTGATACAGCATTTTGGAAACACTCTTTTTGTAGAATCTGCAGGTGGATATTTGGATAGCTTAGAGGGATTCGTTGGAAAGGGGATATCTTCATATAAAATCTAGACAGAAGCATTCTCAGAAACTTATTTGTGATGTGTGTCCTCAACTAACAGAGTTGAACCTTGGTTTTGATACAGCATTTTGGAAACACTCCTTTTGTAGAATCTGCAGGTGGATATGTGGATAGCTCTGAAGATTTCGTTGGAAACGGGAATTTCTTCATATAAAATCAAACAGAAGCATTCTCAGAAACTTCTCAGTGATGTTTGCATTCAGCTCATGGAGTTGTACACTTCCTTTCATAGAGCAGGTTTGAAACACTCTTTCTGCACTACTTGGAAGAGGACATTTCGAGCGCTTTGAGTCCTATGGTGAAAAAGGAAATATCTTCTCATAGAAACCAGAAAGAAGCATTCTCAGAAACTTCTTTGTGTTGTGTGTACTCATGTAACAGTGTTGAACCATCCTTTTGACAGAGCAGTTTTGAAACACTCTTTTTGTAGAATCTGCAAGTGGATATTTGGATAGCTTTGAGGATTTCGTTGGAAACGGGATGACATATAATATCTAGAGAGAAGCATTCTCAGGAACTTCTTTGTGATGTTTGCATTCAAGTCACAGAATTGAACATTCCCTTTCATAGAGCAGGTTTGAAACACTCTTTCTCTAGTATCTGGAAGTGGGCATTTCAAGCGCTTTCAGGCCTATGGAGAGAAAGGAAATACCTTCAAATAAAAACTAGACAGAAGCATTCTCAGAAACTTATTTGTGATGTGTGTCCTCAACTAACAGAGTTGAACCTTTGTTTTGATACAGCATTTTGGAAACACTCCTTTTGTAGAATCTGCAGGTGGATATTTGGATAGCTTTGAAGATTTCGTTGGAAACCGGAATATCTTCATATAAAATCAAGACAGAAGCATTCTCGGAAACATCTCTGTGATGTTTGCATTCAACTCAGTAGAGTTGAACACTTCCTTTCATAGAGCAGGTTTGAAACACTCTTTCTGCACTACCTGGAAGCGGACATTTCGAGCGCTTTGAGGCCTATGGTGAAAAAGGAAATATCTTCTCATAAAAACCAGAAAGAAGCATTCTCAGAAACTTCTTTGTGTTGTGTGTATTCAAGTAACAGTGTTGAACCTTCCTTTTGACAGAGCAGTTTTGAAACACTCTTTTGGTAGAATCTGCAAGTGGATATTTGGAGAGCTTTGAGGATTTCGTTGGCAACGGGTTATCTTCATATAAAATCCAGACAGGAGCATTCTCAGAAACTTCTTTGTGCTGTATGTCCTCAATTCACAGAGCTGAACCTTTGTTTGGATACAGCATTTTGGAAACTTTCCTTTAGTAGAATCTGCAAGTTGATATTTAGATAGCTTTGAAGATTTCGTTGGAAACGGGAATATCTTCATAGAAAATCTAGACGGAAGCATTCTCAGAAACTGCTTTGTGATGTTTGCATTCAAGTCACAGAGTTGAATATTCCCTTTTATAGAGTAGGTTTGAAACACTCTTTCGGCACTACCTGGAAGTGGATATTTCGAGCTCTTATGAGGCCTATGGTTAAAAGGAAATATCTTCCCATAAAAACTAGACAGAAGCCGTCTCAGAAACTTGTTTGTGATGTGTGTATTCAACTAACAGAGTTGAACATTTCTGTTACAGAGCAATTTTAAAACACTCTTTTTGTGGAATCTGAAAGTGGATAATTGGATAGCTTTGTGGATTTCGTTGGAAACGGGATGACGTATAAAATACTAGAGAGAAGCATTCTCAGGAACTTCTTTCTGATGTTTGTATTCAAGTCACAGAATTGAACATTCCTTTTCATAGTGCAGGTTTGAAACACTCTTTCTGCAGTATCTGGAAGTGGACATTTCAAGCGCTTTCAGGCCTATGGGGAGAAAGGAAATATCTTCAAATTAAAAACTAGACAGAAGGATTCTCAGAAACTTATTTGTGATGTGTGTCCTAAACGAACACAGTTGAACCTTTGTTTTGATACAGCATTTTGGAAACACTCCTTTTGTAGGATCTGCAGGTGGATATTTGGATAGATTTTAAGATTTCGTTGGAAACGGGAATTTCTGCATAGAAACTCAAGACAGATGCATTCTCAGAAACTTCTCTGTGATGTGTGCATTCCACTCATAGAGTTGAAAACTTCCTTTCATAGAGCAGGTTTGAAACACTCTTTTTGTAATATTTGGAAGTGGACATTTGCAGCGCTTTGAGGCCTATGGTGAAAAAGGAAATATCTTCTCATAAAAACCAGAAACAAGCATTCTCAGAAACTTCTTTTTGATGTGTGTACTCAAGTAACAGAGTTGAACCTTCCTTTTGACACAGCAGTTTTGAAACAATCTTTTTGTAGAATCTGCAAGTGGATATTTGGATAGCTTTGAGGATTTCGTTGGAAACGGGATATCTTCATATAAAATCTAGACAGAAGCATTCTCAGAAACTTCTTTGTGCTGTATGACCTCAATTAACAGAGTTGAACCATTGCTTGCATACAGCATTTTGGAAACATTCCTTGAGTAGAATCTGCAAGTTGATATTTAGATAGATTTGAAGATTTCGTTCGAAAACGGAATATCTCCATATAAAATCTAGAGGGAAGCATTCTCAGAAACTGCTTTGTGATGTTTCCATTCAAGTCACAGAGTTGAATATTCCCTTTTATAGAGCACGTTTGAAACACTCTTTCTGCGCTATCTGGAAGTGGACATTTCGAGCGCTTTGAGGCCTATGGTGAAAAAGGAAATATCTTCCCATAAAAACTAGACAGAAGCATTCTCAGAAACTTGTTTGTGATGTGTGTATTCAACTAACAGAGTTGAACTTTTGTTTTTACAGAGCCGTTTTAAAACACTCTTTTTGTGGAATCAGAAAGTGGATATTCGGATGGCTCTGAGGATTTCGTTGGAAGCGGGATTACATATAAAATCTAGAGAGAAGCATTCTCAGGAACTTCTTTGTGATGTTTGCATTGAAGTCACAGAATTGAACATTCACTTTGATAGAGCAGGTTTGAAACACTCATTCTGTAGTATCTGGAAGTGGACATTTCAAGCGCTTTCAGGCCTATGGTGAGAAAGGAAATATCTTCGAATAAAAACTAGACAGAAGCATCCTCAAACTTATTTGTGATGTGTGTCCTCAACTAACAGAGTTGAAACTTTGTTTTGATACAGCATTTTGGAAACACTCTTTTTGTAGAATCTGCAGGTGGATATTTGGATAGCTTAGAGGGATTCGTTGGAAAGGGGATATCTTCATATAGAATCTAGACAGAAGCATTCTCAGAAACTTATTTGTGATGTGTGTCCTCAACTAACAGAGTTGAACTTTGGTTTTGATACAGCATTTTGGAAACACTCCTTTTGTAGAATCTGCAGGTGGATATGTGGATAGCTCTGAAGATTTCGTTGGAAACGGGAATTTCTTCATATAAAATCAAACAGAAGCATTCTCAGAAACTTCTCAGTGATGTTTGCATTCAGTTCATGGAGTTGAACACTTCCTTTCATAGAGCCGGTTTGAAACACTCTTTCTGCACTACCTGGAAGAGGACATTTCGAGCGCTTTGAGTCCTATGGTGAAAAAGGAAATATCTTCTCATAGAAACCAGAAAGAAGCATTCTCAGAAACTTCTTTGTGTTGTGTGTACTCATGTAACAGTGTTGAACCATCCTTTTGACAGAGCAGTTTTGAAACACTCTTTTTGTAGAATCTGCAAGTGGATATTTGGATAGCTTTGAGGATTTCGTTGGAAACGGGATGACATATAATATCTAGAGAGAAGCATTCTCAGGAACTTCTTTGTGATGTTTGCATTCAAGTCACAGAATTGAACATTCCCTTTCATAGAGCAGGTTTGAAACACTCTTTCTCTAGTATCTGGAAGTGGGCATTTCAAGCGCTTTCAGGCCTATGGAGAGAAAGGAAATACCTTCAAATAAAAACTAGACAGAAGCATTCTCAGAAACTTATTTGTGATGTGTGTCCTCAACTAACAGAGTTGAACCTTTGTTTTGATACAGCATTTTGGAAACACTCCTTTTGTAGAATCTGCAGGTGGATATTTGGATAGCTTTGAAGATTTCGTTGGAAACCGGAATATCTTCATATAAAATCAAGACAGAAGCATTCTCGGAAACATCTCTGTGATGTTTGCATTCAACTCAGTAGAGTTGAACACTTCCTTTCATAGAGCAGGTTTGAAACACTCTTTCTGCACTACCTGGAAGCGGACATTTCGAGCGCTTTGAGGCCTATGGTGAAAAAGGAAATATCTTCTCATAAAAACCAGAAAGAAGCATTCTCAGAAACTTCTTTGTGTTGTGTGTACCTCAAGTAACAGTGTTGAACCTTCCTTTTGACAGAGTAGTTTTGAAACACTCTTTTGGTAGAATCTGCAAGTGGATATTTGGATAGCTTTGAGGATTTCGTTGGAAACGGGTTATCTTCCTATAAAATCCAGACAGGAGCATTCTCAGAAACTTCTTTGTGCTGTATGTCCTCAATTCACAGAGCTGAACCTTTGTTTGGATACAGCATTTTGGAGACATTCCTTTAGTAGAATCTGCAAGTTGATATTTAGATAGCTTTGAAGATTTCGTTGGAAACGGGAATATCTTCATAGAAAATCTAGACGGGAAGCATTCTCAGAAACTGCTTTGTGATGTTTGCATTCAAGTCACAGAGTTGAATATTCCCTTTTATAGAGTAGGTTTGAAACACTCTTTCGGCACTACCTGGAAGTGGATATTTCGAGCTCTTTGAGGCCTATGGTTAAAAGGAAATATCTTCCCATAAAAACTAGACAGAAGCCGTCTCAGAAACTTGTTTGTGATGTGTGTATTCAACTAACAGAGTTGAACATTTCTGTTACAGAGCAATTTTAAAACACTCTTTGTGGAATCTGAAAGTGGATAATTGGATAGCTTTGTGGATTTCGTTGGAAACGGGATGACGTATAAAATCTAGAGAGAAGCATTCTCAGAAACTTCTTTCTGATGTTTGCATTCAAGTCACAGAATTGAACATTCCTTTTCATAGTGCAGGTTTGAAACACTCTTTCTGTACTATCTGGAAGTGGACATTTCCAGCGCTTTCAGGCCTATGGGGAGAAAGGAAATATCTTCAAATAAAAACTAGACAGAAGGATTCTCAGAAACTTATTTGTGATGTGTGTCCTAAACGAACACAGTTGAACCTTTGTTTTGATACAGCATTTTGGAAACACTCCTTTTGTAGGATCTGCAGGTGGATATTTGGATAGATTTTAAGATTTCGTTGGAAACGGGAATTTCTGCATATAAACTCAAGACAGATGCATTCTCAGAAACTTCTCTGTGATGTTTGCATTCCACTCATAGAGTTGAAAACTTCCTTTCATAGAGCAGGTTTGAAACACTCTTTTTGTAATATTTGGAAGTGGACATTTGCAGCACTGTGAGGCCTATGGTGAAAAAGGAAATATCTTCTCATAAAAACCAGAAACAAGCATTCTCAGAAACTTCTTTTTGATGTGTGTACTCAAGTAACAGAGTTGAACCTTCCTTTTGACACAGCAGTTTTGAAACAATCTTTTTGTAGAATCTGCAAGTGGATATTTGGATAGCTTTGAGGATTTCGTTGGAAACGGGATATCTTCATATAAAATCTAGACAGAAGCATTCTCAGAAACTTCTTTGTGCTGTATGTCCTCAATTAACAGAGTTGAACCATTGCTTGGGTACAGCATTTTGGAAACATTCCTTTAGTAGAATCTGCAAGTTGATATTTAGATAGATTTGAAGATTTCGTTGGAAACGGGAATATCTTCATATAAAATCTAGACGGAGGCATTCTCAGAAACTGCTTTGTGATGTTTCCATTCAAGTCACAGAGTTGAATATTCTCTTTTATAGAGCACGTTTGAAACACTCTTTCTGCACTATCTGGAAGTGGACATTTCGAGCGCTGTGAGGCCTATGGTGAAAAAGGAAATATCTTCCCATAAAAACTAGACAGAAGCATTCTCAGAAACTTGTTTGTGATGTGTGTATTCAACTAACAGACTTGAACTTTTGTTTTTACAGAGCAGTTTTAAGACAATCTTTTTGTGGAATCAGAAAGTGGATATTCGGATGGCTTTGAGGACCTCGTTGGAAGCGGGATTACATATAAAATCTAGAGAGAAGCATTCTCAGGATCTACTTTGTGATGTTTGCATTGAAGTCACAGAATTGAACATTCACTTTGATAGAGCAGGTTTGAAACACTCATTCTGTAGTATCTGGAAGTGGACATTTCAAGCGCTTTCAGGCCTATGGGGAGAAAGGAAATATCTTCAAATTAAAACTAGACAGAAGCATCCTCAGAAACTTATTTGTGATGTGTGTCCTCAACTAACAGAGTTGAAACTTTGTTTTGATACAGCATTTTGGAAACACTCTTTTTGTAGAATCTGCAGGTGGATATTTTGATAGCTTAGAGGGATTCGTTGGAAAGGGGATATCTTCATATAAAATCTAGACAGAAGCATTCTCAGAAACTTATTTGTGATGTGTGTCCTCAACTAACAGAGTTGAACCTTGGTTTTGATACAGCATTTTGGAAACACTCCTTTTGAAGAATCTGCAGGTGGATATGTGGATAGCTTTGAAGATTTCGTTGGAAACGGGAATTTCTTCATATAAAATCAAACAGAAGCATTCTCAGGAACTTCTCTGTGATGTTTGCATTCAGCTCATGGAGTTGAACACTTCCTTTCATAGAGCAGGTTTGAAACACTCTTTCTGCACTACCTGGAAGTGGACATTTCGAGCGCTTTGAGGCCTAGGGTGAAAAAGGAAATATCTTCTCATAAAAACCAGAAAGAAGAGTTCTCAGAAACTTCTTTGTGTTGTGTGTACTCATGTAACAGTGTTGAACCATCCTTTTGACAGAGCAGTTTTGAAACACACTTTTTGTAGAATCTGCCAGTGGATATTTGGATAGCTTTGAGGATGTCGTTGCAAACGGGTTATCTTCATATTAAATCTAGACAGAAGCATTCTCAGGAACTTCTTTGTGATGTTTGCATTCAAGTCACAGAATTGAACATTCCCTTTCATAGAGCAGGTTTGAAACACTCTTTCTCTAGTATCTGGAAGTGGGCATTTCAAGCGCTTTCAGGCCTATGGAGAGAAAGGAAATACCTTCAAATAAAAACTAGACAGAAGCATTCTCAGAAACTTATTTGTGATGTGTGTCCTCAACTAACAGAGTTGAACCTTTGTTTTGATACAGCATTTTGGAAACACTCCTTTTGTAGAATCTGCAGGTGGATATTTGGATAGCTTTGAAGATTTCGTTGGAAACCGGAATATCTTCATATAAAATCAAGACAGAAGCATTCTCGGAAACATCTCTGTGATGTTTGCATTCAACTCAGTAGAGTTGAACACTTCCTTTCATAGAGCAGGTTTGAAACACTCTTTCTGCACTACCTGGAAGCGGACATTTCGAGCGCTTTGAGGCCTATGGTGAAAAAGGAAATATCTTCTCATAAAAACCAGAAAGAAGCATTCTCAGAAACTTCTTTGTGTTGTGTGTACTCAAGTAACAGTGTTGAACCTTCCTTTTGACAGAGTAGTTTTGAAACACTCTTTTGGTAGAATCTGCAAGTGGATATTTGGATAGCTTTGAGGATTTCGTTGGAAACGGGTTATCTTCCTATAAAATCCAGACAGGAGCATTCTCAGAAACTTCTTTGTGCTGTATGTCCTCAATTCACAGAGCTGAACCTTTGTTTGGATACAGCATTTTGGAGACATTCCTTTAGTAGAATCTGCAAGTTGATATTTAGATAGCTTTGAAGATTTCGTTGGAAACGGGAATATCTTCATAGAAAATCTAGACGGAAGCATTCTCAGAAACTGCTTTGTGATGTTTGCATTCAAGTCACAGAGTTGAATATTCCCTTTTATAGAGTAGGTTTGAAACACTCTTTCGGCACTACCTGGAAGTGGATATTTCGAGCTCTTTGAGGCCTATGGTTAAAAGGAAATATCTTCCCATAAAAACTAGACAGAAGCCGTCTCAGAAACTTGTTTGTGATGTGTGTATTCAACTAACAGAGTTGAACATTTCTGTTACAGAGCAATTTTAAAACAGTCTTTTTGTGGAATCTGAAAGTGTATAATTGGATAGCTTTGTGGATTTCATTGGAAACGGGATGACGTATAAAATCTAGAGAGAAGCATTCTCAGGAACTTCTTTCTGATGTTTGCATTCAAGTCACAGAATTGAACATTCCTTTTCAGAGTGCAGGTTTGAAACACTCTTTCTGTAGTATCTGGAAGTGGACATTTCAAGCGCTTTCAGGCCTACGGGGAGAAAGGAAATCTCTTCAAATAAAAACCAGACAGAAGGATTCTCAGAAACTTATTTGTGATGTGTGTCCTAAACGAACACAGTTGAACCTTTGTTTTGATACAGCATTTTGGAAACACTCCTTTTGTAGAATCTGCAGGTGGATATTTGGATAGATTTTAAGATTTCATTGGAAACGGGAATTTCTTCATATAAACTCAAGACAGATGCATTCTCAGAAACTTCTCTGTGATGTTTGCATTCCACTCATAGAGTTGAAAACTTCCTTTCATAGAGCAGGTTTGAAACACTCTTTTTGTAATATTTGGAAGTGGACATTTGCAGCGCTTTGAGGCCTATGGTGAAAAAGGAAATATCTTCTCATAAAAACCAGAAACAAGCATTCTCAGAAACTGCTTTTTGATGTGTGTACTCAAGTAACAGAGTTGAACCTTCCTTTTGACACAGCAGTTTTGAAACAATCTTTCTGTAGAATCTGCAAGTGGATATTTGGATAGCTTTGAGGATTTCGTTGGAAACGGGATATCTTCATATAAAATCTAGAAAGAAGCATTCTCAGAAACTTCTTTGTGCTGTATGTCCTCAATTAACAGAGTTGAACCATTGCCTGGATACATCATTTTGGAAACATTCCTTGAGTAGAATCTGCAAGTTGATATTTAGATAGATTTGAAGATTTCGTTGGAAAAGGGAATATCTCCATATAAAATCTAGAGGGAAGCATTCTCAGAAACTGCTTTGTGATGTTTCCATTCAAGTCACAGAGTTGGAATATTCCCTTTTATAGAGCACGTTTGAAACACTCTTTCTGCACTATCTGGAAGCGGACATTTCGAGCGCTTTGAGGCCTATGGTGAAAAAGGAAATATCTTCCCATAAAAACTAGACAGAAGCATTCTCAGAAACTTGTTTGTGATGTGTGTATTCAACTAACAGAGTTGAACTTTTGTTTTTACAGAGCCGTTTTAAAACACTCTTTTTGTGGAATCAGAAAGTGGATATTCGGATGGCTCTGAGGATTTCGTTGGAAGCGGGATTACGTATAAAATCTAGAGAGAAGCATTCTCAGGAACTTCTTTGTGATGTTTGCATTGAAGTCACAGAATTGAACATTCACTTTGATAGAGCAGGTTTGAAACACTCATTCTGTAGTATCTGGAAGTGGACATTTCAAGCGCTTTCAGGCCTATGGTGAGAAAGGAAATATCTTCGAATAAAAACTAGACAGAAGCATCCTCAAACTTATTTGTGATGTGTGTCCTCAACTAACAGAGTTGAAACTTTGTTTTGATACAGCATTTTGGAAACACTCTTTTTGTAGAATCTGCAGGTGGATATTTGGATAGCTTAGAGGGATTCGTTGGAAAGGGGATATCTTCATATAAAATCTAGACAGAAGCATTCTCAGAAACTTATTTGTGATGTGTGTCCTCGACTAACAGAGTTGAACCTTGGTTTTGATACAGCATTTTGGAAACACTCCTTTTGTAGAATCTGCAGGTGGATATGTGGATAGCTCTGAAGATTTCGTTGGAAACGGGAATTTCTTCATATAAAATCAAACAGAAGCATTCTCAGAAACTTCTCAGTGATGTTTGCATTCAGCTCATGGAGTTGTACACTTCCTTTCATAGAGCAGGTTTGAAACACTCTTTCTGCACTACCTGGAAGAGGACATTTCGAGCGCTTTGAGTCCTATGGTGAAAAAGGAAATATCTTCTCATAGAAACCAGAAAGAAGCATTCTCAGAAACTTCTTTGTGTTGTGTGTACTCATGTAACAGTGTTGAACCATCCTTTTGACAGAGGAGTTTTGAAACACTCTTTTTGTAGAATCTGCAAGTGGATATTTGGATAGCTTTGAGGATTTCGTTGGAAACGGGATGACATATAATATCTAGAGAGAAGCATTCTCAGGAACTTCTTTGTGATGTTTGCATTCAAGTCACAGAATTGAACATTCCCTTTCATAGAGCAGGTTTGAAACACTCTTTCTCTAGTATCTGGAAGTGGGCATTTCAAGCGCTTTCAGGCCTATGGAGAGAAAGGAAATACCTTCAAATAAAAACTAGACAGAAGCATTCTCAGAAACTTATTTGTGATGTGTGTCCTCAACTAACAGAGTTGAACCTTTGTTTTGATACAGCATTTTGGAAACACTCCTTTTGTAGAATCTGCAGGTGGATATTTGGATAGCTTTGAAGATTTCGTTGGAAACCGGAATATCTTCATATAAAATCAAGACAGAAGCATTCTCGGAAACATCTCTGTGATGTTTGCATTCAACTCAGTAGAGTTGAACACTTCCTTTCATAGAGCAGGTTTGAAACACTCTTTCTGCACTACCTGGAAGCGGACATTTCGAGCGCTTTGAGGCCTATGGTGAAAAAGGAAATATCTTCTCATAAAAACCAGAAAGAAGCGTTCTCAGAAACTTCTTTGTGTTGTGTGTACTCATGTAACAGTGTTGAACCATCCTTTTGACAGAGCAGTTTTGAAACACTCTTTTTGTAGAATCTGCCAGTGGATATTTGGATAGCTTTGAGGATTTCGTTGGAAACGGGTTATCTTCATATTAAATGCTAGACAGAGAGCATTCTCAGAAACTTCTTTGTGCTGTATGTCCTCAATTCACAGAGCTGAACCTTTGTTTGGATACAGCATTTTGGAGACATTCCTTTAGTAGAATCTGCAAGTTGATATTTAGATAGCTTTGAAGATTTCGTTGGAAACGGGAATATCTTCATAGAAAA
This sequence comes from Homo sapiens, assembly GCF_000001405.40. Classification (NCBI taxonomy): domain Eukaryota; kingdom Metazoa; phylum Chordata; class Mammalia; order Primates; family Hominidae; genus Homo; species Homo sapiens. Next base: position 50,620,367 of record NC_000004.12, read on the forward strand.
TCTAGACAGAGCATTCTCAGAAACTGCTTTGTGATGTTTGCATTCAAGTCACAGAGTTGAATATTCCCTTTTATAGAGTAGGTTTGAAACACTCTTTCGGCACTACCTGGAAGTGGATATTTCGAGCTCTTTGAGGCCTATGGTTAAAAGGAAATATCTTCCCATAAAAACTAGACAGAAGCCGTCTCAGAAACTTGTTTGTGATGTGTGTATTCAACTAACAGAGTTGAACATTTCTGTTACAGAGCAATTTTAAAACACTCTTTGTGGAATCTGAAAGTGGATAATTGGATAGCTTTGTGGATTTCGTTGGAAACGGGATGACGTATAAAATCTAGAGAGAAGCATTCTCAGGAACTTCTTTCTGATGTTTGCATTCAAGTCACAGAATTGAACATTCCTTTTCAGAGTGCAGGTTTGAAACACTCTTTCTGTAGTATCTGGAAGTGGACATTTCAAGCGCTTTCAGGCCTACGGGGAGAAAGGAAATATCTTCAAATAAAAACTAGACAGAAGGGTTCTCAGAAACTTATTTGTGATGTGTGTCCTAAACGAACACAGTTGAACCTTTGTTTTGATACAGCATTTTGGAAACACTCCTTTTGTAGGATCTGCAGGTGGATATTTGGATAGATTTTAAGATTTCGTTGGAAACGGGAATTTCTGCATAGAAACTCAAGACAGATGCATTCTCAGAAACTTCTCTGTGATGTTTGCATTCCACTCATAGAGTTGAAAACTTCCTTTCATAGAGCAGGTTTGAAACACTCTTTTTGTAATATGTGGAAGTGGACATTTGCAGCGCTTTGAGGCCTATGGTGAAAAAGGAAATATCTTCTCATAAAAACCAGAAACAAGCATTCTCAGAAACTTCTTTTTGATGTGTGTACTCAAGTAACAGAGTTGAACCTTCCTCTTGACACAGCAGTTTTGAAACAATCTTTTTGTAGAATCTGCAAGTGGATATTTGGATAGCTTTGAGGATTTCGTTGGAAACGGGATATCTTCATATAAAATCTAGACAGAAGCCATTCTCAGAAACTTCTTTGTGCTGTATGTCCTCAATTAACAGAGTTGAACCATTGCTTGGATACAGCATTTTGGAAACATTCCTTGAGTAGAATCTGCAAGTTGATATTTAGATAGATTTGAAGATTTCGTTGGAAAAGGGAATAGCTCCATATAAAATCTAGAGGGAAGCATTCTCAGAAACTGCTTTGTGATGTTTCCATTCAAGTCACAGAGTTGAATATTCCCTTTTATAGAGCACGTTTGAAACACTCTTTCTGCACTATCTGGAAGTGGACATTTCGAGCGCTTTGAGGCCTATGGTGAAAAAGGAAATATCTTCCCATAAAAACTAGACAGAAGCATTCTCAGAAACTTGTTTGTGATGTGTGTATTCAACTAACAGAGTTGAACTTTTGTTTTTACAGAGCCGTTTTAAAACACTCTTTTTGTGGAATCAGAAAGTGGATATTCGGATGGCTCTGAGGATTTCGTTGGAAGCGGGATTACATATAAAATCTAGAGAGAAGCATTCTCAGGAACTTCTTTGTGATGTTTGCATTGAAGTCACAGAATTGAACATTCACTTTGATAGAGCAGGTTTGAAACACTCATTCTGTAGTATCTGGAAGTGGACATTTCAAGCGCTTTCAGGCCTATGGTGGGAAAGGAAATATCTTCGAATAAAAACTAGACAGAAGCATCCTCAGAAACTTATTTGTGATGTGTGTCCTCAACTAACAGAGTTAAAACTTTGTTTTGATACAGCATTTTGGAAACACTCTTTTTGTAGAATCTGCAGGTGGATATTTTGATAGCTTAGAGGGATTCGTTGGAAAGGGGATATCTTCATATAAAATCTAGACAGAAGCATTCTCAGAAACTTATTTGTGATGTGTGTCCTCAACTAACAGAGTTGAACCTTTGTTTTGATACAGCATTTTGGAAACACTCCTTTTGTAGAATCTGCAGGTGGATATTTGGATAGCTTTGAAGATTTCGTTGGAAACCGGAATATCTTCATATAAAATCAAGACAGAAGCATTCTCGGAAACATCTCTGTGATGTTTGCATTCAACTCAGTAGAGTTGAACACTTCCTTTCATAGAGCAGGTTTGAAACACTCTTTCTGCACTACCTGGAAGCGGACATTTCGAGCGCTTTGAGGCCTATGGTGAAAAAGGAAATATCTTCTCATAAAAACCAGAAAGAAGCATTCTCAGAAACTTCTTTGTGTTGTGTGTACTCAAGTAACAGTGTTGAACCTTCCTTTTGACAGAGCAGTTTTGAAACACTCTTTTGGTAGAATCTGCAAGTGGATATTTGGATAGCTTTGAGGATTTCGTTGGAAACGGGTTATCTTCCTATAAAATCCAGACAGGAGCATTCTCAGAAACTTCTTTGTGCTGTATGTCCTCAATTCACAGAGCTGAACCTTTGTTTGGATACAGCATTTTGGAGACATTCCTTTAGTAGAATCTGCAAGTTGATATTTAGATAGCTTTGAAGATTTCGTTGGAAACGGGAATATCTTCATAGAAAATCTAGACGGAAGCATTCTCAGAAACTGCTTTGTGATGTTTGCATTCAAGTCACAGAGTTGAATATTCCCTTTTATAGAGTAGGTTTGAAACACTCTTTCGGCACTACCTGGAAGTGGATATTTCGAGCTCTTTGAGGCCTATGGTTAAAAGGAAATATCTTCCCATAAAAACTAGACAGAAGCCGTCTCAGAAACTTGTTTGTGATGTGTGTATTCAACTAACAGAGTTGAACATTTCTGTTACAGAGCAATTTTAAAACACTCTTTTTGTGGAATCTGAAAGTGGATAATTGGGTAGCTTTGTGGATTTCGTTGGAAACGGGATGACGTATAAAATCTAGAGAGAAGCATTCTCAGGAACTTCTTTCTGATGTTTGCATTCAAGTCACAGAATTGACATTCCTTTTCAGAGTGCAGGTTTGAAACACTCTTTCTGTAGTATCTGGAAGTGGACATTTCAAGCGCTTTCAGGCCTATGGGGAGAAAGGAAATATCTTCAAATAAAAACTAGACAGAAGGATTCTCAGAAACTTATTTGTGATGTGTGTCCTAAGCGAACACAGTTGAACCTTTGTTTTGATACAGCATTTTGGAAACACTCCTTTTGTAGAATCTGCAGGTGGATATTTGGATAGATTTTAAGATTTCATTGGAAACGGGAATTTCTGCATAGAAACTCAAGACAGATGCATTCTCAGAAACTTCTCTGTGATGTTTGCATTCCACTCATAGAGTTGAAAACTTCCTTTCATAGAGCAGGTTTGAAACACTCTTTTTGTAATATTTGGAAGTGGACATTTGCAGCGCTTTGAGGCCTATGGTGAAAAAGGAAATATCTTCTCATAAAAACCAGAAACAACCATTCTCAGAAACTTCTTTTTGATGTGTGTACTCAAGTAACAGAGTTGAACCTTCCTTTTGACACAGCAGTTTTGAAACAATCTTTTTGTAGAATCTGCAAGTGGATATTTGGATAGCTTTGAGGATTTCGTTGGAAACGGGATATCTTCATATAAAATCTAGACAGAAGCATTCTCAGAAACTTCTTTGTGCTGTATGTCCTCAATTAACAGAGTTGAACCATTGCTTGGATACAGCATTTTGGAAACATTCCTTTAGTAGAATCTGCAAGTTGATATTTAGATAGATTTGAAGATTTCGTTGGAAACGGGAATATCTTCATATAAAATCTAGACGGAGGCATTCTCAGAAACTGCTTTGTGATGTTTCCATTCAAGTCACAGAGTTGAATATTCTCTTTAATAGAGCACGTTTGAAACACTCTTTCTGCACTATCTGGAAGTGGACATTTCGAGCGCTTTGAGGCCTATGGTGAAAAAGGAAATATCTTCCCATAAAAACTAGACAGAAGCATTCTCAGAAACTTGTTTGTGATGTGTGTATTCAACTAACAGACTTGAACTTTTGTTTTTACAGAGCAGTTTTAACACAATCTTTTTGTGGAATCACAAAGTGGTTATTCGGATGGCTTTGAGGATTTCGTTGGAAGCGGGATTACATATAAAATCTAGAGAGAAGCATTCTCAGGAACTAGTTTGTGATGTTTGCATTGAAGTCACAGAATTGAACATTCACTTTGATAGAGCAGGTTTGAAACACTCATTCTGTAGTATCTGGAAGCCGACAATTCAAGCGCTTTCAGGCCTATGGGGAGAAAGGAAATATCTTCAAATAGAAACTAGACAGAAGCATCGTCAGAAACTTATTTGTGATGTGTGTCCTCAACTAACAGAGTTGAAACTTTGTTTTGATACAGCCTTTTGGAAACACTCTTTTTGTAGAATCTGCAGGTGGATATTTGGATAGCTTAGAGGGATTCGTTGGAAAGGGGATATCTTCATATAAAATCTAGACAGAAGCATTCTCTGAAACTTATTTGTGATGTGTGTCCTCAACTAACAGAGTTGAACCTTGGTTTTGATACAGCATTTTGGAAACACTCCTTTTGTAGAATCTGCAGGTGGATATTTGGATAGCTTTGAAGATTTCGTTGGAAACGGGAATTTCTTCATATAAAATCAAACAGAAGCATTCTCAGAAACTTCTCTGTGATGTTTGCATTCAGCTCATGGAGTTGAACACTTCCTTTCATAGAGCAGGTTTGAAACACTCTTTCTGCACTACCTGGAAGCGGACATTTCGAGCGCTTTGAGGCCTATGGTGAAAAAGGAAATATCTTCTCATAAAAACCAGAAAGACGCATTCTCAGAAACTTCTTTGTGTTGTGTGTACTCAAGTAACATGTTGAACCTTCCTTTTGACAGAGCAGGTTTGAAACACTCTTTTGGTAGAATCTGCAAGTGGATATTTGGATAGCTTTGAGGATTTCGTTGGAAACGGGTTATCTTCATATAAAATCCAGACAGGAGCATTCACAGAAACTTCTTTGTGCTGTATGTCCTCAATTCACAGAGCTGAACCTTTGTTTGGATACAGCATTGTGGAAACATTCCTTTAGTAGAATCTGCAAGTTGATATTTAGATAGCTTTGAAGATTTCATTGGAAACGGGAATATCTTCATAGAAAATCTAGACGGAAGCATTCTCAGAAACTGCTTTGTGATGTTTGCATTCAAGTCACAGAGTTGAATATTCCCTTTTATAGAGTAGGTTTGAAACACTCTTTCGGCACTACCTGGAAGTGGATATTTCGAGCTCTTTGAGGCCTATGGTTAAAAGGAAATATCTTCCCATAAAAACTAGACAGAAGCCGTCTCAGAAACTTGTTTGTGATGTGTGTATTCAACTACCAGAGTTGAACATTTCTGTTACAGAGCAATTTTAAAACACTCTTTTTGTGGAATCTGAAAGTGGATAATTGGATAGCTTTGTGGATTTCGTTGGAAACGGGATGACGTATAAAATCTAGAGAGAAGCATTCTCAGGAACTTCTTTCTGATGTTTGCATTCAAGTCACAGAATTGAACATTCCTTTTCAGAGTGCAGGTTTGAAACACTCTTTCTGTAGTATCTGGAAGTGGACATTTCAAGCGCTTTCAGGCCTACGGGGAGAAAGGAAATATCTTCAAATAAAAACTAGACAGAAGGATTCTCAGAAACTTATTTGTGATGTGTGTCCTAAACGAACACAGTTGAACCTTTGTTTTGATACAGCATTTTGGAAACACTCCTTTTGTAGGATCTGCAGGTGGATATTTGGATAGATTTTAAGATTTCGTTGGAAACGGGAATTTCTTCATATAAACTCAAGACAGATGCATTCTCAGAAACTTCTCTGTGATGTTTGCATTCCACTCATAGAGTTGAAAACTTCCTTTCATAGAGCAGGTTTGAAACACTCTTTTTGTAATATTTGGAAGTGGACACTTGCAGCGCTATGAGGCCTATGGTGAAAAAGGAAATATCTTCTCATAAAAACCAGAAAGAAGCATTCTCAGAAACTTCTTTTTGATGTGTGTACTCAAGTAACAGAGTTGAACCTTCCTTTTGACACAGCAGTTTTGAAACAATCTTTTTGTAGAATCTGCAAGTGGATATTTGGATAGCTTTGAGGATTTCGTTGGAAACGGGATATCTTCATATAAAATCTAGACAGAAGCATTCTCAGAAACTTCTTTGTGCTGTATGTCCTCAATTAACAGAGTTGAACCATTGCTTGGATACAGCATTTTGGAAACATTCCTTGAGTAGAATCTGCAAGTTGATATTTAGATAGATTTGAAGATTTCGTTGGAAAAGGGAATATCTCCATATAAAATCTAGAGGGAAGCATTCTCAGAAACTGCTTTGTGATGTTTCCATTCAAGTCACAGAGTTGAATATTCCCTTTTATAGAGCACGTTTGAAACACTCTTTCTGCACTATCTGGAAGTGGACATTTCGAGCGCTTTGAGGCCTATGGTGAAAAAGGAAATATCTTCCCATAAAAACTAGACAGAAGCATTCTCAGAAACTTGTTTGTGATGTGTGTATTCAACTAACAGAGTTGAACTTTTGTTTTTACAGAGCCGTTTTAAAACACTCTTTTTGTGGAATCAGAAAGTGGATATTCGGATGGCTCTGAGGATTTCGTTGGAAGCGGGATTACATATAAAATCTAGAGAGAAGCATTCTCAGGAACTTCTTTGTGATGTTTGCATTGAAGTCACAGAATTGAACATTCACTTTGATAGAGCAGGTTTGAAACACTCATTCTGTAGGATCTGGAAGTGGACATTTCAAGCGCTTTCAGGCCTATGGTGAGAAAGGAAATATCTTCGAATAAAAACTAGACAGAAGCATCCTCAGAAACTTATTTGTGATGTGTGTCCTCAACTAACAGAGTTGAAACTTTGTTTTGATACAGCATTTTGGAAACACTCTTTTTGTAGAATCTGCAGGTGGATATTTGGATAGCTTAGAGGGATTCGTTGGAAAGGGGATATCTTCATATAAAATCTAGACAGAAGCATTCTCAGAAACTTATTTGTGATGTGTGTCCTCAACTAACAGAGTTGAACCTTGGTTTTGATACAGCATTTTGGAAACACTCCTTTTGTAGAATCTGCAGGTGGATATGTGGATAGCTCTGAAGATTTCGTTGGAAACGGGAATTTCTTCATATGAAATCAAACAGAAGCATTCTCAGAAACTTCTCTGTGATGTTTGCCTTCAGCTCATGGAGTTGAACAATTCCTTTCATAGAGCAGGTTTGAAACACTCTTTCTGCACTACCTGGAAGTGGACATTTCGAGCGCTTTGAGGCCTATGGTGAAAAAGGAAATATCTTCTCATAAAAACCAGAAGGAAGCATTCTCAGAAACTTCTTTGTGTTGTGTGTACTCATGTAACAGTGTTGAACCATCCTTTTGACAGAGGAGTTTTGAAACACTCTTTTTGTAGAATCTGCAAGTGGATATTTGGATAGCTTTGAGGATTTCGTTGGAAACGGGATGACATATAATATCTAGAGAGAAGCATTCTCAGGAACTTCTTTGTGATGTTTGCATTCAAGTCACAGAATTGAACATTCCCTTTCATAGAGCAGGTTTGAAACACTCTTTCTCTAGTATCTGGAAGTGGGCATTTCAAGCGCTTTCAGGCCTATGGAGAGAAAGGAAATACCTTCAAATAAAAACTAGACAGAAGCATTCTCAGAAACTTATTTGTGATGTGTGTCCTCAACTAACAGAGTTGAACCTTTGTTTTGATACAGCATTTTGGAAACACTCCTTTTGTAGAATCTGCAGGTGGATATTTGGATAGCTTTGAAGATTTCGTTGGAAACCGGAATATCTTCATATAAAATCAAGACAGAAGCATTCTCGGAAACATCTCTGTGATGTTTGCATTCAACTCAGTAGAGTTGAACACTTCCTTTCATAGAGCAGGTTTGAAACACTCTTTCTGCACTACCTGGAAGCGGACATTTCGAGCGCTTTGAGGCCTATGGTGAAAAAGGAAATATCTTCTCATAAAAACCAGAAAGAAGCATTCTCAGAAACTTCTTTGTGTTGTGTGTACTCAAGTAACAGTGTTGAACCTTCCTTTTGACAGAGCAGTTTTGAAACACTCTTTTGGTAGAATCTGTGAGTGGATATTTGGATAGCTTTGAGGATTTCGTTGGAAACGGGTTATCTTCCTATAAAATCCAGACAGGAGCATTCTCAGAAACTTCTTTGTGCTGTATGTCCTCAATTCACAGAGCTGAACCTTTGTTTGGATACAGCATTTTGGAGACATTCCTTTAGTAGAATCTGCAAGTTGATATTTAGATAGCTTTGAAGATTTCGTTGGAAACGGGAATATCTTCATAGAAAATCTAGACGGAAGCATTCTCAGAAACTGCTTTGTGATGTTTGCATTCAAGTCACAGAGTTGAATATTCCCTTTTATAGAGTAGGTTTGAAACACTCTTTCGGCACTACCTGGAAGTGGATATTTCGAGCTCTTTGAGGCCTATGGTTAAAAGGAAATATCTTCCCATAAAAACTAGACAGAAGCCGTCTCAGAAACTTTGTTTGTGATGTGTGTATTCAACTACCAGAGTTGAACATTTCTGTTACAGAGCAATTTTAAAACACTCTTTTTGTGGAATCTGAAAGTGGATAATTGGATAGCTTTGTGGATTTCGTTGGAAACGGGATGACGTATAAAATCTAGAGAGAAGCATTCTCAGGAACTTCTTTCTGATGTTTGCATTCAAGTCACAGAATTGACATTCCTTTTCAGAGTGCAGGTTTGAAACACTCTTTCTGTAGTTTCTGGAAGTGGACATTTCAAGCGCTTTCAGGCCTATGGGGAGAAAGGAAATATCTTCAAATAAAAACTAGACAGAAGGCTTCTCAGAAACTTATTTGTGATGTGTGTCCTAAACGAACACAGTTGAACCTTTGTTTTGATACAGCATTTTGGAAACACTCCTTTTGTAGAATCTGCAGGTGGATATTTGGATAGATTTTAAGATTTCGTTGGAAACGGGAATTTCTTCATAGAAACTCAAGACAGATGCATTCTCAGAAACTTCTCTGTGATGTTTGCATTCCACTCATAGAGTTGAAAACTTCCTTTCATAGAGCAGGTTTGAAACACTCTTTTTGTAATATTTGGAAGTGGACCTTTGCAGCGCTTTGAGGCCTATGGTGAAAAAGGAAATATCTTCTCATAAAAACCAGAAACAAGCATTCTCAGAAACTTCTTTTTGATGTGTGTACTCAAGTAACAGAGTTGAACCTTCCTCTTGACACAGCAGTTTTGAAACAATCTTTTTGTAGAATCTGCAAGTGGATATTTGGATAGCTTTGAGGATTTCGTTGGAAACGGGATATCTTCATATAAAATCTAGACAGAAGCATTCTCAGAAACTTCTTTGTGCTGTATGTCCTCAATTAACAGAGTTGAACCATTGCCTGGATACAGCATTTTGGAAACATTCCTTGAGTAGAATCTGCAAGTTGATATTTAGATAGATTTGAAGATTTCGTTGGAAAAGGGAATATCTCCATATAAAATCTAGAGGGAAGCATTCTCAGAAACTGCTTTGTGATGTTTCCATTCAAGTCACAGAGTTGAATATTCCCTTTTATAGAGCACGTTTGAAACACTCTTTCTGCACTATCTGGAAGCGGACATTTCGAGCGCTTTGAGGCCTATGGTGAAAAAGGAAATATCTTCCCATAAAAACTAGACAGAAGCATTCTCAGAAACTTGTTTGTGATGTGTGTATTCAACTAACAGAGTTGAACTTTTGTTTTTACAGAGCCGTTTTAAAACACTCTTTTTGTGGAATCAGAAAGTGGATATTCGGATGGCTCTGAGGATTTCGTTGGAAGCGGGATTACGTATAAAATCTAGAGAGAAGCATTCTCAGGAACTTCTTTGTGATGTTTGCATTGAAGTCACAGAATTGAACATTCACTTTGATAGAGCAGGTTTGAAACACTCATTCTGTAGTATCTGGAAGTGGACATTTCAAGCGCTTTCAGGCCTATGGTGAGAAAGGAAATATCTTCGAATAAAAACTAGACAGAAGCATCCTCAGAAACTTATTTGTGATGTGTGTCCTCAACTAACAGGGTTGAAACTTTGTTTTGATACAGCATTTTGGAAACACTCTTTTTGTAGAATCTGCAGGTGGATGTTTGGATAGCTTAGAGGGATTCGTTGGAAAGGGGATATCTTCATATAAAATCTAGACAGAAGCATTCTCAGAAACTTATTTGTGATGTGTGTCCTCAACTAACAGAGTTGAACCTTGGTTTTGATACAGCATTTTGGAAACACTCCTTTTGTAGAATCTGCAGGTGGATATGTGGATAGCTCTGAAGATTTCGTTGGAAACGGGAATTTCTTCATATAAAATCAAACAGAAGCATTCTCAGAAACTTCTCAGTGATGTTTGCATTCAGCTCATGGAGTTGTACACTTCCTTTCATAGAGCAGGTTTGAAACACTCTTTCTGCACTACCTGGAAGAGGACATTTCAAGCGCTTTGAGTCCTATGGTGAAAAAGGAAATATCTTCTCATAGAAACCAGAAAGAAGCATTCTCAGAAACTTCTTTGTGTTGTGTGTACTCATGTAACAGTGTTGAACCATCCTTTTGACAGAGGAGTTTTGAAACACTCTTTTTGTAGAATCTGCAAGTGGATATTTGGATAGCTTTGAGGATTTCGTTGGAAACGGGATGACATATAATATCTAGAGAGAAGCATTCTCAGGAACTTCTTTGTGATGTTTGCATTCAAGTCACAGAATTGAACATTCCCTATCATAGAGCAGGTTTGAAACACTCTTTCTCTAGTATCTGGAAGTGGGCATTTCAAGCGCTTTCAGGCCTATGGAGAGAAAGGAAATACCTTCAAATAAAAACTAGACAGAAAGCATTCTCAGTAAACTTATTTGTGATGTGTGTCCTCAACTAACAGAGTTGAACCTTTGTTTTGATACAGCATTTTGGAAACACTCCTTTTGTAGAATCTGCAGGTGGATATTTGGATAGCTTTGAAGATTTCGTTGGAAACCGGAATATCTTCATATAAAATCAAGACAGAAGCATTCTCGGAAACATCTCTGTGATGTTTGCATTCAACTCAGTAGAGTTGAACACTTCCTTTCATAGAGCAGGTTTGAAACACTCTTTCTGCACTACCTGGAAGCGGACATTTCGAGCGCTTTGAGGCCTATGGTGAAAAAGGAAATATCTTCTCATAAAAACCAGAAAGAAGCATTCTCAGAAACTTCTTTGTGTTGTGTGTACTCAAGTAACAGTGTTGAACCTTCCTTTTGACAGAGCAGTTTTGAAACACTCTTTTGGTAGAATCTGCAAGTGGATATTTGGATAGCTTTGAGGATTTCGTTGGAAACGGGTTATCTTCATATAAAATACCAGACAGGAGCATTCTCAGAAACTTCTTTGTGCTGTATGTCCTCAATTCACAGAGCTGAACCTTTGTTTGGATACAGCATTTTGGAGACATTCCTTTAGTAGAATCTGCAAGTTGATATTTAGATAGCTTTGAAGATTTCGTTGGAAACGGGAATATCTTCATAGAAAATGCTAGACGGAAGCATTCTCAGAAACTGCTTTGTGATGTTTGCATTCAAGTCACAGAGTTGAATATTCCCTTTTATAGAGTAGGTTTGAAACACTCTTTCGGCACTACCTGGAAGTGGATATTTCGAGCTCTTTGAGGCCTATGGTTAAAAGGAAATATCTTCCCATAAAAACTAGACAGAAGCCGTCTCAGAAACTTGTTTGTGATGTGTGCATTCAACTAACAGAGCTGAACATTCCTGTTACAGAGCAGTTTTAAAACACTCTTTTTGTGGAATCTGAAAGTGGATAATTGGATAGCTTTGTGGATTTCGTTGGAAACGGGATGACGTATAAAATCTAGAGAGAAGCATTCTCAGGAACTTCTTTCTGATGTTTGCATTCAAGTCACAGAATTGAACATTCCTTTTCATAGTGCAGGTTTGAAACACTCTTTCTGTAGTATTTGGAAGTGGACATTTCAAGCGCTTTCAGGCCTATGGGGAGAAAGGAAATATCTTCAAATAAAAACTAGACAGAAGGATTCTCAGAAACTTATTTGTGATGTGTGTCCTAAACGAACACAGTTGAACCTTTGTTTTGATACAGCATTTTGGAAACACTCCTTTTGTAGGATCTGCAGGTGGATATTTGGATAGATTTTAAGATTTCGTTGGAAACGGGAATTTCTGCATATAAACTCAAGACAGATGCATTCTCAGAAACTTCTCTGTGATGTTTGCATTCCACTCATAGAGTTGAAAACTTCCTTTCATAGAGCAGGTTTGAAACACTCTTTTTGTAATATTTGGAAGTGGACATTTGCAGCGCTTTGAGGCCTATGGTGAAAAAGGAAATATCTTCTCATAAAAACCAGAAACAAGCATTCTCAGAAACTTCTTTTTGATGTGTGTACTCAAGTAACAGAGTTGAACCTTCCTTTTGACACAGCAGTTTTGAAACAATCTTTTTGTAGAATCTGCAAGTGGATATTTGGATAGCTTTGAGGATTTCGTTGGAAACGGGATATCTTCATATAAAATCTAGACAGAAGCATTCTCAGAAACTTCTTTGTGCTGTATGTCCTCAATTAACAGAGTTGAACCATTGCTTGGATACAGCATTTTGGAAACATTCCTTTAGTAGAATCTGCAAGTTGATATTTAGATAGATTTGAAGATTTCGTTGGAAACGGGAATATCTTCATATAAAATCTAGACGGAGGCATTCTCAGAAACTGCTTTGTGATGTTTCCATTCAAGTCACAGAGTTGAATATTCCCTTTTATAGAGCACGTTTGAAACACTCTTTCGGCACTATCTGGAAGTGGACATTTCGAGCGCTTTGAGGCCTATGGTGAAAAAGGAAATATCTTCCCATAAAAACTAGACAGAAGCATTCTCAGAAACTTGTTTGTGATGTGTGTATTCAACTAACAGACTTGAACTTTTGTTTTTACAGAGCAGTTTTAAAACAATCTTTTTGTGGAATCAGAAAGTGGATATTCGGATGGCTTTGAGGATTTCGTTGGAAGCGGGATTACATATAAAATCTAGAGAGAAGCATTCTCAGGAACTACTTTGTGATGTTTGCATTGAAGTCACAGAATTGAACATTCACTTTGATAGAGCAGGTTTGAAACACTCATTCTGTAGTATCTGGAAGCCGACAATTCAAGCGCTTTCAGGCCTATGGGGAGAAAGGAAATATCTTCAAATAGAAACTAGACAGAAGCATCCTCAGAAACTTATTTGTGATGTGTGTCCTAAACTAACAGAGTTGAAACTTTGTTTTGATACAGCATTTTGGAAACACTCTTTTTGTAGAATCTGCAGGTGGATATTTAGATAGCTTAGAGGGATTCGTTGGAAAGGGGATATCTTCATATAAAATCTAGACAGAAGCATTCTCAGAAACTTATTTGTGATGTGTGTCCTCAACTAACAGAGTGGAACCTTGGTTTTGATACAGCATTTTGGAAACACTCCTTTTGTAGAATCTGCAGGTGGATATGTGGATAGCTTTGAAGATTTCGTTGGAAACGGGAATTTCTTCATATAAAATCAAACAGAAGCATTCTCAGGAACTTCTCTGTGATGTTTGCATTCAGCTCATGGAGTTGAACACTTCCTTTCATAGAGCAGGTTTGAAACACTCTTTCTGCACTACTTGGAAGTGGACATTTCGAGCGCTTTGAGGCCTATCTTGAAAAAGGAAATATCCTCTCATAAAAACCAGAAAGAAGCGTTCTCAGAAACTTCTTTGTGTTGTGTGTACTCATGTAACAGTGTTGAACCATCCTTTTGACAGAGCAGTTTTGAAACACTCTTTTTGTAGAATCTGCCAGTGGATATTTGGATAGCTTTGAGGATTTCGTTGGAAACGGGTTATCTTCATATTAAATCTAGACAGAAGCATTCTCAGAAACTTCTTTGTGCTGTATGTCCTCAATTCACAGAGTTGAACCTTTGTTTGGATACAGCATTTTGGAAACATTCCTTTAGTAGAATCTGCAAGTTGATATTTAGATAGCTTTGAAGATTTCGTTGGAAACGGGAATATCTTCATAAAAAATCTAGACGGAAGCATTGTCAGAAACTGCTCTGTGATGTTTCCATTCAAGTCACAGAGTTAAATATTCTTTTACAGAGCAGGTTTGAAACACTCTTTCTGCACTCCCTGGAAGTGGAGATTTCGAGCGCTTTGAGGCCTATGGTGAAAAAGGAAATATCTTCCCGTAAAAACTAGACGGAAGCCTTCTCAGAAACTTGTTTGAGATGTGTGTATTCAACTAAGAGCGTTGAACATTTCTTTTTACAGAGCAGTTTTAAAACAGTCTTTTGGTGGAATCTGAAAGTGGATAATTGGATAGCTTTGTGGATTTCGTTGGAAACGGGATTACGTTTAAAATCTAGAGAGAAGCATTCTCAGGAACTTCTTTCTGATGTTTGCATTCAAGTCACAGAATTGAACATTCCTTTTCATAGTGCAGGTTTGAAACACTCTGTAGTATCTGGAAGTGGACATTTCAAGCGCTTTCAAGCCTATGGGGTGAAAGGAAATATCTTGAAATAAAAACTAGACAGAAGGATTCTCAGAAACTTATTTGTGATGTGTGTCCTAAACGAACACAGTTGAACCTTTGTTTTGATACAGCATTTTGGAAACACTCCTTTTGTAGAATCTGCAGGTGGATATTTGGATAGATTTTAAGATTTCATTGGAAACGGGAATTTCTTCATATAAACTCAAGACAGATGCATTCTCAGAAACTTCTCTGTGATGTTTGCATTCCACTCACAGAGTTGAAAACTTCCTTTCATAGAGCAGGTTTGAAACACTCTTTTTGTAATATTTGGAAGTGGACATTTGCAGCGCTTTGAGGCCTATGGTGAAAAAGGAAATATCTTCTCATAAAAACCAGAAACAAGCATTCTCAGAAACTGCTTTTTGATGTGTGTACTCAAGTAACAGAGTTGAACCTTCCTTTTGACACAGCAGTTTTGAAACAATCTTTTTGTAGAATCTGCAAGTGGATATTTGGATAGCTTTGAGGATTTCGTTGGAAACGGGATATCTTCATATAAAATCTAGACAGAAGCATTCTCAGAAACTTCTTTGTGCTGTATGTCCTCAATTAACAGAGTTGAACCATTGCTTGGATACAGCATTTTGGAAACATTCCTTTAGTAGAATCTGCAAGTTGATATTTAGATAGCATTGAAGATTTCGTTGGAAACGGGAATATCTTCATATAAAATCTAGACGGAGGCATTCTCAGAAACTGCTTTGTGATGTTTCCATTCAAGTCACAGAGTTGAATATTCTCTTTTCTAGAGCACGTTTGAAACACTCTTTCTGCACTATCTGGAAGTGGACATTTCGAGCGCTTTGAGGCCTATGGTGAAAAAGGAAATATCTTCCCATAAAAACTAGACAGAAGCATTCTCAGAAACTTGTTTGTGATGTGTGTATTCAACTAACAGACTTGAACTTTTGTTTTTACAGAGCAGTTTTAAAACAATCTTTTTGTGGAATCAGAAAGTGGATATTCGGATGGCTTTGAGGATTTCGTTGGAAGCGGGATTACATATAAAATCTAGAGAGAAGCATTCTCAGGAACTACTTTGTGATGTTTGCATTGAAGTCACAGAATTGAACATTCACTATGATAGAGCAGGTTTGAAACACTCATGCTGTAGTATCTGGAAGTGGACATTTCAAGTGCTTTCAGGCCTATGGTGAGAAAGGAAATATCTTCAAATTAAAACTAGACAGAAGCATCCTCAGAAACTTATTTGTGATGTGTGTCCTCAACTAACAGAGTTGAAACTTTGTTTTGATACAGCATTTTGGAAACACTCTTTTTGTAGAATCTGCAGGTGGATATTTGGATAGCTTAGAGGGATTCGTTGGAAAGGGGATATCTTCATATAAAATCTAGACAGAAGCATTCTCAGAAACTTATTTGTGATGTGTGTCCTCAACTAACAGAGTTGAACCTTGGTTTTGATACAGCATTTTGGAAACACTCCTTTTGAAGAATCTGCAGGTGGATATGTGGATAGCTTTGAAGATTTCGTTGGAAACGGGAATTTCTTCATATAAAATCAAACAGAAGCATTCTCAGGAACTTCTCTGTGATGTTTGCATTCAGCTCATGGAGTTGAACACTTCCTTTCATAGAGCAGGTTTGAAACACTCTTTCTGCACTACCTGGAAGTGGACATTTCGAGCCGCTTTGAGGCCTACGGTGAAAAAGGAAATATCCTCTCATAAAAACCAGAAAGAAGCGTTCTCAGAAACTTCTTTGTGTTGTGTGTACTCATGTAACAGTGTTGAACCATCCTTTTGACAGAGCAGTTTTGAAACACTCTTTTTGTAGAATCTGCAAGTGGATATTTGGATAGCTTTGAGGATTTCGTTGGAAACGGGTTATCTTCATATTAAATCCAGACAGAAGCATTCTCAGAAACTTCTTTGTGCTGTATGTCCTCAATTCACAGAGCTGAACCTTTGTTTGGATACAGCATTTTGGAGACATTCCTTTAGTAGAATCTGCAAGTTGATATTTAGATAGCTTTGAAGATTTCGTTGGAAACGGGAATATCTTCATAGAAAATCTAGACGGAAGCATTCTCAGAAACTGCTTTGTGATGTTTGCATTCAAGTCACAGAGTTGAATATTCCCTTTTATAGAGTAGGTTTGAAACACTCTTTCGGCACTACCTGGAAGTGGATATTTCGAGCTCTTTGAGGCCTATGGTTAAAAGGAAATATCTTCCCATAAAAACTAGACAGAAGCCGTCTCAGAAACTTGTTTGTGATGTGTGTATTCAACTAACAGAGTTGAACATTTCTGTTACAGAGCAATTTTAAAACACTCTTTGTGGAATCTGAAAGTGGATAATTGGATAGCTTTGTGGATTTCGTTGGAAACGGGATGACGTATAAAATCTAGAGAGAAGCATTCTCAGGAACTTCTTTCTGATGTTTGCATTCAAGTCACAGAATTGAACATTCCTTTTCAGAGTGCAGGTTTGAAACACTCTTTCTGTAGTATCTGGAAGTGGACATTTCAAGCGCTTTCAGGCCTACGGGGAGAAAGGAAATATCTTCAAATAAAAACTAGACAGAAGGATTCTCAGAAACTTATTTGTGATGTGTGTCCTAAACGAACACAGTTGAACCTTTGTTTTGATACAGCATTTTGGAAACACTCCTTTTGTAGGATCTGCAGGTGGATATTTGGATAGATTTTAAGATTTCGTTGGAAACGGGAATTTCTTCATAGAAGCTCAAGACAGATGCATTCTCAGAAACTTCTCTGTGATGTTTGCATTCCACTCATAGAGTTGAAAACTTCCTTTCATAGAGCAGGTTTGAAACACTCTTTTTGTAATATTTGGAAGTGGACATTTGCAGCGCTTTGAGGCCTATGGTGAAAAAGGAAATATCTTCTCATAAAAACCAGAAACAAGCATTCTCAGAAACTTCTTTTTGATGTGTGTACTCAAGTAACAGAGTTGAACCTTCCTTTTGACACAGCAGTTTTGAAACCATCTTTTTGTAGAATCTGCAAGTGGATATTTGGATAGCTTTGAGGATTTCGTTGGAAACGGGATATCTTCATATAAAATCTAGACAGAAGCATTCTCAGAAACTTCTTTGTGCTGTATGTCCTCAATTAACAGAGTTGAACCATTGCCTGGATACATCATTTTGGAAACATTCCTTGAGTAGAATCTGCAAGTTGATATTTAGATAGATTTGAAGATTTCGTTGGAAAAGGGAATATCTCCATATAAAATCTAGAGGGAAGCATTCTCAGAAACTGCTTTGTGATGTTTCCATTCAAGTCACAGAGTTGAATATTCCCTTTTATAGAGCACGTTTGAAACACTCTTTCTGCACTATCTGGAAGCGGACATTTCGAGCGCTTTGAGGCCTAGGGTGAAAAAGGTAATATCTTCCCATAAAAACTAGACAGAAGCATTCTCAGAAACTTGTTTGTGATGTGTGTATTCAACTAACAGAGTTGAACTTTTGTTTTTACAGAGCAGTTTTAAAACACTCTTTTTGTGGAATCAGAAAGTAGATAGTCGGATGGCTCTGAGGATTTCGTTGGAAGCGGGATTACATATAAAATCTAGAGAGAAGCATTCTCAGGAACTTCTTTGTGATGTTTGCATTGAAGTCACAGAATTGAACATTCACTTTTATAGAGCAGGTTTGAAACACTCATTCTGTAGTATCTGGAAGTGGACATTTCAAGCGCCTTCAGGCCTATGGTGAGAAAGGAAATACCTTCAAATAAAAACTAGACAGAAGCATCCTCAGAAACTTATTTGAGATGTGTGTCCTCAACTAACAGAGTTGAACCTCTGTTTTGATACAGCATTTTGGAAACACTCCTTTTGTAGAATCTGCACGTGGATATTTGGATAGCTTTGAAGATTTCGTTGGAAATCGGAATATCTTCATATAAAATCAAGACCGAAGCATTCTCGGAAACATCTCTGTGATGTTTGCATTCAACTCAGTAGAGTTGAACACTTCCTTTCATAGAGCAGGTTTGAAACACTCTTTCTGCACTACCTGGAAGCGGACATTTCGAGCGCTTTGAGGCCTATGGTGAAAAAGGAAATATCTTCTCATAAAAACCAGAAAGAAGCATTCTCAGAAACTTCTTTGTGTTGTGTGTACTCAAGTAACAGTGTTGAACCTTCCTTTTGACAGAGTAGTTTTGAAACACTCTTTTGGTAGAATCTGCAAGTGGATATTTGGATAGCTTTGAGGATTTCGTTGGAAACGGGTTATCTTCCTATAAAATCCAGACAGGAGCATTCTCAGAAACTTCTTTGTGCTGTATGTCCTCAATTCACAGAGCTGAACCTTTGTTTGGATACAGCATTTTGGAGACATTCCTTTAGTAGAATCTGCAAGTTGATATTTAGATAGCTTTGAAGATTTCGTTGGAAACGGGAATATCTTCATAGAAAATCTAGACGGAAGCATTCTCAGAAACTGCTTTGTGATGTTTGCATTCAAGTCACAGAGTTGAATATTCCCTTTTATAGAGTAGGTTTGAAACACTCTTTCGGCACTACCTGGAAGTGGATATTTCGAGCTCTTTGAGGCCTATGGTTAAAAGGAAATATCTTCCCATAAAAACTAGACAGAAGCCGTCTCAGAAACTTGTTTGTGATGTGTGTATTCAACTACCAGAGTTGAACATTTCTGTTACAGAGCAATTTTAAAACACTCTTTTTGTGGAATCTGAAAGTGGATAATTGGATAGCTTTGTGGATTTCGTTGGAAACGGGATGACGTATAAAATCTAGAGAGAAGCATTCTCAGGAACTTCTTTCTGATGTTTGCATTCAAGTCACAGAATTGAACATTCCTTTTCAGAGTGCAGGTTTGAAACACACTCTTTCTGTAGTATCTGGAAGTGGACATTTCAAGCGCTTTCAGGCCTACGGGGAGAAAGGAAATATCTTCAAATAAAAACTAGACAGAAGGATTCTCAGAAACTTATTTGTGATGTGTGTCCTAAACGAACACAGTTGAACCTTTGTTTTGATACAGCATTTTGGAAACACTCCTTTTGTAGGATCTGCAGGTGGATATTTGGATAGATTTTAAGATTTCGTTGGAAACGGGAATTTCTGCATATAAACTCAAGACAGATGCATTCTCAGAAACTTCTCTGTGATGTTTGCATTCCACTCATAGAGTTGAAAACTTCCTTTCATAGAGCAGGTTTGAAACACTCTTTTTGTAATATTTGGAAGTGGACATTTGCAGCGCTTTGAGGCCTATGGTGAAAAAAGGAAATATCTTCTCATAAAAACCAGAAACAAGCATTCTCAGAAACTTCTTTTTGATGTGTGTACTCAAGTAACAGAGTTGAACCTTCCTTTTGACACAGCAGTTTTGAAACAATCTTTTTGTAGAATCTGCAAGTGGATATTTGGATAGCTTTGAGGATTTCGTTGGAAACGGGATATCTTCATATAAAATCTAGACAGAAGCATTCTCAGAAACTTCTTTGTGCTGTATGTCCTCAATTAACAGAGTTGAACCATTGCTTGGATACAGCATTTTGGAAACATTCCTTTAGTAGAATCTGCAAGTTGATATTTAGATAGATTTGAAGATTTCGTTGGAAACGGGAATATCTTCATATAAAATCTAGACGGAAGCATTCTCAGAAACTGTTTTGTGATGTTTCCATTCAAGTCACAGAGTTGAATATTCTCTTTTATAGAGCACGTTTGAAACACTCTTTCTGCACTATCTGGAAGTGGACATTTCGAGCGCTTTGAGGCCTATGGTGAAAAAGGAAATATCTTCCCATAAAAACTAGACAGAAGCTTTCTCAGAAACTTGTTTGTGATGTGTGTATTCAACTGAGTTGAACTTTTGTTTCTACAGAGCAGTTTTAAAACACTCTTTTTGTGGAATCAGAAAGTGGATATTCGGATGGCTCTGAGGATTTCGTTGGAAGCGGGATTACATATAAAATCTAGAGAGAAGCATTCTCAGGAACTACTTTGTGATGTTTGCATTGAAGTCACAGAATTGAACATTCACTTTGATAGAGCAGGTTTGAAACACTCATGCTGTAGTATCTGGAAGTGGACAATTCAAGCGCTTTCAGGCCTATGGGGAGAAAGGAAATATCTTCAAATAAAAACTAGACAGAAGCATCCTCAGAAACTTATTTGTGATGTGTGTCCTCAACTAACAGAGTTGAAACTTTGTTTTGATACAGCATTTTGGAAACACTCTTTTTGTAGAATCTGCAGGTGGATACTTGGATAGCTTAGAGGGATTCGTTGGAAAGGGGATAAATTCATATAAAATCTAGACAGAAGCATTCTCAGAAACTTATTTGTGATGTGTGTCCTCAACTAACAGAGTTGAACCTTGGTTTTGATACAGCATTTTGGAAACACTCCTTTTGAAGAATCTGCAGGTGGATATGTGGATAGCTTTGAAGATTTCGTTGGAAACGGGAATTTCTTCATATAAAATCAAACAGAAGCATTCTCAGAAACTTCTCTGTGATGTTTGCATTCAGTTCATGGAGTTGAACACTTCCTTTCATAGAGCAGGTTTGAAACACTCTTTCTGCACTACCTGGAAGTGGACATTTCGAGCGCTTTGAGGCCTATGGTGAAAAAGGAAATATCTTCTCATAAAAACCAGAAAGAAGCGTTCTCAGAAACTTCTTTGTGTTGTGTGTACTCATGTAACAGTGTTGAACCATCCTTTTGACAGAGCAGTTTTGAAACACTCTTTTTGTAGAATCTGCAAGTGGATATTTGGATAGTTTTGAGGATTTCGTTGGAAACGGGTTATCTTCATATTAAATCTAGACAGAAGCATTCTCAGAAACTTCTTTGTGCTGTATGTCCTCAATTCACAGAGTTGAACCTTTGTTTGGATACAGCATTTTGGAAACATTCCTTTAGTAGAATCTGCAAGTTGATATTTCGATAGGTTTGAAGATTTCGTTGGAAACGGGAATATCTTCATAAAAACTCTAGACGGAAGCATTCTCAGAAACTTATTTGTGATGTGTGTCCTCAACTAACAGAGTTGAACCTTTGTTTTGATACAGCATTTTGGAAACACTCCTTTTGTAGAATCTGCAGGTGGATATTTGGATAGCTTTGAAGATTTCGTTGGAAACCGGAATATCTTCATATAAAATCAAGACAGAAGCATTCTCGGAAACATCTCTGTGATGTTTGCATTCAACTCAGTAGAGTTGAACACTTCCTTTCATAGAGCAGGTTTGAAACACTCTTTCTGCCCTACCTGGAAGCGGACATTTCGAGCGCTTTGAGGCCTATGGTGAAAAAGGAAATATCTTCTCATAAAAACCAGAAAGAAGCATTCTCAGAAACTTCTTTGTGTTGTGTGTACTCAAGTAACAGTGTTGAACCTTCCTTTTGACAGAGCAGTTTTGAAACACTCTTTTGGTAGAATCTGCAAGTGGATATTTGGATAGCTTTGAGGATTTCGTTGGAAACGGGTTATCTTCATATAAAATCCAGACAGGAGCATTCTCAGAAACTTCTTTGTGCTGTATGTCCTCAATTCACAGAGCTGAACCTTTGTTTGGATACAGCATTTTGGAGACATTCCTTTAGTAGAATCTGCAAGTTGATATTTAGATAGCTTTGAAGATTTCGTTGGAAACGGGAATATCTTCATAGAAAATCTAGACGGAAGCATTCTCAGAAACTGCTTTGTGATGTTTGCATTCAAGTCACAGAGTTGAATATTCCCTTTTATAGAGTAGGTTTGAAACACTCTTTCGGCACTACCTGGAAGTGGATATTTCGAGCTCTTTGAGGCCTATGGTTAAAAGGAAATATCTTCCCATAAAAACTAGACAGAAGCCGTCTCAGAAACTTTTTTGTGATGTGTGTATTCAACTAACAGAGTTGAACATTTCTGTTACAGAGCAATTTTAAAACACTCTTTGTGGAATCTGAAAGTGGATAATTGGATAGCTTTGTGGATTTCGTTGGAAACGGGATGACGTATAAAATCTAGAGAGAAGCATTCTCAGGAACTTCTTTCTGATGTTTGCATTCAAGTCACAGAATTGAACATTCCTTTTCAGAGTGCAGGTTTGAAACACTCTTTCTGTAGTATCTGGAAGTGGACATTTCAAGCGCTTTCAGGCCTACGGGGAGAAAGGAAATATCTTCAAATAAAAACTAGACAGAAGGATTCTCAGAAACTTATTTGTGATGTGTGTCCTAAACGAACACAGTTGAACCTTTGTTTTGATACAGCATTTTGGAAACACTCCTTTTGTAGGATCTGCAGGTGGATATTTGGATAGATTTTAAGATTTCGTTGGAAACGGGAATTTCTTCATAGAAGCTCAAGACAGATGCATTCTCAGAAACTTCTCTGTGATGTTTGCATTCCACTCATAGAGTTGAAAACTTCCTTTCATAGAGCAGGTTTGAAACACTCTTTTTGTAATATTTGGAAGTGGACATTTGCAGCGCTTTGAGGCCTATGGTGAAAAAGGAAATATCTTCTCATAAAAACCAGAAACAAGCATTCTCAGAAACTTCTTTTTGATGTGTGTACTCAAGTAACAGAGTTGAACCTTCCTTTTGACACAGCAGTTTTGAAACAATCTTTTTGTAGAATCTGCAAGTGGATATTTGGATAGCTTTGAGGATTTCGTTGGAAACGGGATATCTTCATATAAAATCTAGAGAGAAGCATTCTCAGAAACTTCTTTGTGCTGTATGTCCTCAATTAACAGAGTTGAACCATTGCTTGGATACAGCATTTTGGAAACATTCCTTTAGTAGAATCTGCAAGTTGATATTTAGATAGATTTGAAGATTTCGTTGGAAACGGGAATATCTTCATATAAAATCCTAGACGGAGGCATTCTCAGAAACTGCTTTGTGATGTTTCCATTCAAGTCACAGAGTTGAATATTCTCTTTTATAGGGCACGTTTGAAACACTCTTTCTGCACTATCTGGAAGTGGACATTTCGAGCGCTGTGAGGCCTATGGTGAAAAAGGAAATACCTTCCCATAAAAACTAGACAGAAGCATTCTCAGAAAATTGTTTATGATGTGTGTATTCAACTAACAGACTTGAACTTTTGTTTTTACAGAGCAGTTTTAAGACAATCTTTTTGTGGAATCAGAAAGTGGATATTCGGATGGCTTTGAGGACTTCGTTGGAAGCGGGATTACATATAAAATCTAGAGAGAAGCATTCTCAGGAACTTCTTTGTGATGTTTGCATTGAAGTCACAGAATTGAACATTCACTTTGATAGAGCAGGTTTGAAACACTCATTCTGTAGTATCTGGAAGCGGACAATTCAAGCGCTTTCAGGCCTATGGGGAGAAAGGAAGTATCTTCAAATAAAAACTAGAGAGAAGCATCCTCAGAAACTTATTTGTGATGTGTGTCCTCAACTAACAGAGTTGAAACTTTGTTTTGATACAGCATTTTGGAAACACTCTTTTTGTAGAATCTGCAGGTGGATATTTGGATAGCTTAGAGGGATTCGTTGGAAAGGGGATATCTTCATATAAAACCTAGACAGAAGCATTCTCAGAAACTTATTTGTGATGTGTGTCCTCAACTAACAGAGTTGAACCTTGGTTTTGATACAGCATTTTGGAAACACTGCTTTTGAAGAATCTGCAGGTGGATATGTGGATAGCTTTGAAGATTTCGTTGGAAACGGGAATTTCTTCATATAAAATCAAACAGAAGCATTCTCAGAAACTTCTCTGTGATGTTTGCATTCAGCTCATGGAGTTGAACACTTCCTTTCATAGAGCAGGTTTGAAACACTCTTTCTGCCCTACCTAGAAGTGGACATTTCGAGCGCTTTGAGGCCTATGGTGAAAAAGGAAATATCCTCTCATAAAAACCAGAAAGAAGCGTTCTCAGAAACTTCTTTGTGTTGTGTGTACTCATGTAACAGTGTTGAACCATCCTTTTGACAGAGCAGTTTTGAAACACTCTTTTTGTAGAATCTGCAAGTGGATATTTGGATAGCTTTGAGGATTTCGTTGGAAACGGGTTATCTTCATATTAAATCTAGACAGAAGCATTCTCAGAAACTTCTTTGTGCTGTATGTCCTCAATTCACAGAGTTGAACCTTTGTTTGGATACAGCATTTTGGAAACATTCCTTTAGTAGAATCTGCAAGTGGATATTTAGATAGCTTTGAAGATTTCGTTGGAAACGGGAATATCTTCATAAAAAATCTGGACGGAAGCATTGTCAGAAACTGCTTTGCGATGTTTGCATTCAAGTTACAGAGTTAAATAGTCTTTTATAGAGCAGGTTTGAAACACTCTTTCTGCACTACCTGGAAGTGGAGATTTCGAGCGCTTTGAGGCCTATGGTGAAAAAGGAAATATCTTCCCATAAAAACTAGACGGAAGCATTCTCAGAAACTTGTTTGTGATGTGTGTATTCAACTAACAGACTTGAACTTTTGTTTTTACAGAGCAGTTTTAAAACAATCTTTTTGTGGAATCAGAAAGTGGATATTCGGATGGCTTTGAGGATTTCGTTGGAAGCGGGATTACATATAAAATCTAGAGAGAAGCATTCTCAGGAACTACTTTGTGATGTTTGCATTGAAGTCACAGAATTGAACATTCACTTTGATAGAGCAGGTTTGAAACACTCATTCTGTAGTATCTGGAAGTGGACATTTCAAGCGCTTTTAGGCCTATGGTGAGAAAGGAAATATCTTCAAATTAAAACTAGACAGAAGCATCCTCAGAAACTTATTTGTGATGTGTGTCCTCAACTAACAGAGTTGAAACTTTGTTTTGATACAGCATTTTGGAAACACTCTTTTTGTAGAATCTGCAGGTGGATACTTGGATAGCTTAGAGGGATTCGTTGGAAAGGGGATATCTTCATATAAAATCTAGACAGAAGCATTCTCAGAAACTTATTTGTGATGTGTGTCCTCAACTAACAGAGTTGAACCTTGGTTTTGATACAGCATTTTGGAAACACTGCTTTTGAAGAATCTGCAGGTGGATATGTGGATAGCTTTGAAGATTTCGTTGGAAACGGGAATTTCTTCATATAAAATCAAACAGAAGCATTCTCAGAAACTTCTCAGTGATGTTTGCATTCAGTTCATGGAGTTGAACACTTCCTTTCATAGAGCCGGTTTGAAACACTCTTTCTGCACTACCTGGAAGAGGACATTTCGAGCGCTTTGAGTCCTATGGTGAAAAAGGAAATATCTTCTCATAGAAACCAGAAAGAAGCATTCTCAGAAACTTCTTTGTGTTGTGTGTACTCATGTAACAGTGTTGAACCATCCTTTTGACAGAGCAGTTTTGAAACACTCTTTTTGTAGAATCTGCAAGTGGATATTTGGATAGCTTTGAGGATTTCGTTGGAAACGGGATGACATATAATATCTAGAGAGAAGCATTCTCAGGAACTTCTTTGTGATGTTTGCATTCAAGTCACAGAATTGAACATTCCCTTTCATAGAGCAGGTTTGAAACACTCTTTCTCTAGTATCTGGAAGTGGGCATTTCAAGCGCTTTCAGGCCTATGGAGAGAAAGGAAATACCTTCAAATAAAAACTAGACAGAAGCATTCTCAGAAACTTATTTGTGATGTGTGTCCTCAACTAACAGAGTTGAACCTTTGTTTTGATACAGCATTTTGGAAACACTCCTTTTGTAGAATCTGCAGGTGGATATTTGGATAGCTTTGAAGATTTCGTTGGAAACCGGAATATCTTCATATAAAATCAAGACAGAAGCATTCTCGGAAACATCTCTGTGATGTTTGCATTCAACTCAGTAGAGTTGAACACTTCCTTTCATAGAGCAGGTTTGAAACACTCTTTCTGCACTACCTGGAAGCGGACATTTCGAGCGCTTTGAGGCCTATGGTGAAAAAGGAAATATCTTCTCATAAAAACCAGAAAGAAGCATTCTCAGAAACTTCTTTGTGTTGTGTGTACTCAAGTAACAGTGTTGAACCTTCCTTTTGACAGAGCAGTTTTGAAACACTCTTTTGGTAGAATCTGCAAGTGGATATTTGGAGAGCTTTGAGGATTTCGTTGGAAACGGGTTATCTTCCTATAAAATCCAGACAGGAGCATTCTCAGAAACTTCTTTGTGCTGTATGTCCTCAATTCACAGAGCTGAACCTTTGTTTGGATACAGCATTTTGGAGACATTCCTTTAGTAGAATCTGCAAGTTGATATTTAGATAGCTTTGAAGATTTCGTTGGAAACGGGAATATCTTCATAGAAAATCTAGACGGAAGCATTCTCAGAAACTGCTTTGTGATGTTTGCATTCAAGTCACAGAGTTGAATATTCCCTTTTATAGAGTAGGTTTGAAACACTCTTTCGGCACTACCTGGAAGTGGATATTTCGAGCTCTTTGAGGCCTATGGTTAAAAGGAAATATCTTCCCATAAAAACTAGACAGAAAGCCGTCTCAGAAACTTGTTTGTGATGTGTGTATTCAACTACCAGAGTTGAACATTTCTGTTACAGAGCAATTTTAAAACACTCTTTTTGTGGAATCTGAAAGTGGATAATTGGATAGCTTTGTGGGTTTCGTTGGAAACGGGATGACGTATAAAATCTAGAGAGAAGCATTCTCAGGAACTTCTTTCTGATGTTTGCATTCAAGTCACAGAATTGAACATTCCTTTTCAGAGTGCAGGTTTGAAACACACTCTTTCTGTAGTATCTGGAAGTGGACATTTCAAGCGCTTTCAGGCCTACGGGGAGAAAGGAAATATCTTCAAATAAAAACTAGACAGAAGGATTCTCAGAAACTTATTTGTGATGTGTGTCCTAAACGAACACAGTTGAACCTTTGTTTTGATACAGCATTTTGGAAACACTCCTTTTGTAGGATCTGCAGGTGGATATTTGGATAGATTTTAAGATTTCGTTGGAAACGGGAATTTCTTCATAGAAGCTCAAGACAGATGCATTCTCAGAAACTTCTCTGTGATGTTTGCATTCCACTCATAGAGTTGAAAACTTCCTTTCATAGAGCAGGTTTGAAACACTCTTTTTGTAATATTTGGAAGTGGACATTTGCAGCGCTTTGAGGCCTATGGTGAAAAAGGAAATATCTTCTCATAAAAACCAGAAACAAGCATTCTCAGAAACTTCTTTTTGATGTGTGTACTCAAGTAACAGAGTTGAACCTTCCTCTTGACACAGCAGTTTTGAAACAATCTTTTTGTAGAATCTGCAAGTGGATATTTGGATACCTTTGAGGATTTCGTTGGAAACGGGATATCTTCATATAAAATCTAGACAGAAGCATTCTCAGAAACTTCTTTGTGCTGTATGTCCTCAATTAACAGAGTTGAACCATTGCCTGGATACAGCATTTTGGAAACATTCCTTGAGTAGAATCTGCAAGTTGATATTTAGATAGATTTGAAGATTTCGTTGGAAAAGGGAATATCTCCATATAAAATCTAGAGGGAAGCATTCTCAGAAACTGCTTTGTGATGTTTCCATTCAAGTCACAGAGTTGAATATTCCCTTTTATAGAGCACGTTTGAAACACTCTTTCTGCACTATCTGGAAGCGGACATTTCGAGCGCTTTGAGGCCTATGGTGAAAAAGGAAATATCTTCCCATAAAAACTAGACAGAAGCATTCTCAGAAACTTGTTTGTGATGTGTGTATTCAACTAACAGAGTTGAACTTTTGTTTTTACAGAGCCGTTTTAAAACACTCTTTTTGTGGAATCAGAAAGTGGATATTCGGATGGCTCTGAGGATTTCGTTGGAAGCGGGATTACGTATAAAATCTAGAGAGAAGCATTCTCAGGAACTTCTTTGTGATGTTTGCATTGAAGTCACAGAATTGAACATTCACTTTGATAGAGCAGGTTTGAAACACTCATTCTGTAGTATCTGGAAGTGGACATTTCAAGCGCTTTCAGGCCTATGGTGAGAAAGGAAATATCTTCGAATAAAAACTAGACAGAAGCATCCTCAAACTTATTTGTGATGTGTGTCCTCAACTAACAGAGTTGAAACTTTGTTTTGATACAGCATTTTGGAAACACTCTTTTTGTAGAATCTGCAGGTGGATATTTGGATAGCTTAGAGGGATTCGTTGGAAAGGGGATATCTTCATATAAAATCTAGACAGAAGCATTCTCAGAAACTTATTTGTGATGTGTGTCCTCAACTAACAGAGTTGAACCTTGGTTTTGATACAGCATTTTGGAAACACTCCTTTTCTAGAATCTGCAGGTGGATATGTGGATAGCTTTGAAGATTTCGTTGGAAACGGGAATTTCTTCATATAAAATCAAACAGAAGCATTCTCAGAAACTTCTCAGTGATGTTTGCATTCAGCTCATGGAGTTGTACACTTCCTTTCATAGAGCAGGTTTGAAACACTCTTTCTGCACTACCTGGAAGAGGACATTTCGAGCGCTTTGAGTCCTATGGTGAAAAAGGAAATATCTTCTCATAGAAACCAGAAAGAAGCATTCTCAGAAACTTCTTTGTGTTGTGTGTACTCATGTAACAGTGTTGAACCATCCTTTTGACAGAGGAGTTTTGAAACACTCTTTTTGTAGAATCTGCAAGTGGATATTTGGATAGCTTTGAGGATTTCGTTGGAAACGGGATGACATATAATATCTAGAGAGAAGCATTCTCAGGAACTTCTTTGTGATGTTTGCATTCAAGTCACAGAATTGAACATTCCCTTTCATAGAGCAGGTTTGAAACACTCTTTCTCTAGTATCTGGAAGTGGGCATTTCAAGTGCTTTCAGGCCTATGGAGAGAAAGGAAATACCTTCAAATAAAAACTAGACAGAAGCATTCTCAGAAACTTATTTGTGATGTGTGTCCTCAACTAACAGAGTTGAACCTTTGTTTTGATACAGCATTTTGGAAACACTCCTTTTGTAGAATCTGCAGGTGGATATTTGGATAGCTTTGAAGATTTCGTTGGAAACCGGAATATCTTCATATAAAATCAAGACAGAAGCATTCTCGGAAACATCTCTGTGATGTTTGCATTCAACTCAGTAGAGTTGAACACTTCCTTTCATAGAGCAGGTTTGAAACACTCTTTCTGCACTACCTGGAAGCGGACATTTCGAGCGCTTTGAGGCCTATGGTGAAAAAGGAAATATCTTCTCATAAAAACCAGAAAGAAGCATTCTCAGAAACTTCTTTGTGTTGTGTGTACTCAAGTAACAGTGTTGAACCTTCCTTTTGACAGAGCAGTTTTGAAACACTCTTTTGGTAGAATCTGCAAGTGGATATTTGGATAGCTTTGAGGATTTCGTTGGAAACGGGTTATCTTCATATAAAATCCAGACAGGAGCATTCTCAGAAACTTCTTTGTGCTGTATGTCCTCAATTCACAGAGCTGAACCTTTGTTTGGATACAGCATTTTGGAGACATTCCTTTAGTAGAATCTGCAAGTTGATATTTAGATAGCTTTGAAGATTTCGTTGGAAACGGGAATATCTTCATAGAAAATCTAGACGGAAGCATTCTCAGAAACTGCTTTGTGATGTTTGCATTCAAGTCACAGAGTTGAATATTCCCTTTTATAGAGTAGGTTTGAAACACTCTTTCGGCACTACCTGGAAGTGGATATTTCGAGCTCTTTGAGGCCTATGGTTAAAAGGAAATATCTTCCCATAAAAACTAGACAGAAGCCGTCTCAGAAACTTGTTTGTGATGTGTGTATTCAACTAACAGAGTTGAACATTTCTGTTACAGAGCAATTTTAAAACACTCTTTGTGGAATCTGAAAGTGGATAATTGGATAGCTTTGTGGATTTCGTTGGAAACGGGATGACGTATAAAATCTAGAGAGAAGCATTCTCAGGAACTTCTTTCTGATGTTTGCATTCAAGTCACAGAATTGAACATTCCTTTTCAGAGTGCAGGTTTGAAACACTCTTTCTGTAGTATCTGGAAGTGGACATTTCAAGCGCTTTCAGGCCTACGGGGAGAAAGGAAATCTCTTCAAATAAAAACTAGACAGAAGGATTCTCAGAAACTTATTTGTGATGTGTGTCCTAAACGAACACAGTTGAACCTTTGTTTTGATACAGCATTTTGGAAACACTCCTTTTGTAGGATCTGCAGGTGGATATTTGGATAGATTTTAAGATTTCGTTGGAAACGGGAATTTCTTCATAGAAGCTCAAGACAGATGCATTCTCAGAAACTTCTCTGTGATGTTTGCATTCCACTCATAGAGTTGAAAACTTCCTTTCATAGAGCAGGTTTGAAACACTCTTTTTGTAATATTTGGAAGTGGACATTTGCAGCGCTTTGAGGCCTATGGTGAAAAAGGAAATATCTTCTCATAAAAACCAGAAACAAGCATTCTCAGAAACTTCTTTTTGATGTGTGTACTCAAGTAACAGAGTTGAACCTTCCTCTTGACACAGCAGTTTTGAAACAATCTTTTTGTAGAATCTGCAAGTGGATATTTGGATAGCTTTGAGGATTTCGTTGGAAACGGGATATCTTCATATAAAATCTAGACAGAAGCATTCTCAGAAACTTCTTTGTGCTGTATGTCCTCAATTAACAGAGTTGAACCATTGCCTGGATACAGCATTTTGGAAACATTCCTTGAGTAGAATCTGCAAGTTGATATTTAGATAGATTTGAAGATTTCGTTGGAAAAGGGAATATCTCCATATAAAATCTAGAGGGAAGCATTCTCAGAAACTGCTTTGTGATGTTTCCATTCAAGTCACAGAGTTGAATATTCCCTTTTATAGAGCACGTTTGAAACACTCTTTCTGCACTATCTGGAAGCGGACATTTCGAGCGCTTTGAGGCCTATGGTGAAAAAGGAAATATCTTCCCATAAAAACTAGACAGAAGCATTCTCAGAAACTTGTTTGTGATGTGTGTATTCAACTAACAGAGTTGAACTTTTGTTTTTACAGAGCCGTTTTAAAACACTCTTTTTGTGGAATCAGAAAGTGGATATTCGGATGGCTCTGAGGATTTCGTTGGAAGCGGGATTACGTATAAAATCTAGAGAGAAGCATTCTCAGGAACTTCTTTGTGATGTTTGCATTGAAGTCACAGAATTGAACATTCACTTTGATAGAGCAGGTTTGAAACACTCATTCTGTAGTATCTGGAAGTGGACATTTCAAGCGCTTTCAGGCCTATGGTGAGAAAGGAAATATCTTCGAATAAAAACTAGACAGAAGCATCCTCAGAAACTTATTTGTGATGTGTGTCCTCAACTAACAGAGTTGAAACTTTGTTTTGATACAGCATTTTGGAAACACTCTTTTTGTAGAATCTGCAGGTGGATATTTGGATAGCTTAGAGGGATTCGTTGGAAAGGGGATATCTTCATATAAAATCTAGACAGAAGCATTCTCAGAAACTTATTTGTGATGTGTGTCCTCAACTAACAGAGTTGAACCTTGGTTTTGATACAGCATTTTGGAAACACTCCTTTTGTAGAATCTGCAGGTGGATATGTGGATAGCTCTGAAGATTTCGTTGGAAACGGGAATTTCTACATATAAAATCAAACAGAAGCATTCTCAGAAACTTCTCAGTGATGTTTGCATTCAGCTCATGGAGTTGTACACTTCCTTTCATAGAGCAGGTTTGAAACACTCTTTCTGCACTACCTGGAAGAGGACATTTCGAGCGCTTTGAGTCCTATGGTGAAAAAGGAAATATCTTCTCATAGAAACCAGAAAGAAGCATTCTCAGAAACTTCTTTGTGTTGTGTGTACTCATGTAACAGTGTTGAACCATCCTTTTGACAGAGGAGTTTTGAAACACTCTTTTTGTAGAATCTGCAAGTGGATATTTGGATAGCTTTGAGGATTTCGTTGGAAACGGGATGACATATAATATCTAGAGAGAAGCATTCTCAGGAACTTCTTTGTGATGTTTGCATTCATGTCACAGAATTGAACATTCCCTTTCATAGAGCAGGTTTGAAACACTCTTTCTCTAGTATCTGGAAGTGGGCATTTCAAGCGCTTTCAGGCCTATGGAGAGAAAGGAAATACCTTCAAATAAAAACTAGACAGAAGCATTCTCAGAAACTTATTTGTGATGTGTGTCCTCAACTAACAGAGTTGAACCTTTGTTTTGATACAGCATTTTGGAAACACTCCTTTTGTAGAATCTGCAGGTGGATATTTGGATAGCTTTGAAGATTTCGTTGGAAACCGGAATATCTTCATATAAAATCAAGACAGAAGCATTCTCGGAAACATCTCTGTGATGTTTGCATTCAACTCAGTAGAGTTGAACACTTCCTTTCATAGAGCAGGTTTGAAACACTCTTTCTGCACTACCTGGAAGCGGACATTTCGAGCGCTTTGAGGCCTATGGTGAAAAAGGAAATATCTTCTCATAAAAACCAGAAAGAAGCATTCTCAGAAACTTCTTTGTGTTGTGTGTACTCAAGTAACAGTGTTGAACCTTCCTTTTGACAGAGTAGTTTTGAAACACTCTTTTGGTAGAATCTGCAAGTGGATATTTGGATAGCTTTGAGGATTTCGTTGGAAACGGGTTATCTTCCTATAAAATCCAGACAGGAGCATTCTCAGAAACTTCTTTGTGCTGTATGTCCTCAATTCACAGAGCTGAACCTTTGTTTGGATACAGCATTTTGGAGACATTCCTTTAGTAGAATCTGCAAGTTGATATTTAGATAGCTTTGAAGATTTCGTTGGAAACGGGAATATCTTCATAGAAAATCTAGACGGAAGCATTCTCAGAAACTGCTTTGTGATGTTTGCATTCAAGTCACAGAGTTGAATATTCCCTTTTATAGAGTAGGTTTGAAACACTCTTTCGGCACTACCTGGAAGTGGATATTTCGAGCTCTTTGAGGCCTATGGTTAAAAGGAAATATCTTCCCATAAAAACTAGACAGAAGCCGTCTCAGAAACTTGTTTGTGATGTGTGTATTCAACTACCAGAGTTGAACATTTCTGTTATAGAGCAATATTAAAACACTCTTTTTGTGGAATCTGAAAGTGGATAATTGGATAGCTTTGTGGATTTCGTTGGAAACGGGATGACGTATAAAATCTAGAGAGAAGCATTCTCAGGAACTTCTTTCTGATGTTTGCATTCAAGTCACAGAATTGAACATTCCTTTTCAGAGTGCAGGTTTGAAACACTCTTTCTGTAGTATCTGGAAGTGGACATTTCAAGCGCTTTCAGGCCTACGGGGAGAAAGGAAATATCTTCAAATAAAAACTAGACAGAAGGATTCTCAGTAAACTTATTTGTGATGTGTGTCCTAAACGAACACAGTTGAACCTTTGTTTTGATACAGCATTTTGGAAACACTCCTTTTGTAGGATCTGCAGGTGGATATTTGGATAGATTTTAAGATTTCGTTGGAAACGGGAATTTCTTCATAGAAGCTCAAGACAGATGCATTCTCAGAAACTTCTCTGTGATGTTTGCATTCCACTCATAGAGTTGAAAACTTCCTTTCATAGAGCAGGTTTGAAACACTCTTTTTGTAATATTTGGAAGTGGACATTTGCAGCGCTTTGAGGCCTATGGTGAAAAAGGAAATATCTTCTCATAAAAACCAGAAACAAGCATTCTCAGAAACTTCTTTTTGATGTGTGTACTCAAGTAACAGAGTTGAACCTTCCTTTTGACACAGCAGTTTTGAAACAATCTTTTTGTAGAATCTGCAAGTGGATATTTGGATAGCTTTGAGGATTTCGTTGGAAACGGGATATCTTCATATAAAATCTAGACAGAAGCATTCTCAGAAACTTCTTTGTGCTGTATGTCCTCAATTAACAGAGTTGAACCATTGCTTGGATACAGCATTTTGGAAACATTCCTTGAGTAGAATCTGCAAGTTGATATTTAGATAGATTTGAAGATTTCGTTGGAAAAGGGAATAGCTCCATATAAAATCTAGAGGGAAGCATTCTCAGAAACTGCTTTGTGATGTTTCCATTCAAGTCACAGAGTTGAATATTCCCTTTTATAGAGCACGTTTGAAACACTCTTTCTGCACTATCTGGAAGTGGACATTTCGAGCGCTTTGAGGCCTATGGTGAAAAAGGAAATATCTTCCCATAAAAACTAGACAGAAGCATTCTCAGAAACTTGTTTGTGATGTGTGTATTCAACTAACAGAGTTGAACTTTTGTTTTTACAGAGCCGTTTTAAAACACTCTTTTTGTGGAATCAGAAAGTGGATATTCGGATGGCTCTGAGGATTTCGTTGGAAGCGGGATTACATATAAAATCTAGAGAGAAGCATTCTCAGGAACTTCTTTGTGATGTTTGCATTGAAGTCACAGAATTGAACATTCACTTTGATAGAGCAGGTTTGAAACACTCATTCTGTAGTATCTGGAAGTGGACATTTCAAGCGCTTTCAGGCCTATGGTGAGAAAGGAAATATCTTCGAATAAAAACTAGACAGAAGCATCCTCAAACTTATTTGTGATGTGTGTCCTCAACTAACAGAGTTGAAACTTTGTTTTGATACAGCATTTTGGAAACACTCTTTTTGTAGAATCTGCAGGTGGATATTTGGATAGCTTAGAGGGATTCGTTGGAAAGGGGATATCTTCATATAGAATCTAGACAGAAGCATTCTCAGAAACTTATTTGTGATGTGTGTCCTCAACTAACAGAGTTGAACTTTGGTTTTGATACAGCATTTTGGAAACACTCCTTTTGTAGAATCTGCAGGTGGATATGTGGATAGCTCTGAAGATTTCGTTGGAAACGGGAATTTCTTCATAGAAAATCAAACAGAAGCATTCTCAGAAACTTCTCAGTGATGTTTGCATTCAGTTCATGGAGTTGAACACTTCCTTTCATAGAGCCGGTTTGAAACACTCTTTCTGCACTACCTGGAAGAGGACATTTCGAGCGCTTTGAGTCCTATGGTGAAAAAGGAAATATCTTCTCATAGAAACCAGAAAGAAGCATTCTCAGAAACTTCTTTGTGTTGTGTGTACTCATGTAACAGTGTTGAACCATCCTTTTGACAGAGCAGTTTTGAAACACTCTTTTTGTAGAATCTGCAAGTGGATATTTGGATAGCTTTGAGGATTTCGTTGGAAACGGGATGACATATAATATCTAGAGAGAAGCATTCTCAGGAACTTCTTTGTGATGTTTGCATTCAAGTCACAGAATTGAACATTCCCTTTCATAGAGCAGGTTTGAAACACTCTTTCTCTAGTATCTGGAAGTGGGCATTTCAAGCGCTTTCAGGCCTATGGAGAGAAAGGAAATACCTTCAAATAAAAACTAGACAGAAGCATTCTCAGAAACTTATTTGTGATGTGTGTCCTCAACTAACAGAGTTGAACCTTTGTTTTGATACAGCATTTTGGAAACACTCCTTTTGTAGAATCTGCAGGTGGATATTTGGATAGCTTTGAAGATTTCGTTGGAAACCGGAATATCTTCATATAAAATCAAGACAGAAGCATTCTCGGAAACATCTCTGTGATGTTTGCATTCAACTCAGTAGAGTTGAACACTTCCTTTCATAGAGCAGGTTTGAAACACTCTTTCTGCACTACCTGGAAGCGGACATTTCGAGCGCTTTGAGGCCTATGGTGAAAAAGGAAATATCTTCTCATAAAAACCAGAAAGAAGCATTCTCAGAAACTTCTTTGTGTTGTGTGTACTCAAGTAACAGTGTTGAACCTTCCTTTTGACAGAGCAGTTTTGAAACACTCTTTTGGTAGAATCTGCAAGTGGATATTTGGAGAGCTTTGAGGATTTCGTTGGAAACGGGTTATCTTCCTATAAAATCCAGACAGGAGCATTCTCAGAAACTTCTTTGTGCTGTATGTCCTCAATTCACAGAGCTGAACCTTTGTTTGGATACAGCATTTTGGAGACATTCCTTTAGTAGAATCTGCAAGTTGATATTTAGATAGCTTTGAAGATTTCGTTGGAAACGGGAATATCTTCATAGAAAATCTAGACGGAAGCATTCTCAGAAACTGCTTTGTGATGTTTGCATTCAAGTCACAGAGTTGAATATTCCCTTTTATAGAGTAGGTTTGAAACACTCTTTCGGCACTACCTGGAAGTGGATATTTCGAGCTCTTTGAGGCCTATGGTTAAAAGGAAATATCTTCCCATAAAAACTAGACAGAAGCCGTCTCAGAAACTTGTTTGTGATGTGTGTATTCAACTACCAGAGTTGAACATTTCTGTTACAGAGCAATTTTAAAACACTCTTTTTGTGGAATCTGAAAGTGGATAATTGGATAGCTTTGTGGATTTCGTTGGAAACGGGATGACGTATAAAATCTAGAGAGAAGCATTCTCAGGAACTTCTTTCTGATGTTTGCATTCAAGTCACAGAATTGAACATTCCTTTTCAGAGTGCAGGTTTGAAACACTCTTTCTGTAGTATCTGGAAGTGGACATTTCAAGCGCTTTCAGGCCTACGGGGAGAAAGGAAATATCTTCAAATAAAAACTAGACAGAAGGATTCTCAGAAACTTATTTGTGATGTGTGTCCTAAACGAACACAGTTGAACCTTTGTTTTGATACAGCATTTTGGAAACACTCCTTTTGTAGGATCTGCAGGTGGATATTTGGATAGATTTTAAGATTTCGTTGGAAACGGGAATTTCTGCATATAAACTCAAGACAGATGCATTCTCCGAAACTTCTCTGTGATGTTTGCATTCCACTCATAGAGTTGAAAACTTCCTTTCATAGAGCACGTTTGAAACACTCTTTTTGTAATATTTGGAAGTGGACATTTGCAGCGCTTTGAGGCCTATGGTGAAAAAGGAAATATTCTTCTCATAAAAACCAGAAACAAGCATTCTCAGAAACTTCTTTTTGATGTGTGTACTCAAGTAACAGAGTTGAACCTTCCTCTTGACACAGCAGTTTTGAAACAATCTTTTTGTAGAATCTGCAAGTGGATATTTGGATAGCTTTGAGGATTTCGTTGGAAACGGGATATCTTCATATAAAATCTAGACAGAAGCATTCTCAGAAACTTCTTTGTGCTGTATGTCCTCAATTAACAGAGTTGAACCATTGCTTGGATACAGCATTTTGGAAACATTCCTTGAGTAGAATCTGCAAGTTGATATTTAGATAGATTTGAAGATTTCGTTGGAAAAGGGAATATCTCCATATAAAATCTAGAGGGAAGCATTCTCAGAAACTGCTTTGTGATGTTTCCATTCAAGTCACAGAGTTGAATATTCCCTTTTATAGAGCACGTTTGAAACACTCTTTCTACACTATCTGGAAGTGGACATTTCGAGCGCTTTGAGGCCTATGGTGAAAAAGGAAATATCTTCCCATAAAAACTAGACAGAAGCATTCTCAGAAACTTGTTTGTGATGTGTGTATTCAACTAACAGAGTTGAACTTTTGTTTTTACAGAGCCGTTTTAAAACACTCTTTTTGTGGAATCAGAAAGTGGATATTCGGATGGCTCTGAGGATTTCGTTGGAAGCGGGATTACATATAAAATCTAGAGAGAAGCATTCTCAGGAACTTCTTTGTGATGTTTGCATTGAAGTCACAGAATGGAACATTCACTTTGATAGAGCAGGTTTGAAACACTCATTCTGTAGTATCTGGAAGTGGACATTTCAAGCGCTTTCAGGCCTATGGTGAGAAAGGAAATATCTTCGAATAAAAACTAGACAGAAGCATCCTCAAACTTATTTGTGATGTGTGTCCTCAACTAACAGAGTTGAAACTTTGTTTTGATACAGCATTTTGGAAACACTCTTTTTGTAGAATCTGCAGGTGGATATTTGGATAGCTTAGAGGGATTCGTTGGAAAGGGGATATCTTCATATAAAATCTAGACAGAAGCATTCTCAGAAACTTATTTGTGATGTGTGTCCTCAACTAACAGAGTTGAACCTTGGTTTTGATACAGCATTTTGGAAACACTCCTTTTGTAGAATCTGCAGGTGGATATGTGGATAGCTCTGAAGATTTCGTTGGAAACGGGAATTTCTTCATATAAAATCAAACAGAAGCATTCTCAGAAACTTCTCAGTGATGTTTGCATTCAGCTCATGGAGTTGAACACTTCCTTTCATAGAGCAGGTTTGAAACACTCTTTCTGCACTACCTGGAAGAGGACATTTCGAGCGCTTTGAGTCCTATGGTGAAAAAGGAAATATCTTCTCATAGAAACCAGAAAGAAGCATTCTCAGAAACTTCTTTGTGTTGTGTGTACTCATGTAACAGTGTTGAACCATCCTTTTGACAGAGGAGTTTTGAAACACTCTTTTTGTAGAATCTGCAAGTGGATATTTGGATAGCTTTGAGGATTTCGTTGGAAACGGGATGACATATAATATCTAGAGAGAAGCATTCTCAGGAACTTGCTTTGTGATGTTTGCATTCAAGTCACAGAATTGAACATTCCCTTTCATAGAGCAGGTTTGAAACACTCTTTCTCTAGTATCTGGAAGTGGGCATTTCAAGCGCTTTCAGGCCTATGGAGAGAAAGGAAATACCTTCAAATAAAAACTAGACAGAAGCATTCTCAGAAACTTATTTGTGATGTGTGTCCTCAACTAACAGAGTTGAACCTTTGTTTTGATACAGCATTTTGGAAACACTCCTTTTGTAGAATCTGCAGGTGGATATTTGGATAGCTTTGAAGATTTCGTTGGAAACCGGAATATCTTCATATAAAATCAAGACAGAAGCATTCTCGGAAACATCTCTGTGATGTTTGCATTCAACTCAGTAGAGTTGAACACTTCCTTTCATAGAGCAGGTTTGAAACACTCTTTCTGCACTACCTGGAAGCGGACATTTCGAGCGCTTTGAGGCCTATGGTGAAAAAGGAAATATCTTCTCATAAAAACCAGAAAGAAGCATTCTCAGAAACTTCTTTGTGTTGTGTGTACTCAAGTAACAGTGTTGAACCTTCCTTTTGACAGAGCAGTTTTGAAACACTCTTTTGGTAGAATCTGCAAGTGGATATTTGGATAGCTTTGAGGATTTCGTTGGAAACGGGTTATCTTCCTATAAAATCCAGACAGGAGCATTCTCAGAAACTTCTTTGTGCTGTATGTCCTCAATTCACAGAGCTGAACCTTTGTTTGGATACAGCATTTTGGAGACATTCCTTTAGTAGAATCTGCAAGTTGATATTTAGATAGCTTTGAAGATTTCGTTGGAAACGGGAATATCTTCATAGAAAATCTAGACGGAAGCAGTCTCAGAAACTGCTTTGTGATGTTTGCATTCAAGTCACAGAGTTGAATATTCCCTTTTATAGAGTAGGTTTGAAACACTCTTTCGGCACTACCTGGAAGTGGATATTTCGAGCTCTTTGAGGCCTATGGTTAAAAGGAAATATCTTCCCATAAAAACTAGACAGAAGCCTTCTCAGAAACTTGTTTGAGATGTGTGTATTCAACTAAGAGCGTTGAACATTTCTTTTTACAGAGCAGTTTTAAAACACTCTTTTGGTGCAATCTGAAAGTGGATAATTGGATAGCTTTGTGGATTTCGTTGGAAACGGGATTACGTTTAAAATCTAGAGAGAAGCATTCTCAGAAACTTCTTTCTGATGTTTGCATTCAAGTCACAGAATTGAACATTCGTTTTCATAGTGCAGGTTTGAAACACTCTGTAGTATCTGGAAGTGGACATTTCAAGCGCTTTCAGGCCTATGGGGAGAAAGGAAATATCTTGAAATAAAAACTAGACAGAAGGATTCTCAGAAACTTATTTGTGATGTGTGTTCTCAACGAACACAGTTGAACCTTTGTTTTGATATAGCATTTTGGAAGCACTCCTTTTGTAGAATCTGCAGGTGGATATTTGGATAGATTTTAAGATTTCATTGGAAACGGGAATTTCTTCATATAAACTCAAGACAGATGCATTCTCAGAAACTTCTCTGTGATGTTTGCATTCCACTCACAGAGTTGAAAACTTCCTTTCATAGAGCAGGTTTGAAACACTCTTTTTGTAATATTTGGAAGTGGACATTTGCAGCGCTTTGAGGCCTATGGTGAAAAAGGAAATATCTTCTCATAAAAACCAGAAACAAGCATTCTCAGAAACTGCTTTTTGATGTGTGTACTCAAGTAACAGAGTTGAACCTTCCTTTTGACACAGCAGTTTTGAAACAATCTTTTTGTAGAATCTGCAAGTGGATATTTGGATAGCTTTGAGGATTTCGTTGCAAACGGGATATCTTCATATAAAATCTAGACAGAAGCATTCTCAGAAACTTCTTTGTGCTGTATGTCCTCAATTAACAGAGTTGAACCATTGCTTGGATACAGCATTTTGGAAACATTCCTTTAGTAGAATCTGCAAGTTGATATTTAGATAGCTTTGAAGATTTCGTTGGAAACGGGAATATCTTCATATAAAATCTAGACGGAAGCATTCTCAGAAACTGCTTTGTGATGTTTCCATTCAAGTCACAGAGTTGAATATTCTCTTTTATAGAGCACGTTTGAAACACTCTTTCTGCACTATCTGGAAGTGGACATTTCGAGCGCTTTGAGGCCTATGGTGAAAAAGGAAATATCTTCCCATAAAAACTAGACAGAAGCATTCTCAGAAACTTGTTTGTGATGTGTGTATTCAACTGAGTTGAACTTTTGTTTCTACAGAGCAGTTTTAAAACACTCTTTTTGTGGAATCAGAAAGTGGATATTCGGATGGCTCTGAGGATTTCGTTGGAAGCGGGATTACATATAAAATCTAGAGAGAAGCATTCTCAGGAACTTCTTTGTGATGTTTGCATTGAAGTCACAGAATTGAGCATTCACTTTTATAGAGCAGGTTTGAAACACTCATTCTGTAGTATCTGGAAGTGGACATTTCAAGCGCTTTCAGGCCTATGGTGAGAAAGGAAATATCTTCAAATAAAAACTAGACAGAAGCATTCTCAGAAACTTATTTGTGATGTGTGTCCTCAACTAACAGAGTTGAAACTTTGTTTTGATACAGCATTTTGGAAACACTCTTTTTGTAGAATCTGCAGGTGGATATTTGGATAGCTTAGAGGGATTCGTTGGAAAGGGGATATCTTCATATAAAATCTAGACAGAAGCATTCTCAGAAACTTATTTGTGATGTGTGTCCTCAACTAACAGAGTTGAACCTTGGTTTTGATACAGCATTTTGGAAACACTCCTTTTGTAGAATCTGCAGGTGGATATGTGGATAGCTCTGAAGATTTCGTTGGAAACGGGAATTTCTTCATATAAAATCAAACAGAAGCATTCTCAGAAACTTCTCAGTGATGTTTGCATTCAGTTCATGGAGTTGAACACTTCCCTTCATAGAGCCGGTTTGAAACACTCTTTCTGCACTACCTGGAAGAGGACATTTCGAGCGCTTTGAGTCCTATGGTGAAAAAGGAAATATCTTCTCATAAAAACCAGAAAGAAGCATTCTCAGAAACTTCTTTGTGTTGTGTGTACTCAAGTAACAGTGTTGAACCTTCCTTTTGACAGAGCAGTTTTGAAACACTCTTTTGGTAGAATCTGCAAGTGGATATTTGGATAGCTTTGAGGATTTCGTTGGAAACGGGTTATCTTCATATAAAATCCAGACAGGAGCATTCTCAGAAACTTCTTTGTGCTGTATGTCCTCAATTCACAGAGCTGAACCTTTGTTTGGATACAGCATTTTGGAGACATTCCTTTAGTAGAATCTGCAAGTTGATATTTAGATAGCTTTGAAGATTTCGTTGGAAACGGGAATATCTTCATAGAAAATCTAGACGGAAGCATTCTCAGAAACTGCTTTGTGATGTTTGCATTCAAGTCACAGAGTTGAATATTCCCTTTTATAGAGTAGGTTTGAAACACTCTTTCGGCACTACCTGGAAGTGGATATTTCGAGCTCTTTGAGGCCTATGGTTAAAAGGAAATATCTTCCCATAAAAACTAGACAGAAGCCGTCTCAGAAACTTGTTTGTGATGTGTGTATTCAACTAACAGAGTTGAACATTTCTGTTACAGAGCAATTTTAAAACACTCTTTTTGTGGAATCTGAAAGTGGATAATTGGATAGCTTTGTGGATTTCGTTGGAAACGGGATGACGTATAAAATCTAGAGAGAAGCATTCTCAGGAACTTCTTTCTGATGTTTGCATTCAAGTCACAGAATTGAACATTCCTTTTCAGAGTGCAGGTTTGAAACACTCTTTCTGTAGTATCTGGAAGTGGACATTTCAAGCGCTTTCAGGCCTACGGGGAGAAAGGAAATATCTTCAAATAAAAACTAGACAGAAGGATTCTCAGAAACTTATTTGTGATGTGTGTCCTAAACGAACACAGTTGAACCTTTGTTTTGATACAGCATTTTGGAAACACTCCTTTTGTAGGATCTGCAGGTGGATATTTGGATAGATTTTAAGATTTCGTTGGAAACGGGAATTTCTGCATAGAAACTCAAGACAGATGCATTCTCAGAAACTTCTCTGTGATGTTTGCATTCCACTCATAGAGTTGAAAACTTCCTTTCATAGAGCAGGTTTGAAACACTCTTTTTGTAATATGTGGAAGTGGACATTTGCAGCGCTTTGAGGCCTATGGTGAAAAAGGAAATATCTTCTCATAAAAACCAGAAACAAGCATTCTCAGAAACTTCTTTTTGATGTGTGTACTCAAGTAACAGAGTTGAACCTTCCTTTTGACACAGCAGTTTTGAAACAATCTTTTTGTAGAATCTGCAAGTGGATATTTGGATAGCTTTGAGGATTTCGTTGGAAACGGGATATCTTCATATAAAATCTAGACAGAAGCATTCTCAGAAACTTCTTT
Organism: Homo sapiens; assembly: GCF_000001405.40. Classification (NCBI taxonomy): domain Eukaryota; kingdom Metazoa; phylum Chordata; class Mammalia; order Primates; family Hominidae; genus Homo; species Homo sapiens. Next base: position 50,663,759 of record NC_000004.12, read on the forward strand.
GTGCTGTATGTCCTCAATTAACAGAGTTGAACCATTGCTTGGATACAGCATTTTGGAAACATTCCTTGAGTAGAATCTGCAAGTTGATATTTAGATAGATTTGAAGATTTCGGTTGGAAAAGGGAATATCTCCATATAAAATCTAGAGGGAAGCATTCTCAGAAACTGCTTTGTGATGTTTCCATTCAAGTCACAGAGTTGAATATTCCCTTTTATAGAGCACGTTTGAAACACTCTTTCTGCACTATCTGGAAGCGGACATTTCGAGCGCTTTGAGGCCTATGGTGAAAAAGGAAATATCTTCCCATAAAAACTAGACAGAAGCATTCTCAGAAACTTGTTTGTGATGTGTGTATTCAACTAACAGAGTTGAACTTTTGTTTTTACAGAGCCGTTTTAAAACACTCTTTTTGTGGAATCAGAAAGTGGATATTCGGATGGCTCTGAGGATTTCGTTGGAAGCGGGATTACGTATAAAATCTAGAGAGAAGCATTCTCAGGAACTTCTTTGTGATGTTTGCATTGAAGTCACAGAATTGAACATTCACTTTGATAGAGCAGGTTTGAAACACTCATTCTGTAGTATCTGGAAGTGGACATTTCAAGCGCTTTCAGGCCTATGGTGAGAAAGGAAATATCTTCGAATAAAAACTAGACAGAAGCATCCTCAGAAACTTATTTGTGATGTGTGTCCTCAACTAACAGAGTTGAAACTTTGTTTTGATACAGCATTTTGGAAACACTCTTTGTAGAATCTGCAGGTGGATATTTGGATAGCTTAGAGGGATTCGTTGGAAAGGGGATATCTTCATATAAAATCTAGACAGAAGCATTCTCAGAAACTTATTTGTGATGTGTGTCCTCAACTAACAGAGTTGAACCTTGGTTTTGATACAGCATTTTGGAAACACTCCTTTTGTAGAATCTGCAGGTGGATATGTGGATAGCTCTGAAGATTTCGTTGGAAACGGGAATTTCTTCATATAAAATCAAACAGAAGCATTCTCAGAAACTTCTCAGTGATGTTTGCATTCAGCTCATGGAGTTGAACACTTCCTTTCATAGAGCAGGTTTGAAACACTCTTTCTGCACTACCTGGAAGAGGACATTTCGAGCGCTTTGAGTCCTATGGTGAAAAAGGAAATATCTTCTCATAGAAACCAGAAAGAAGCATTCTCAGAAACTTCTTTGTGTTGTGTGTACTCATGTAACAGTGTTGAACCATCCTTTTGACAGAGGAGTTTTGAAACACTCTTTTTGTAGAATCTGCAAGTGGATATTTGGATAGCTTTGAGGATTTCGTTGGAAACGGGATGACATATAATATCTAGAGAGAAGCATTCTCAGGAACTTCTTTGTGATGTTTGCATTCAAGTCACAGAATTGAACATTCCCTTTCATAGAGCAGGTTTGAAACACTCTTTCTCTAGTATCTGGAAGTGGGCATTTCAAGCGCTTTCAGGCCTATGGAGAGAAAGGAAATACCTTCAAATAAAAACTAGACAGAAGCATTCTCAGAAACTTATTTGTGATGTGTGTCCTCAACTAACAGAGTTGAACCTTTGTTTTGATACAGCATTTTGGAAACACTCCTTTTGTAGAATCTGCAGGTGGATATTTGGATAGCTTTGAAGATTTCGTTGGAAACCGGAATATCTTCATATAAAATCAAGACAGAAGCATTCTCGGAAACATCTCTGTGATGTTTGCATTCAACTCAGTAGAGTTGAACACTTCCTTTCATAGAGCAGGTTTGAAACACTCTTTCTGCACTACCTGGAAGCGGACATTTCGAGCGCTTTGAGGCCTATGGTGAAAAAGGAAATATCTTCTCATAAAAACCAGAAAGAAGCATTCTCAGAAACTTCTTTGTGTTGTGTGTACTCAAGTAACAGTGTTGAACCTTCCTTTTGACAGAGCAGTTTTGAAACACTCTTTTGGTAGAATCTGCAAGTGGATATTTGGAGAGCTTTGAGGATTTCGTTGGAAACGGGTTATCTTCCTATAAAATCCAGACAGGAGCATTCTCAGAAACTTCTTTGTGCTGTATGTCCTCAATTCACAGAGCTGAACCTTTGTTTGGATACAGCATTTTGGAGACATTCCTTTAGTAGAATCTGCAAGTTGATATTTAGATAGCTTTGAAGATTTCGTTGGAAACGGGAATATCTTCATAGAAAATCTAGACGGAAGCATTCTCAGAAACTGCTTTGTGATGTTTGCATTCAAGTCACAGAGTTGAATATTCCCTTTTATAGAGTAGGTTTGAAACACTCTTTCGGCACTACCTGGAAGTGGATATTTCGAGCTCTTTGAGGCCTATGGTTAAAAGGAAATATCTTCCCATAAAAACTAGACAGAAGCCGTCTCAGAAACTTGTTTGTGATGTGTGTATTCAACTACCAGAGTTGAACATTTCTGTTACAGAGCAATTTTAAAACACTCTTTCTGTGGAATCTGAAAGTGGATAATTGGATAGCTTTGTGGATTTCGTTGGAAACGGGATGACGTATAAAATCTAGAGAGAAGCATTCTCAGGAACTTCTTTCTGATGTTTGCATTCAAGTCACAGAATTGAACATTCCTTTTCAGAGTGCAGGTTTGAAACACTCTTTCTGTAGTATCTGGAAGTGGACATTTCAAGCGCTTTCAGGCCTACGGGGAGAAAGGAAATATCTTCAAATAAAAACTAGACAGAAGGATTCTCAGAAACTTATTTGTGATGTGTGTCCTAAACGAACACAGTTGAACCTTTGTTTTGATACAGCATTTTGGAAACACTCCTTTTGTAGGATCTGCAGGTGGATATTTGGATAGATTTTAAGATTTCGTTGGAAACGGGAATTTCTGCATATAAACTCAAGACAGATGCATTCTCAGAAACTTCTCTGTGATGTTTGCATTCCACTCATAGAGTTGAAAACTTCCTTTCATAGAGCAGGTTTGAAACACTCTTTTTGTAATATTTGGAAGTGGACATTTGCAGCGCTTTGAGGCCTATGGTGAAAAAGGAAATATCTTCTCATAAAAACCAGAAACAAGCATTCTCAGAAACTTCTTTTTGATGTGTGTACTCAAGTAACAGAGTTGAACCTTCCTTTTGACACAGCAGTTTTGAAACAATCTTTTTGTAGAATCTGCAAGTGGATATTTGGATAGCTTTGAGGATTTCGTTGGAAACGGGATATCTTCATATAAAATCTAGACAGAAGCATTCTCAGAAACTTCTTTGTGCTGTATGTCCTCAATTAACAGAGTTGAACCATTGCTTGGATACAGCATTTTGGAAACATTCCTTTAGTAGAATCTGCAAGTTGATATTTAGATAGATTTGAAGATTTCGTTGGAAACGGGAATATCTTCATATAAAATCCTAGACGGAAGCATTCTCAGAAACTGCTTTGTGATGTTTCCATTCAAGTCACAGAGTTGAATATTCCCTTTTATAGAGCACGTTTGAAACACTCTTTCTGCACTATCTGGAAGCGGACATTTCGAGCGCTTTGAGGCCTATGGTGAAAAAGGAAATATCTTCCCATAAAAACTAGACAGAAGCATTCTCAGAAACTTGTTTGTGATGTGTGTATTCAACTAACAGAGTTGAACTTTTGTTTTTACAGAGCCGTTTTAAAACACTCTTTTTGTGGAATCAGAAAGTGGATATTCGGATGGCTCTGAGGATTTCGTTGGAAGCGGGATTACGTAAAAAATCTAGAGAGAAGCATTCTCAGGAACTTCTTTCTGATGTTTGCATTGAAGTCACAGAATTGAACATTCACTTTGATAGAGCAGGTTTGAAACACTCATTCTGTAGTATCTGGAAGTGGACATTTCAAGCGCTTTCAGGCCTATGGTGAGAAAGGAAATATCTTCGAATAAAAACTAGACAGAAGCATCCTCAAACTTATTTGTGATGTGTGTCCTCAACTAACAGAGTTGAAACTTTGTTTTGATACAGCATTTTGGAAACACTCTTTTTGTAGAATCTGCAGGTGGATATTTGGATAGCTTAGAGGGATTCGTTGGAAAGGGGATATCTTCATATAAAATCTAGACAGAAGCATTCTCAGAAACTTATTTGTGATGTGTGTCCTCAACTAACAGAGTTGAACCTTGGTTTTGATACAGCATTTTGGAAACACTCCTTTTGTAGAATCTGCAGGTGGATATGTGGATAGCTCTGAAGATTTCGTTGGAAACGGGAATTTCTTCATATAAAATCAAACAGAAGCATTCTCAGAAACTTCTCAGTGATGTTTGCATTCAGCTCATGGAGTTGTACACTTCCTTTCATAGAGCAGGTTTGAAACACTCTTTCTGCACTACCTGGAAGAGGACATTTCGAGCGCTTTGAGTCCTATGGTGAAAAAGGAAATATCTTCTCATAGAAACCAGAAAGAAGCATTCTCAGAAACTTCTTTGTGTTGTGTGTACTCATGTAACAGTGTTGAACCATCCTTTTGACAGAGGAGTTTTGAAACACTCTTTTTGTAGAATCTGCAAGTGGATATTTGGATAGCTTTGAGGATTTCGTTGGAAACGGGATGACATATAATATCTAGAGAGAAGCATTCTCAGGAACTTCTTTGTGATGTTTGCATTCAAGTCAAAGAATTGAACATTCCCTTTCATAGAGCAGGTTTGAAACACTCTTTCTCTAGTATCTGGAAGTGGGCATTTCAAGCGCTTTCAGGCCTATGGAGAGAAAGGAAATACCTTCAAATAAAAACTAGACAGAAGCATTCTCAGAAACTTATTTGTGATGTGTGTCCTCAACTAACAGAGTTGAACCTTTGTTTTGATACAGCATTTTGGAAACACTCCTTTTGTAGAATCTGCAGGTGGATATTTGGATAGCTTTGAAGATTTCGTTGGAAACCGGAATATCTTCATATAAAATCAAGACAGAAGCATTCTCGGAAACATCTCTGTGATGTTTGCATTCAACTCAGTAGAGTTGAACACTTCCTTTCATAGAGCAGGTTTGAAACACTCTTTCTGCACTACCTGGAAGCGGACATTTCGAGCGCTTTGAGGCCTATGGTGAAAAAGGAAATATCTTCTCATAAAAACCAGAAAGAAGCATTCTCAGAAACTTCTTTGTGTTGTGTGTACTCAAGTAACAGTGTTGAACCTTCCTTTTGACAGAGTAGTTTTGAAACACTCTTTTGGTAGAATCTGCAAGTGGATATTTGGATAGCTTTGAGGATTTCGTTGGAAACGGGTTATCTTCCTATAAAATCCAGACAGGAGCATTCTCAGAAACTTCTTTGTGCTGTATGTCCTCAATTCACAGAGCTGAACCTTTGTTTGGATACAGCATTTTGGAGACATTCCTTTAGTAGAATCTGCAAGTTGATATTTAGATAGCTTTGAAGATTTCGTTGGAAACGGGAATATCTTCATAGAAAATCTAGACGGAAGCATTCTCAGAAACTGCTTTGTGATGTTTGCATTCAAGTCACAGAGTTGAATATTCCCTTTTATAGAGTAGGTTTGAAACACTCTTTCGGCACTACCTGGAAGTGGATATTTCGAGCTCTTTGAGGCCTATGGTTAAAAGGAAATATCTTCCCATAAAAACTAGACAGAAGCCGTCTCAGAAACTTGTTTGTGATGTGTGTATTCAACTAACAGAGTTGAACATTTCTGTTACAGAGCAATTTTAAAACACTCTTTGTGGAATCTGAAAGTGGATAATTGGATAGCTTTGTGGATTTCGTTGGAAACGGGATGACGTATAAAATCTAGAGAGAAGCATTCTCAGGAACTTCTTTCTGATGTTTGCATTCAAGTCACAGAATTGAACATTCCTTTTCAGAGTGCAGGTTTGAAACACTCTTTCTGTAGTATCTGGAAGTGGACATTTCAAGCGCTTTCAGGCCTACGGGGAGAAAGGAAATATCTTCAAATAAAAACTAGACAGAAGGATTCTCAGAAACTTATTTGTGATGTGTGCCCTAAACGAACACAGTTGAACCTTTGTTTTGATACAGCATTTTGGAAACACTCCTTTTGTAGGATCTGCAGGTGGATATTTGGATAGATTTTAAGATTTCGTTGGAAACGGGAATTTCTTCATAGAAGCTCAAGACAGATGCATTCTCAGAAACTTCTCTGTGATGTTTGCATTCCACTCATAGAGTTGAAAACTTCCTTTCATAGAGCAGGTTTGAAACACTCTTTTTGTAATATTTGGAAGTGGACATTTGCAGCGCTTTGAGGCCTATGGTGAAAAAGGAAATATCTTCTCATAAAAACCAGAAACAAGCATTCTCAGAAACTTCTTTTTGATGTGTGTACTCAAGTAACAGAGTTGAACCTTCCTTTTGACACAGCAGTTTTGAAACAATCTTTTTGTAGAATCTGCAAGTGGATATTTGGATAGCTTTGAGGATTTCGTTGGAAACGGGATATCTTCATATAAAATCTAGACAGAAGCATTCTCAGAAACTTCTTTGTGCTGTATGACCTCAATTAACAGAGTTGAACCATTGCTTGCATACAGCATTTTGGAAACATTCCTGTAGTAGAATCTGCAAGTTGATATTTAGATAGATTTGAAGATTTCGTTCGAAAACGGAATATCTCCATATAAAATCTAGAGGGAAGCATTCTCAGAAACTGCTTTGTGACGTTTCCATTCAAGTCACGGAGTTGAATATTCTCTTTTATAGAGCACGTTTGAAACACTCTTTCTGCACTATCTGGAAGTGGACATTTCGAGCGCTTTGAGGCCTATGGTGAAAAAGGAAATATCTTCCCATAAAAACTAGACAGAAGCATTCTCAGAAACTTGTTTGTGATGGGTGTATTCAACTAACAGAGTTGAACTTTTGTTTTTACAGAGCCGTTTTAAAACACTCTTTTTGTGGAATCAGAAAGTGCATATTCGGATGGCATTGAGGATTTCGTTGGAAGCGGGATTACATATAAAATCTAGAGAGAAGCATTCTCAGGAACTTCTTTGTGATGTTTGCATTGAAGTCACAGAATTGAACATTCACTTTTATAGAGCAGGTTTGAAACACTCATTCTGTAGTATCTGGAAGTGGACATTTCAAGCGCTTTCAGGCCTATGGTGAGAAAGGAGATATCTTCAAATAAAAACTAGACAGAAGCATCCTCAGAAACTTATTTGTGATGTGTGTCCTCAACTAACAGAGTTGAAACTTTGTTTTGATACCGCCTTTTAGAAACACTCCTTTTGTAGAATCTGCAGGTGGCTATTTGGATAGCTTAGAGGGATTCGTTGGAAAGGGGATATCTTCATATAAAATCTAGACAGAAACATTCTCAGAAACTTATTTGTGATGTGTGTCCTCAACTAACAGATTTGAACCTTGGTTTTGATACAGCATTTTGGAAACACTCCTTTTGTAGAATCTGCAGGTGGATATGTGGATAGCTTTGAAGATTTCGTTGGAATCGGGAATTTCTTCATATAAAATCAAACAGAAGCATTCTCAGAAACTTCTCTGTGATGTTTGCCTTCAGCTCATGGAGTTGAACACTTCCTTTCATAGAGCAGGTTTGAAACACTCTTGCTGCACTACCTGGAAGTGGACATTTCGAGCGCTTTGAGGCCTATGGTGAAAAAGGAAATATCTTCTCATAAAAACCAGAAGGAAGCGTTCTCAGAAACTTCTTTGTGTTGTGTGTACTCATGTAACAGTGTTGAACCATCCTTTTGACAGAGCAGTTTTGAAACACTCTTTTTGTAGAATCTGCAAGTGGATATTTGGATAGCTTTGAGGATTTCGTTGGAAACGGGTTATCTTCATATTAAATCTAGACAGAAGCATTCTCAGAAACTTCTTTGTGCTGTATGTCCTCAATTCACAGAGTTGAACCTTTGTTTGGATACAGCATTTTGGAAACATTCCTTTAGTAGAATCTGCAAGTTGATATTTAGATAGCTTTGAAGATTTCGTTGGAAACGGGAATATCTTCATAAAAAATCTAGACGGAAGCATTGTCAGAAACTGCTTTGTGATGTTTGCATTCAAGTCACAGAGTTAAATATTCTTTTACAGAGCAGGTTTGAAACACTCTTTCTGCACTCCCTGGAAGTGGAGATTTCGAGCGCTTTGAGGCCTATGGTGAAAAAGGAAATATCTTCCCATAAAAACTAGACGGAAAGCCTTCTCAGAAACTTGTTTGAGATGTGTGTATTCAACTAAGAGCGTTGAACATTTCTTTTTACAGAGCAGTTTTAAAACACTCTTTTTGTGGAATCTGAAAGTGGATAATTGGATAGCTTTGTGGATTTCGTTGGAAACGGGATGACGTATAAAATCTAGAGAGAGCATTCTCAGGAACTTCTTTCTGATGTTTGCATTCAAGTCACAGAATTGAACATTCCTTTTCATAGTGCAGGTTTGAAACACTCTTTCTGTAGTATCTGGAAGTGGACATTTCCAGCGCTTTCAGGCCTATGGGGAGAAAGGAAATATCTTCAAATAAAAACTAGACAGAAGGATTCTCAGAAACTTATTGGTGATGTGTGTCCTAAACGAACACAGTTGAACCTTTGTTTTGATACAGCATTTTGGAAACACTCCCTTTGTAGAATCTGCAGGTGGATATTTGGATAGATTTTAAGATTTCGTTGGAAACGGGAATTTCTTCATATAAACTCAAGACAGATGCATTCTCAGAAACTTCTCTGTGATGTTTGCATTCCACTCATAGAGTTGAAAACTTCCTTTCATAGAGCAGGTTTGAAACACTCTTTTTGTAATATTTGGAAGTGGACATTTGCAGCGCTTTGAGGCCTATGGTGAAAAAGGAAATATCTTCTCATAAAAACCAGAAACAACCATTCTCAGAAACTTCTTTTTGATGTGTGTACTCAAGTAACAGAGTTGAACCTTCCTTTTGACACAGCAGTTTTGAAACAATCTTTTTGTAGAATCTGCAAGTGGATATTTGGATAGCTTTGAGGATTTCGTTGGAAACGGGATATCTTCATATAAAATCTAGACAGAAGCATTCTCAGAAACTTCTTTGTGCTGTATGTCCTCAATTAACAGAGTTGAACCATTGCTTGGATACAGCATTTTGGAAACATTCCTTTAGTAGAATCTGCAAGTTGATATTTAGATAGATTTGAAGATTTCGTTGGAAACGGGAATATCTTCATATAAAATCCTAGACGGAAGCATTGTCAGAAACTGCTTTGTGATGTTTGCATTCAAGTCACAGAGTTAAATATTCTTTTACAGAGCAGGTTTGAAACACTCTTTCTGCACTCCCTGGAAGTGGAGATTTCGAGCGCTTTGAGGCCTGTGGTGAAAAAGGAAATATCTTCCCATAAAAACTAGACGGAAGCATTCTCAGAAACTTGTTTGTGATGTGTGTATTCAACTAACAGAGTTGAACTTTTGTTTTTACAGAGCCGTTTTAAAACACTCTTTTTGTGGAATCAGAAAGTGGATATTCGGATGGCTCTGAGGATTTCGTTGGAAGCGGGATTACGTATAAAATCTAGAGAGAAGCATTCTCAGGAACTTCTTTGTGATGTTTGCATTGAAGTCACAGAATTGAACATTCACTTTGATAGAGCAGGTTTGAAACACTCATTCTGTAGTATCTGGAAGTGGACATTTCAAGCGCTTTCAGGCCTATGGTGAGAAAGGAAATATCTTCGAATAAAAACTAGACAGAAGCATCCTCAGAAACTTATTTGTGATGTGTGTCCTCAACTAACAGAGTTGAAACTTTGTTTTGATACAGCATTTTGGAAACACTCTTTTTGTAGAATCTGCAGGTGGATATTTTGATAGCTTAGAGGGATTCGTTGGAAAGGGGATATCTTCATATAAAATCTAGACAGAAGCATTCTCAGAAACTTATTTGTGATGTGTGTCCTCAACTAACAGAGTTGAACCTTGGTTTTGATACAGCATTTTGGAAACACTCCTTTTGTAGAATCTGCAGGTGGATATGTGGATAGCTACTGAAGATTTCGTTGGAAACGGGAATTTCTTCATATAAAATCAAACAGAAGCATTCTCAGAAACTTCTCAGTGATGTTTGCATTCAGTTCATGGAGTTGAACACTTCCCTTCATAGAGCCGGTTTGAAACACTCTTTCTGCACTACCTGGAAGAGGACATTTCGAGCGCTTTGAGTCCTATGGTGAAAAAGGAAATATCTTCTCATATAAACCAGAAAGAAGCATTCTCAGAAACTTCTTTGTGTTGTGTGTACTCATGTAACAGTGTTGAACCATCCTTTTGACAGAGGAGTTTTGAAACACTCTTTTTGTAGAATCTGCAAGTGGATATTTGGATAGCTTTGAGGATTTCGTTGGAAACGGGATGACATATAATATCTAGAGAGGAAGCATTCTCAGGAACTTCTTTGTGATGTTTGCATTCAAGTCACAGAATTGAACATTCCCTTTCATAGAGCAGGTTTGAAACACTCTTTCTCTAGTATCTGGAAGTGGGCATTTCAAGCGCTTTCAGGCCTATGGAGAGAAAGGAAATACCTTCAAATAAAAACTAGACAGAAGCATTCTCAGAAACTTATTTGTGATGTGTGTCCTCAACTAACAGAGTTGAACCTTTGTTTTGATACAACATTTTGGAAACACTCCTTTTGTAGAATCTGCAGGTGGATATTTGGATAGCTTTGAAGATTTCGTTGGAAACCGGAATATCTTCATATAAAATCAAGACAGAAGCATTCTCGGAAACATCTCTGTGATGTTTGCATTCAACTCAGTAGAGTTGAACACTTCCTTTCATAGAGCAGGTTTGAAACACTCTTTCTGCACTACCTGGAAGCGGACATTTCGAGCGCTTTGAGGCCTATGGTGAAAAAGGAAATATCTTCTCATAAAAACCAGAAAGAAGCATTCTCAGAAACTTCTTTGTGTTGTGTGTACTCAAGTAACAGTGTTGAACCTTCCTTTTGACAGAGTAGTTTTGAAACACTCTTTTGGTAGAATCTGCAAGTGGATATTTGGATAGCTTTGAGGATTTCATTGGAAACGGGTTATCTTCCTATAAAATCCAGACAGGAGCATTCTCAGAAACTTCTTTGTGCTGTATGTCCTCAATTCACAGAGCTGAACCTTTGTTTGGATACAGCATTTTGGAGACATTCCTTTAGTAGAATCTGCAAGTTGATATTTAGATAGCTTTGAAGATTTCGTTGGAAACGGGAATATCTTCATAGAAAATCTAGACGGAAGCATTCTCAGAAACTGCTTTGTGATGTTTGCATTCAAGTCACAGAGTTGAATATTCCCTTTTATAGAGTAGGTTTGAAACACTCTTTCGGCACTACCTGGAAGTGGATATTTCGAGCTCTTTGAGGCCTATGGTTAAAAGGAAATATCTTCCCATAAAAACTAGACAGAAGCCGTCTCAGAAACTTGTTTGTGATGTGTGTATTCAACTACCAGAGTTGAACATTTCTGTTACAGAGCAATTTTAAAACACTCTTTTTGTGGAATCTGAAAGTGGATAATTGGATAGCTTTGTGGATTTCGTTGGAAACGGGATGACGTATAAAATCTAGAGAGAAGCATTCTCAGGAACTTCTTTCTGATGTTTGCATTCAAGTCACAGAATTGAACATTCCTTTTCAGAGTGCAGGTTTGAAACACACTCTTTCTGTAGTATCTGGAAGTGGACATTTCAAGCGCTTTCAGGCCTACGGGGAGAAAGGAAATATCTTCAAATAAAAACTAGACAGAAGGATTCTCAGAAACTTATTTGTGATGTGTGTCCTAAACGAACACAGTTGAACCTTTGTTTTGATACAGCATTTTGGAAACACTCCTTTTGTAGGATCTGCAGGTGGATATTTGGATAGATTTTAAGATTTCGTTGGAAACGGGAATTTCTGCATATAAACTCAAGACAGATGCATTCTCAGAAACTTCTCTGTGATGTTTGCATTCCACTCATAGAGTTGAAAACTTCCTTTCATAGAGCAGGTTTGAAACACTCTTTTTGTAATATTTGGAAGTGGACATTTGCAGCGCTTTGAGGCCTATGGTGAAAAAGGAAATATCTTCTCATAAAAACCAGAAACAAGCATTCTCAGAAACTTCTTTTTGATGTGTGTACTCAAGTAACAGAGTTGAACCTTCCTTTTGACACAGCAGTTTTGAAACAATCTTTTTGTAGAATCTGCAAGTGGATATTTGGATAGCTTTGAGGATTTCGTTGGAAACGGGATATCTTCATATAAAATCTAGACAGAAGCATTCTCAGAAACTTCTTTGTGCTGTATGTCCTCAATTAACAGAGTTGAACCATTGCTTGGATACAGCATTTTGGAAACATTCCTTGAGTAGAATCTGCAAGTTGATATTTAGATAGATTTGAAGATTTCGTTGGAAAAGGGAATATCTCCATATAAAATCTAGAGGGAAGCATTCTCAGAAACTGCTTTGTGATGTTTCCATTCAAGTCACAGAGTTGAATATTCCCTTTTATAGAGCACGTTTGAAACACTCTTTCTGCACTATCTGGAAGTGGACATTTCGAGCGCTTTGAGGCCTATGGTGAAAAAGGAAATATCTTCCCATAAAAACTAGACAGAAGCATTCTCAGAAACTTGTTTGTGATGTGTGTATTCAACTAACAGAGTTGAACTTTTGTTTTTACAGAGCCGTTTTAAAACACTCTTTTTGTGGAATCAGAAAGTGGATATTCGGATGGCTCTGAGGATTTCGTTGGAAGCGGGATTACATATAAAATCTAGAGAGAAGCATTCTCAGGAACTTCTTTGTGATGTTTGCATTGAAGTCACAGAATTGAACATTCACTTTGATAGAGCAGGTTTGAAACACTCATTCTGTAGGATCTGGAAGTGGACATTTCAAGCGCTTTCAGGCCTATGGTGAGAAAGGAAATATCTTCGAATAAAAACTAGACAGAAGCATTCTCAGAAACTTATTTGTGATGTGTGTCCTCAACTAACAGAGTTGAAACTTTGTTTTGATACAGCATTTTGGAAACACTCTTTTTGTAGAATCTGCAGGTGGATATTTGGATAGCTTAGAGGGATTCGTTGGAAAGGGGATATCTTCATATAAAATCTAGACAGAAGCATTCTCAGAAACTTATTTGTGATGTGTGTCCTCAACTAACAGAGTTGAACCTTGGTTTTGATACAGCATTTTGGAAACACTCCTTTTGTAGAATCTGCAGGTGGATATGTGGATAGCTCTGAAGATTTCGTTGGAAACGGGAATTTCTTCATATAAAATCAAACAGAAGCATTCTCAGAAACTTCTCAGTGATGTTTGCATTCAGCTCATGGAGTTGAACACTTCCTTTCATAGAGCCGGTTTGAAACACTCTTTCTGCACTACCTGGAAGAGGACATTTCGAGCGCTTTGAGTCCTATGGTGAAAAAGGAAATATCTTCTCATAGAAACCAGAAAGAAGCATTCTCAGAAACTTCTTTGTGTTGTGTGTACTCATGTAACAGTGTTGAACCATCCTTTTGACAGAGCAGTTTTGAAACACTCTTTTTGTAGAATCTGCAAGTGGATATTTGGATAGCTTTGAGGATTTCGTTGGAAACGGGATGACATATAATATCTAGAGAGAAGCATTCTCAGGAACTTCTTTGTGATGTTTGCATTCAAGTCACAGAATTGAACATTCCCTTTCATAGAGCAGGTTTGAAACACTCTTTCTCTAGTATCTGGAAGTGGGCATTTCAAGCGCTTTCAGGCCTATGGAGAGAAAGGAAATACCTTCAAATAAAAACTAGACAGAAGCATTCTCAGAAACTTATTTGTGATGTGTGTCCTCAACTAACAGAGTTGAACCTTTGTTTTGATACAGCATTTTGGAAACACTCCTTTTGTAGAATCTGCAGGTGGATATTTGGATAGCTTTGAAGATTTCGTTGGAAACCGGAATATCTTCATATAAAATCAAGACAGAAGCATTCTCGGAAACATCTCTGTGATGTTTGCATTCAACTCAGTAGAGTTGAACACTTCCTTTCATAGAGCAGGTTTGAAACACTCTTTCTGCACTACCTGGAAGCGGACATTTCGAGCGCTTTGAGGCCTATGGTGAAAAAGGAAATATCTTCTCATAAAAACCAGAAAGAAGCATTCTCAGAAACTTCTTTGTGTTGTGTGTACTCAAGTAACAGTGTTGAACCTTCCTTTTGACAGAGCAGTTTTGAAACACTCTTTTGGTAGAATCTGCAAGTGGATATTTGGAGAGCTTTGAGGATTTCGTTGGAAACGGGTTATCTTCATATAAAATCCAGACAGGAGCATTCTCAGAAACTTCTTTGTGCTGTATGTCCTCAATTCACAGAGCTGAACCTTTGTTTGGATACAGCATTTTGGAGACATTCCTTTAGTAGAATCTGCAAGTTGATATTTAGATAGCTTTGAAGATTTCGTTGGAAACGGGAATATCTTCATAGAAAATCTAGACGGAAGCATTCTCAGAAACTGCTTTGTGATGTTTGCATTCAAGTCACAGAGTTGAATATTCCCTTTTATAGAGTAGGTTTGAAACACTCTTTCGGCACTACCTGGAAGTGGATATTTCGAGCTCTTTGAGGCCTATGGTTAAAAGGAAATATCTTCCCATAAAAACTAGACAGAAGCCGTCTCAGAAACTTGTTTGTGATGTGTGTATTCAACTAACAGAGTTGAACATTTCTGTTACAGAGCAATTTTAAAACACTCTTTGTGGAATCTGAAAGTGGATAATTGGATAGCTTTGTGGATTTCGTTGGAAACGGGATGACGTATAAAATCTAGAGAGAAGCATTCTCAGGAACTTCTTTCTGATGTTTGCATTCAAGTCACAGAATTGAACATTCCTTTTCAGAGTGCAGGTTTGAAACACTCTTTCTGTAGTATCTGGAAGTGGACATTTCAAGCGCTTTCAGGCCTACGGGGAGAAAGGAAATATCTTCAAATAAAAACTAGACAGAAGGATTCTCAGAAACTTATTTGTGATGTGTGTCCTAAACGAACACAGTTGAACCTTTGTTTTGATACAGCATTTTGGAAACACTCCTTTTGTAGAATCTGCAGGTGGATATTTGGATAGATTTTAAGATTTCATTGGAAACGGGAATTTCTTCATATAAACTCAAGACAGATGCATTCTCAGAAACTTCTCTGTGATGTTTGCATTCCACTCATAGAGTTGAAAACTTCCTTTCATAGAGCAGGTTTGAAACACTCTTTTTGTAATATTTGGAAGTGGACATTTGCAGCGCTTTGAGGCCTATGGTGAAAAAGGAAATATCTTCTCATAAAAACCAGAAACAAGCATTCTCAGAAACTTCTTTTTGATGTGTGTACTCAAGTAACAGAGTTGAACCTTCCTTTTGACACAGCAGTTTTGAAACAATCTTTTTGTAGAATCTGCAAGTGGATATTTGGATAGCTTTGAGGATTTCGTTGGAAACGGGATATCTTCATATAAAATCTAGACAGAAGCATTCTCAGAAACTTCTTTGTGCTGTATGTCCTCAATTAACAGAGTTGAACCATTGCTTGGATACAGCATTTTGGAAACATTCCTTTAGTAGAATCTGCAAGTTGATAATTAGATAGATTTGAAGATTTCGTTGGAAACGGGAATATCTTCATATAAAATCTAGACAGAAGCATTCTCAGAAACTTATTTGTGATGTGTTTCCTCAACTAACAAAGTTGAACCTTGGTTTTGATACAGCATTTTGGAAACACTCCTTTTGTAGAATCTGCAGGTGGATATTTGGATAGCTTACAGGGATTCGTTGGAAAGGGGATATCTTCACATAAAATCAAACAGAAGCATTCTCAGAAACTTCTCTGTGATGTTTGCATTCAGCTCATGGAGTTGAACACTTCCTTTCATAGAGCAGGTTTGAAACACTCTTTCTGCACTACCAGGAAGTGGACATTTCGAGCGCTTTGAGTCCTATGGTGAAAAAGGAAATATCTTCTCATAAAAACCAGAAAGAAGCGTTCTCAGAAACTTCTTTGTGTTGTGTGTACTCATGTAACAGTGTTGAACCATCCTTTTGACAGAGCAGTTTTGAAACACTCTTTTTGTAGAATCTGCAAGTGGATATTTGGATAGCTTTGAGGATTTCGTTGGAAACGGGTTATCTTCATATTAAATCTAGACAGAAGCATTCTCAGAAACTTCTTTGGGCTGTATGTCCTCAATTCACAGAGCTGAACCTTTGTTTGGATACAGCATTTTGGAAACATTCCTTTAGTAGAATCTGCAAGTTGATATTTAGATAGCTTTGAAGATTTCGTTGGAAACGGGAATATCTTCATAAAAAATCTAGACGGAAGCATTGTCAGAAACTGCTCTGTGATGTTTGCATTCAAGTCACAGAGTTAAATATTCTTTTACAGAGCAGGTTTGAAACACTCTTTCTGCACTCCCTGGAAGTGGAGATTTCGAGCGCTTTGAGGCCTATGGTGAAAAAGGAAATATCTTCCCATAAAAACTAGACGGAAGCCTTCTCAGAAACTTGTTTGAGATGTGTGTATTCAACTAAGAGCGTTGAACATTTCTTTTTACAGAGCAGTTTTAAAACACTCTTTTGTGGAATCTGAAAGTGGATAATTGGATAGCTTTGTGGATTTCATTGGAAACGGGATGACGTATAAAATCTAGAGAGAAGCATTCTCAGGAACTTCTTTCTGATGTTTGCATTCAAGTCACAGAATTGAACATTCCTTTTCATAGTGCAGGTTTGAAACACTCTGTAGTATCTGGAAGTGGACATTTCAAGCGCTTTCAAGCCTATGGGGAGAAAGGAAATATCTTGAAATAAAAACTAGACAGAAGGATTCTCAGAAACTTATTTGTGATGTGTGTCCTAAACGAACACAGTTGAAACTTTGTTTTGATACAGCATTTTGGAAACACTCCTTTTGTAGAATCTGCAGGTGGATATTTGGATAGATTTTAAGATTTCATTGGAAACGGGAATTTCTTCATATAAACTCAAGACAGATGCATTCTCAGAAACTTCTCTGTGATGTTTGCATTCCACTCATAGAGTTGAAAACTTCCTTTCATAGAGCAGGTTTGAAACACTCTTTTTGTAATATTTGGAAGTGGACATTTGCAGCGCTTTGAGGCCTATGGTGAAAAAGGAAATATCTTCTCATAAAAACCAGAAACAAGCATTCTCAGAAACTTCTTTTTGATGTGTGTACTCAAGTAACAGAGTTGAACCTTCCTTTTGACACAGCAGTTTTGAAACAATCTTTTTGTAGAATCTGCAAGTGGATATTTGGATAGCTTTGAGGATTTCGTTGGAAACGGGATATCTTCATATAAAATCTAGACAGAAGCATTCTCAGAAACTTCTTTGTGCTGTATGTCCTCAATTAACAGAGTTGAACCATTGCTTGGATACAGCATTTTGGAAACATTCCTTGAGTAGAATCTGCAAGTTGATATTTAGATAGATTTGAAGATTTCGTTGGAAAAGGGAATATCTCCATATAAAATCTAGAGGGAAGCATTCTCAGAAAATGCTTTGTGATGTTTCCATTCAAGTCACAGAGTTGAATATTCCCTTTTATAGAGCACGTTTGAAACACTCTTTCTGCACTATCTGGAAGTGGACATTTCGAGCGCTTTGAGGCCTATGGTGAAAAAGGAAATATCTTCCCATAAAAACTAGACAGAAGCATTCTCAGAAACTTGTTTGTGATGTGTGTATTCAACTAACAGAGTTGAACTTTTGTTTTTACAGAGCCGTTTTAAAACACTCTTTTTGTGGAATCAGAAAGTGGATATTCGGATGGCTCTGAGGATTTCGTTGGAAGCGGGATTACATATAAAATCTAGAGAGAAGCATTCTCAGGAACTTCTTTGTGATGTTTGCATTGAAGTCACAGAATTGAACATTCACTTTGATAGAGCAGGTTTGAAACACTCATTCTGTAGTATCTGGAAGTGGACATTTCAAGCGCTTTCAGGCCTATGGTGAGAAAGGAAATATCCTTCGAATAAAAACTAGACAGAAGCATCCTCAAACTTATTTGTGATGTGTGTCCTCAACTAACAGAGTTGAAACTTTGTTTTGATACAGCATTTTGGAAACACTCTTTTTGTAGAATCTGCAGGTGGATATTTGGATAGCTTAGAGGGATTCGTTGGAAAGGGGATATCTTCATATAGAATCTAGACAGAAGCATTCTCAGAAACTTATTTGTGATGTGTGTCCTCAACTAACAGAGTTGAACTTTGGTTTTGATACAGCATTTTGGAAACACTCCTTTTGTAGAATCTGCAGGTGGATATGTGGATAGCTCTGAAGATTTCGTTGGAAACGGGAATTTCTTCATATAAAATCAAACAGAAGCATTCTCAGAAACTTCTCAGTGATGTTTGCATTCAGTTCATGGAGTTGAACACTTCCTTTCATAGAGCCGGTTTGAAACACTCTTTCTGCACTACCTGGAAGAGGACATTTCGAGCGCTTTGAGTCCTATGGTGAAAAAGGAAATATCTTCTCATAGAAACCAGAAAGAAGCATTCTCAGAAACTTCTTTGTGTTGTGTGTACTCATGTAACAGTGTTGAACCATCCTTTTGACAGAGCAGTTTTGAAACACTCTTTTTGTAGAATCTGCAAGTGGATATTTGGATAGCTTTGAGGATTTCGTTGGAAACGGGATGACATATAATATCTAGAGAGAAGCATTCTCAGGAACTTCTTTGTGATGTTTGCATTCAAGTCACAGAATTGAACATTCCCTTTCATAGAGCAGGTTTGAAACACTCTTTCTCTAGTATCTGGAAGTGGGCATTTCAAGCGCTTTCAGGCCTATGGAGAGAAAGGAAATACCTTCAAATAAAAACTAGACAGAAGCATTCTCAGAAACTTATTTGTGATGTGTGTCCTCAACTAACAGAGTTGAACCTTTGTTTTGATACAGCATTTTGGAAACACTCCTTTTGTAGAATCTGCAGGTGGATATTTGGATAGCTTTGAAGATTTCGTTGGAAACCGGAATATCTTCATATAAAATCAAGACAGAAGCATTCTCGGAAACATCTCTGTGATGTTTGCATTCAACTCAGTAGAGTTGAACACTTCCTTTCATAGAGCAGGTTTGAAACACTCTTTCTGCACTACCTGGAAGCGGACATTTCGAGCGCTTTGAGGCCTATGGTGAAAAAGGAAATATCTTCTCATAAAAACCAGAAAGAAGCATTCTCAGAAACTTCTTTGTGTTGTGTGTACTCAAGTAACAGTGTTGAACCTTCCTTTTGACAGAGCAGTTTTGAAACACTCTTTTGGTAGAATCTGCAAGTGGATATTTGGATAGCTTTGAGGATTTCATTGGAAACGGGTTATCTTCATATAAAATCCAGACAGGAGCATTCTCAGAAACTTCTTTGTGCTGTAAGTCCTCAATTCACAGAGTTGAACCTTTGTTTGGATACAGCATTCTGGAAACATTCCTTTAGTAGAATCTGCAAGTTGATATTTAGATAGCTTTGAAGATTTCGTTGGAAACGGGAATAACTTCATTAAAAATGCTAGACGGAAGCATTCTCAGAAACTGCTTTGTGATGTTTGCATTCAAGTCACAGAGTTGAATATTCCCTTTTATAGAGTAGGTTTGAAACACTCTTTCGGCACTACCTGGAAGTGGATATTTCGAGCTCTTTGAGGCCTATGGTTAAAAGGAAATATCTTCCCATAAAAACTAGACAGAAGCCGTCTCAGAAACTTGTTTGTGATGTGTGTATTCAACTAACAGAGTTGAACATTTCTGTTACAGAGCAATTTAAAACACTCTTTTTGTGGAATCTGAAAGTGGATAATTGGATAGCTTTGTGGATTTCGTTGGAAACGGGATGACGTATAAAATCTAGAGAGAAGCATTCTCAGGAACTTCTTTCTGATGTTTGCATTCAAGTCACAGAATTGAACATTCCTTTTCAGAGTGCAGGTTTGAAACACTCTTTCTGTAGTATCTGGAAGTGGACATTTCAAGCGCTTTCAGGCCTACGGGGAGAAAGGAAATATCTTCAAATAAAAACTAGACAGAAGGATTCTCAGAAACTTATTTGTGATGTGTGTCCTAAACGAACACAGTTGAACCTTTGTTTTGATACAGCATTTTGGAAACACTCCTTTTGTAGGATCTGCAGGTGGATATTTGGATAGATTTTAAGATTTCGTTGGAAACGGGAATTTCTTCATAGAAGCTCAAGACAGATGCATTCTCAGAAACTTCTCTGTGATGTTTGCATTCCACTCATAGAGTTGAAAACTTCCTTTCATAGAGCAGGTTTGAAACACTCTTTTTGTAATATTTGGAAGTGGACATTTGCAGCGCTTTGAGGCCTATGGTGAAAAAGGAAATATCTTCTCATAAAAACCAGAAACAAGCATTCTCAGAAACTTCTTTTTGATGTGTGTACTCAAGTAACAGAGTTGAACCTTCCTTTTGACACAGCAGTTTTGAAACAATCTTTTTGTAGAATCTGCAAGTGGATATTTGGATAGCTTTGAGGATTTCGTTGGAAACGGGATATCTTCATATAAAATCTAGACAGAAGCATTCTCAGAAACTTCTTTGTGCTGTATGTCCTCAATTAACAGAGTTGAACCATTGCTTGGATACAGCATTTTGGAAACATTCCTTGAGTAGAATCTGCAAGTTGATATTTAGATAGATTTGAAGATTTCGTTGGAAAAGGGAATATCTCCATATAAAATCTAGAGGGAGGCATTCTCAGAAAACTGCTTTGTGATGTTTCCATTCAAGTCACAGAGTTGAATATTCTCTTTTATAGAGCACGTTTGAAACACTCTTTCTGCACTATCTGGAAGTGGACATTTCAAGCGCTGTGAGGCCTATGGTGAAAAAGGAAATATCTTCCCATAAAAACTAGACAGAAGCATTCTCAGAAACTTGTTTGTGATGTGTGTATTCAACTAACAGACTTGGACTTTTGTTTTTACAGAGCAGTTTTAAGACAATCTTTTTGTGGAATCAGAAAGTGGATATTCGGATGGCTTTGAGGACTTCGTTGGAAGCGGGATTACATATAAAATCTAGAGAGAAGCATTCTCAGGAACTTCTTTGTGATGTTTGCATTGAAGTCACAGAATTGAACATTCACTTTGATAGAGCAGGTTTGAAACACTCATTCTGTAGTATCTGGAAGTGGACATTTCAAGCGCTTTCAGGCCTATGGTGAGAAAGGAAATATCTTCGAATAAAAACTAGACAGAAGCATCCTCAAACTTATTTGTGATGTGTGTCCTCAACTAACAGAGTTGAAACTTTGTTTTGATACAGCATTTTGGAAACACTCTTTTTGTAGAATCTGCAGGTGGATATTTGGATAGCTTAGAGGGATTCGTTGGAAAGGGGATATCTTCATATAGAATCTAGACAGAAGCATTCTCAGAAACTTATTTGTGATGTGTGTCCTCAACTAACAGAGTTGAACTTTGGTTTTGATACAGCATTTTGGAAACACTCCTTTTGTAGAATCTGCAGGTGGATATGTGGATAGCTCTGAAGATTTCGTTGGAAACGGGAATTTCTTCATATAAAATCAAACAGAAGCATTCTCAGAAACTTCTCAGTGATGTTTGCATTCAGTTCATGGAGTTGAACACTTCCTTTCATAGAGCCGGTTTGAAACACTCTTTCTGCACTACCTGGAAGAGGACATTTCGAGCGCTTTGAGTCCTATGGTGAAAAAGGAAATATCTTCTCATAGAAACCAGAAAGAAGCATTCTCAGAAACTTCTTTGTGTTGTGTGTACTCATGTAACAGTGTTGAACCATCCTTTTGACAGAGCAGTTTTGAAACACTCTTTTTGTAGAATCTGCAAGTGGATATTTGGATAGCTTTGAGGATTTCGTTGGAAACGGGATGACATATAATATCTAGAGAGAAGCATTCTCAGGAACTTGCTTTGTGATGTTTGCATTCAAGTCACAGAATTGAACATTCCCTTTCATAGAGCAGGTTTGAAACACTCTTTCTCTAGTATCTGGAAGTGGGCATTTCAAGCGCTTTCAGGCCTATGGAGAGAAAGGAAATACCTTCAAATAAAAACTAGACAGAAGCATTCTCAGAAACTTATTTGTGATGTGTGTCCTCAACTAACAGAGTTGAACCTTTGTTTTGATACAGCATTTTGGAAACACTCCTTTTGTAGAATCTGCAGGTGGATATTTGGATAGCTTTGAAGATTTCGTTGGAAACCGGAATATCTTCATATAAAATCAAGACAGAAGCATTCTCGGAAACATCTCTGTGATGTTTGCATTCAACTCAGTAGAGTTGAACACTTCCTTTCATAGAGCAGGTTTGAAACACTCTTTCTGCACTACCTGGAAGCGGACATTTCGAGCGCTTTGAGGCCTATGGTGAAAAAGGAAATATCTTCTCATAAAAACCAGAAAGAAGCATTCTCAGAAACTTCTTTGTGTTGTGTGTACTCAAGTAACAGTGTTGAACCTTCCTTTTGACAGAGCAGTTTTGAAACACTCTTTTGGTAGAATCTGCAAGTGGGTATTTGGAGAGCTTTGAGGATTTCGTTGGAAACGGGTTATCTTCCTATAAAATCCAGACAGGAGCATTCTCAGAAACTTCTTTGTGCTGTATGTACTCAATTCACAGAGCTGAACCTTTGTTTGGATACAGCATTTTGGAGACATTCCTTTAGTAGAATCTGCAAGTTGATATTTAGATAGCTTTGAAGATTTCGTTGGAAACGGGAATATCTTCATAGAAAATCTAGACGGAAGCATTCTCAGAAACTGCTTTGTGATGTTTGCATTCAAGTCACAGAGTTGAATATTGCCTTTTATAGAGTAGGTTTGAAACACTCTTTCGGCACTACCTGGAAGTGGATATTTCGAGCTCTTTGAGGCCTATGGTTAAAAGGAAATATCTTCCCATAAAAACTAGACAGAAGCCGTCTCAGAAACTTGTTTGTGATGTGTGTATTCAACTAACAGAGTTGAACATTTCTGTTACAGAGCAATTTAAAACACTCTTTTTGTGGAATCTGAAAGTGGATAATTGGATAGCTTTGTGGATTTCGTTGGAAACGGGATGACGTATAAAATCTAGAGAGAAGCATTCTCAGGAACTTCTTTCTGATGTTTGCATTCAAGTCACAGAATTGAACATTCCTTTTCAGAGTGCAGGTTTGAAACACTCTTTCTGTAGTATCTGGAAGTGGACATTTCAAGCGCTTTCAGGCCTACGGGGAGAAAGGAAATATCTTCAAATAAAAACTAGACAGAAGGATTCTCAGAAACTTATTTGTGATGTGTGTCCTAAACGAACACAGTTGAACCTTTGTTTTGATACAGCATTTTGGAAACACTCCTTTTGTAGGATCTGCAGGTGGATATTTGGATAGATTTTAAGATTTCGTTGGAAACGGGAATTTCTTCATAGAAGCTCAAGACAGATGCATTCTCAGAAACTTCTCTGTGATGTTTGCATTCCACTCATAGAGTTGAAAACTTCCTTTCATAGAGCAGGTTTGAAACACTCTTTTTGTAATATGTGGAAGTGGACATTTGCAGCGCTTTGAGGCCTATGGTGAAAAAGGAAATATCTTCTCATAAAAACCAGAAACAAGCATTCTCAGAAACTTCTTTTTGATGTGTGTACTCAAGTAACAGAGTTGAACCTTCCTTTTGACACAACAGTTTTGAAACAATCTTTTTGTAGAATCTGCAAGTGGATATTTGGATAGCTTTGAGGATTTCGTTATAAACGGGATATCTTCATATAAAATCCAGACAGAAGCATTCTCAGAAACTTCTTTGTGCTGTATGTCCTCAATTAACAGAGTTGAACCATTGCTTGGATACAGCATTTTGGAAACATTCCTTTAGTAGAATCTGCAAGTTGATATTTAGATAGATTTGAAGATTTCGTTGGAAACGGGAATATCTTCATATAAAATCTAGACGGAGGCATTCTCAGAAACTGCTTTGTGATGTTTCCATTCAAGTCACAGAGTTGAATATTCTCTTTTATGGAGCACGTTTGAAACACTCTTTCTGCACTATCTGGAAGTGGACATTTCGAGCGCTTTGAGGCCTATGGTGAAAAAGGAAATATCTTCCCATAAAAACTAGACAGAAGCATTCTCAGAAACTTGTTTGTGATGTGTGTATTCAACTAACAGACTTGACTTTTTTTTTTTTCAGAGCAGTTTTAAAACAATCTTTTTGTGGAATCAGAAAGTGGATATTCGGTTGGCTTTGAGGATTTCGTTGGAAGCGGGATTACATATAAAATCTAGAGAGAAGCATTCTCAGGAACTACTTTGTGATGTTTGCATTGAAGTCACAGAATTGAACATTCACTTTGATAGAGCAGGTTTGAAACACTCATTCTGTAGTATCTGGAAGTGGACATTTCAAGCGCTTTCAGGCCTATGGGGAGAAAGGAAATATCTTCAAATTAAAACTAGACAGAAGCATCCTCAGAAACTTATTTGTGATGTGTGTCCTCAACTAACAGAGTTGAAACTTTGTTTTGATACAGCATTTTGGAAACACTCTTTTTGTAGAATCTGCAGGTGGATACTTGGATAGCTTAGAGGGATTCGTTGGAAAGGGGATATCTTCATATAAAATCTAGACAGAAGCATTCTCAGAAACTTATTTGTGATGTGTGTCCTCAACTAACAGAGTTGAACCTTGGTTTTGATACAGCATTTTGGAAACACTGCTTTTGAAGAATCTGCAGGTGGATATGTGGATAGCTTTGAAGATTTCGTTGGAAACGGGAATTTCTTCATATAAAATCAAACAGAAGCATTCTCAGAAACTTCTCAGTGATGTTTGCATTCAGCTCATGGAGTTGAACACTTCCTTTCATAGAGCAGGTTTGAAACACTCTTTCTGCACTACCTGGAAGAGGACATTTCGAGCGCTTTGAGTCCTATGGTGAAAAAGGAAATATCTTCTCATAGAAACCAGAAAGAAGCATTCTCAGAAACTTCTTTGTGTTGTGTGTACTCATGTAACAGTGTTGAACCATCCTTTTGACAGAGCAGTTTTGAAACACTCTTTTTGTAGAATCTGCAAGTGGATATTTGGATAGCTTTGAGGATTTCGTTGGAAACGGGATGACATATAATATCTAGAGAGAAGCATTCTCAGGAACTTCTTTGTGATGTTTGCATTCAAGTCACAGAATTGAACATTCCCTTTCATAGAGCAGGTTTGAAACACTCTTTCTCTAGTATCTGGAAGTGGGCATTTCAAGCGCTTTCAGGCCTATGGAGAGAAAGGAAATACCTTCAAATAAAAACTAGACAGAAGCATTCTCAGAAACTTATTTGTGATGTGTGTCCTCAACTAACAGAGTTGAACCTTTGTTTTCATACAGCATTTTGGAAACACTCCTTTTGTAGAATCTGCAGGTGGATATTTGGATAGCTTTGAAGATTTCGTTGGAAACCGGAATATCTTCATATAAAATCAAGACAGAAGCATTCTCGGAAACATCTCTGTGATGTTTGCATTCAACTCAGTAGAGTTGAACACTTCCTTTCATAGAGCAGGTTTGAAACACTCTTTCTGCACTACCTGGAAGCGGACATTTCGAGCGCTTTGAGGCCTATGGTGAAAAAGGAAATATCTTCTCATAAAAACCAGAAAGAAGCATTCTCAGAAACTTCTTTGTGTTGTGTGTACTCAAGTAACAGTGTTGAACCTTCCTTTTGACAGAGTAGTTTTGAAACACTCTTTTGGAAGAATCTGCAAGTGGATATTTGGATAGCTTTGAGGATTTCGTTGGAAACGGGTTATCTTCCTATAAAATCCAGACAGGAGCATTCTCAGAAACTTCTTTGTGCTGTATGTCCTCAATTCACAGAGCTGAACCTTTGTTTGGATACAGCATTTTGGAGACATTCCTTTAGTAGAATCTGCAAGTTGATATTTAGATAGCTTTGAAGATTTCGTTGGAAACGGGAATATCTTCATAGAAAATCTAGACGGAAGCATTCTCAGAAACTGCTTTGTGATGTTTGCATTCAAGTCACAGAGTTGAATATTCCCTTTTATAGAGTAGGTTTGAAACACTCTTTCGGCACTACCTGGAAGTGGATATTTCGAGCTCTTTGAGGCCTATGGTTAAAAGGAAATATCTTCCCATAAAAACTAGACAGAAGCCGTCTCAGAAACTTGTTTGTGATGTGTGTATTCAACTACCAGAGTTGAACATTTCTGTTACAGAGCAATTTTAAAACACTCTTTTTGTGGAATCTGAAAGTGGATAATTGGATAGCTTTGTGGATTTCGTTGGAAACGGGATGACGTATAAAATCTAGAGAGAAGCATTCTCAGAAACTTCTTTCTGATGTTTGCATTCAAGTCACAGAATTGAACATTCCTTTTCATAGTGCAGGTTTGAAACACTCTTTCTGTACTATCTGGAAGTGGACATTTCCAGCGCTTTCAGGCCTATGGGGAGAAAGGAAATATCTTCAAATAAAAACTAGACAGAAGGATTCTCAGAAACTTATTGGTGATGTGTGTCCTAAACGAACACAGTTGAACCTTTGTTTTGATACAGCATTTTGGAAACACTCCCTTTGTAGAATCTGCAGGTGGATATTTGGATAGATTTTAAGATTTCGTTGGAAACGGGAATTTCTTCATATAAACTCAAGACAGATGCATTCTCAGAAACTTCTCTGTGATGTTTGCATTCCACTCATAGAGTTGAAAACTTCCTTTCATAGAGCAGGTTTGAAACACTCTTTTTGTAATATTTGGAAGTGGACATTTGCAGCGCTTTGAGGCCTATGGTGAAAAAGGAAATATCTTCTCATAAAAACCAGAAACAAGCATTCTCAGAAACTTCTTTTTGATGTGTGTACTCAAGTAACAGAGTTGAACCTTCCTCTTGACACAGCAGTTTTGAAACAATCTTTTTGTAGAATCTGCAAGTGGATATTTGGATAGCTTTGAGGATTTCGTTGGAAACGGGATATCTTCATATAAAATCTAGACAGAAGCATTCTCAGAAACTTCTTTGTGCTGTATGTCCTCAATTAACAGAGTTGAACCATTGCCTGGATACAGCATTTTGGAAACATTCCTTGAGTAGAATCTGCAAGTTGATATTTAGATAGATTTGAAGATTTCGTTGGAAAAGGGAATATCTCCATATAAAATCTAGAGGGAAGCATTCTCAGAAACTGCTTTGTGATGTTTCCATTCAAGTCACAGAGTTGAATATTCCCTTTTATAGAGCACGTTTGAAACACTCTTTCTGCACTATCTGGAAGCGGACATTTCGAGCGCTTTGAGGCCTATGGTGAAAAAGGAAATATCTTCCCATAAAAACTAGACAGAAGCATTCTCAGAAACTTGTTTGTGATGTGTGTATTCAACTAACAGAGTTGAACTTTTGTTTTTACAGAGCCGTTTTAAAACACTCTTTTTGTGGAATCAAAAAGTGGATATTCGGATGGCTCTGAGGATTTCGTTGGAAGCGGGATTACGTATAAAATCTAGAGAGAAGCATTCTCAGGAACTTCTTTGTGATGTTTGCATTCAAGTCACAGAATTGAACATTCCCTTTCATAGAGCAGGTTTGAAACACTCTTTCTCTAGTATCTGGAAGTGGGCATTTCAAGCGCTTTCAGGCCTATGGAGAGAAAGGAAATACCTTCAAATAAAAACTAGACAGAAGCATTCTCAGAAACTTATTTGTGATGTGTGTCCTCAACTAACAGAGTTGAACCTTTGTTTTGATACAGCATTTTGGAAACACTCCTTTTGTAAAATCTGCAGGTGGATATTTGGATAGCTTTGAAGATTTCGTTGGAAACCGGAATATCTTCATATAAAATCAAGACAGAAGCATTCTCGGAAACATCTCTGTGATGTTTGCATTCAACTCAGTAGAGTTGAACACTTCCTTTCATAGAGCAGGTTTGAAACACTCTTTCTGCACTACCTGGAAGCGGACATTTCGAGCGCTTTGAGGCCTATGGTGAAAAAGGAAATATCTTCTCATAAAAACCAGAAAGAAGCATTCTCAGAAACTTCTTTGTGTTGTGTGTACTCAAGTAACAGTGTTGAACCTTCCTTTTGACAGAGCAGTTTTGAAACACTCTTTTGGTAGAATCTGCAAGTGGATATTTGGAGAGCTTTGAGGATTTCGTTGGAAACGGGTTATCTTCCTATAAAATCCAGACAGGAGCATTCTCAGAAACTTCTTTGTGCTGTATGTCCTCAATTCACAGAGCTGAACCTTTGTTTGGATACAGCATTTTGGAGACATTCCTTTAGTAGAATCTGCAAGTTGATATTTAGATAGCTTTGAAGATTTCGTTGGAAACGGGAATATCTTCATAGAAAATCTAGACGGAAGCATTCTCAGAAACTGCTTTGTGATGTTTGCATTCAAGTCACAGAGTTGAATATTCCCTTTTATAGAGTAGGTTTGAAACACTCTTTCGGCACTACCTGGAAGTGGATATTTCGAGCTCTTTGAGGCCTATGGTTAAAAGGAAATATCTTCCCATAAAAACTAGACAGAAGCCGTCTCAGAAACTTGTTTGTGATGTGTGTATTCAACTAACAGAGTTGAACATTTCTGTTACAGAGCAATTTTAAAACACTCTTTGTGGAATCTGAAAGTGGATAATTGGATAGCTTTGTGGATTTCGTTGGAAACGGGATGACGTATAAAATCTAGAGAGAAGCATTCTCAGGAACTTCTTTCTGATGTTTGCATTCAAGTCACAGAATTGAACATTCCTTTTCAGAGTGCAGGTTTGAAACACTCTTTCTGTAGTATCTGGAAGTGGACATTTCAAGCGCTTTCAGGCCTACGGGGAGAAAGGAAATATCTTCAAATAAAAACTAGACAGAAGGATTCTCAGAAACTTATTTGTGATGTGTGTCCTAAACGAACACAGTTGAACCTTTGTTTTGATACAGCATTTTGGAAACACTCCTTTTGTAGGATCTGCAGGTGGATATTTGGATAGATTTTAAGATTTCGTTGGAAACGGGAATTTCTTCATAGAAGCTCAAGACAGATGCATTCTCAGAAACTTCTCTGTGATGTTTGCATTCCACTCATAGAGTTGAAAACTTCCTTTCACAGAGCAGGTTTGAAACACTCTTTTTGTAATATTTGGAAGTGGACATTTGCAGCGCTTTGAGGCCTATGGTGAAAAAGGAAATATCTTCTCATAAAAACCAGAAACAAGCATTCTCAGAAACTTCTTTTTGATGTGTGTACTCAAGTAACAGAGTTGAACCTTCCTTTTGACACAGCAGTTTTGAAACAATCTTTTTGTAGAATCTGCAAGTGGATATTTGGATAGCTTTGAGGATTTCGTTGGAAACGGGATATCTTCATATAAAATCTAGACAGAAGCATTCTCAGAAACTTCTTTGTGCTGTATGACCTCAATTAACAGAGTTGAACCATTGCTTGCATACAGCATTTTGGAAACATTCCTTGAGTAGAATCTGCAAGTTGATATTTAGATAGATTTGAAGATTTCGTTCGAAAACAGGAATATCTCCATATAAAATCTAGAGGGAAGCATTCTCAGAAACTGCTTTGTGATGTTTCCATTCAAGTCACAGAGTTGAATATTCCCTTTTATAGAGCACGTTTGAAACACTCTTTCTGCACTATCTGGAAGTGGACATTTCGAGCGCTGTGAGGCCTATGGTGAAAAAGGAAATATCTTCCCATAAAAACTAGACAGAAGCATTCTCAGAAACTTGTTTGTGATGTGTGTATTCAACTAACAGAGTTGAACTTTTGTTTTTACAGAGCCGTTTTAAAACACTCTTTTTGTGGAATCAGAAAGTGGATATTCGGATGGCTCTGAGGATTTCGTTGGAAGCGGGATTACATATAAAATCTAGAGAGAAGCATTCTCAGGAACTTCTTTGTGATGTTTGCATTGAAGTCACAGAATTGAACATTCACTTTGATAGAGCAGGTTTGAAACACTCATTCTGTAGTATCTGGAAGTGGACATTTCAAGCGCTTTCAGGCCTATGGTGAGAAAGGAAATATCTTCGAATAAAAACTAGACAGAAGCATCCTCAAACTTATTTGTGATGTGTGTCCTCAACTAACAGAGTTGAAACTTTGTTTTGATACAGCATTTTGGAAACACTCTTTTTGTAGAATCTGCAGGTGGATATTTGGATAGCTTAGAGGGATTCGTTGGAAAGGGGATATCTTCATATAGAATCTAGACAGAAGCATTCTCAGAAACTTATTTGTGATGTGTGTCCTCAACTAACAGAGTTGAACTTTGGTTTTGATACAGCATTTTGGAAACACTCCTTTTGTAGAATCTGCAGGTGGATATGTGGATAGCTCTGAAGATTTCGTTGGAAACGGGAATTTCTTCATATAAAATCAAACAGAAGCATTCTCAGAAACTTCTCAGTGATGTTTGCATTCAGTTCATGGAGTTGAACACTTCCTTTCATAGAGCCGGTTTGAAACACTCTTTCTGCACTACCTGGAAGAGGACATTTCGAGCGCTTTGAGTCCTATGGTGAAAAAGGAAATATCTTCTCATAGAAACCAGAAAGAAGCATTCTCAGAAACTTCTTTGTGTTGTGTGTACTCATGTAACAGTGTTGAACCATCCTTTTGACAGAGCAGTTTTGAAACACTCTTTTTGTAGAATCTGCAAGTGGATATTTGGATAGCTTTGAGGATTTCGTTGGAAACGGGATGACATATAATATCTAGAGAGAAGCATTCTCAGGAACTTCTTTGTGATGTTTGCATTCAAGTCACAGAATTGAACATTCCCTTTCATAGAGCAGGTTTGAAACACTCTTTCTCTAGTATCTGGAAGTGGGCATTTCAAGCGCTTTCAGGCCTATGGAGAGAAAGGAAATACCTTCAAATAAAAACTAGACAGAAGCATTCTCAGAAACTTATTTGTGATGTGTGTCCTCAACTAACAGAGTTGAACCTTTGTTTTGATACAGCATTTTGGAAACACTCCTTTTGTAGAATCTGCAGGTGGATATTTGGATAGCTTTGAAGATTTCGTTGGAAACCGGAATATCTTCCTATAAAATCAAGACAGAAGCATTCTCGGAAACATCTCTGTGATGTTTGCATTCAACTCAGTAGAGTTGAACACTTCCTTTCATAGAGCAGGTTTGAAACACTCTTTCTGCCCTACCTGGAAGCGGACATTTCGAGCTCTTTGAGGCCTATGGTGAAAAAGGAAATATCTTCTCATAAAAACCAGAAAGAAGCATTCTCAGAAACTTCTTTGTGTTGTGTGTACTCAAGTAACAGTGTTGAACCTTCCTTTTGACAGAGCAGTTTTGAAACACTCTTTTGGTAGAATCTGCAAGTGGATATTTGGATAGCTTTGAGGATTTCGTTGGAAACGGGTTATCTTCATATAAAATCCAGACAGGAGCATTCTCAGAAACTTCTTTGTGCTGTATGTCCTCAATTCACAGAGTTGAACCTTTGTTTGGATACAGCATTTTGGAAACATTCCTTTAGTAGAATCTGCAAGTTGATATTTAGATAGCTTTGAAGATTTCGTTGGAAACGGGAATATCTTCATAAAAAATCTAGACGGAAGCATTCTCAGAAACTGCTTTGTGATGTTTGCATTCAAGTCACAGAGTTGAATATTCCCTTTTATAGAGTAGGTTTGAAACACTCTTTCGGCACTACCTGGAAGTGGATATTTCGAGCTCTTTGAGGCCTATGGTTAAAAGGAAATATCTTCCCATAAAAACTAGACAGAAGCCGTCTCAGAAACTTGTTTGTGATGTGTGTATTCAACTAACAGAGTTGAACATTTCTGTTACAGAGCAATTTTAAAACACTATTTGTGGAATCTGAAAGTGGATAATTGGATAGCTTTGTGGATTTCGTTGGAAACGGGATGACGTATAAAATCTAGAGAGAAGCATTCTCAGGAACTTCTTTCTGATGTTTGCATTCAAGTCACAGAATTGAACATTCCTTTTCAGAGTGCAGGTTTGAAACACTCTTTCCGTAGTATCTGGAAGTGGACATTTCAAGCGCTTTCAGGCCTACGGGGAGAAAGGAAATATCTTCAAATAAAAACTAGACAGAAGGATTCTCAGAAACTTATTGGTGATGTGTGTCCTAAACGAACACAGTTGAACCTTTGTTTTGATACAGCATTTTGGAAACACTCCCTTTGTAGAATCTGCAGGTGGATATTTGGATAGATTTTAAGATTTCGTTGGAAACGGGAATTTCTTCATATAAACTCAAGACAGATGCATTCTCAGAAACTTCTCTGTGATGTTTGCATTCCACTCATAAAGTTGAAAACTTCCTTTCATAGAGCAGGTTTGAAACACTCTTTTTGTAATATTTGGAAGTGGACATTTGCAGCGCTTTGAGGCCTATGGTGAAAAAGGAAATATCTTCTCATAAAAACCAGAAACAAGCATTCTCAGAAACTTCTTTTTGATGTGTGTACTCAAGTAACAGAGTTGAACCTTCCTTTTGACAAAGCAGTTTTGAAACAATCTTTTTGTAGAATCTGCAAGTGGATATTTGGATAGCTTTGAGGATTTCGTTGGAAACGGGATATCTTCATATAAAATCTAGACAGAAGCATTCTCAGAAACTTCTTTGTGCTGTATGACCTCAATTAACAGAGTTGAACCATTGCTTGCATACAGCATTTTGGAAACATTCCTTGAGTAGAATCTGCAAGTTGATATTTAGATAGATTTGAAGATTTCGTTCGAAAACAGGAATATCTCCATATAAAATCTAGAGGGAAGCATTCTCAGAAACTGCTTTGTGATGTTTCCATTCAAGTCACAGAGTTGAATATTCCCTTTTATAGAGCACGTTTGAAACACTCTTTCTGCACTATCTGGAAGCGGACATTTCGAGCGCTTTGAGGCCTATGGTGAAAAAGGAAATATCTTCCCATAAAAACTAGACAGAAGCATTCTCAGAAACTTGTTTGTGATGTGTGTATTCAACTAACAGAGTTGAACTTTTGTTTTTACAGAGCCGTTTTAAAACACTCTTTTTGTGGAATCAGAAAGTGGATATTCGGATGGCTCTGAGGATTTCGTTGGAAGCGGGATTACGTATAAAATCTAGAGAGAAGCATTCTCAGGAACTTCTTTGTGATGTTTGCATTGAAGTCACAGAATTGAACATTCACTTTTATAGAGCAGGTTTGAAACACTCATTCTGTAGTATCTGGAAGTGGACATTTCAAGCGCTTTCAGGCCTATGGTGAGAAAGGAGATATCTTCAAATAAAAACTAGACAGAAGCATCCTCAGAAACTTATTTGTGATGTGTGTCCTCAACTAACAGAGTTGAAACTTTGTTTTGATACAGCCTTTTGGAAACACTCCTTTTGTAGAATCTGCAGGTGGCTATTTGGATAGCTTAGAGGGATTCGTTGGAAAGGGGATATCTTCATATAAAATCTAGACAGAAGCATTCTCAGAAACTTATTTGTGATGTGTGCCCTCAACTAACAGAGTTGAACCTTGGTTTTGATACAGCATTTTGGAAACACTCCTTTTGTAGAATCTGCAGGTGGATATGTGGATAGCTTTGAAGATTTCGTTGGAATCGGGAATTTCTTCATATAAAATCAAACAGAAGCATTCTCAGAAACTTCTCTGTGATGTTTGCATTCAGCTCATGGAGTTGAACACTTCCTTTCATAGAGCAGGTATGAAACACTCTTTCTGCACTACCAGGAAGTGGACATTTCGAGCGCTTTGAGGCCAATGGTGAAAAAGGAAATATCTTCTCATAAAAACCAGAAAGAAGCGTTCTCAGAAACTTCTTTGTGTTGTGTGTACTCATGTAACAGTGTTGAACCATCCTTTTGACAGAGCAGTTTTGAAACACTCTTTTTGTAGAATCTGCAAGTGGATATTTGGATAGCTTTGAGGATTTCGTTGGAAACGGGTTATCTTCATATTAAATCTAGACAGAAGCATTCTCAGAAACTTCTTTGTGCTGTATGTCCTCAATTCACAGAGTTGAACCTTTGTTTGGATACAGCATTTTGGAAACATTCCTTTAGTAGAATCTGCAAGTTGATATTTAGATAGCTTTGAAGATTTCGTTGGAAACGGGAATATCTTCATAAAAAATCTAGACGGTAGCATTCTCAGAAACTGCTTTGTGATGTTTGCATTCAAGTCACAGAGTTGAATATTCCCTTTTATAGAGTAGGTTTGAAACACTCTTTCGGCACTACCTGGAAGTGGATATTTCGAGCTCTTTGAGGCCTATGGTTAAAAGGAAATATCTTCCCATAAAAACTAGACAGAAGCCGTCTCAGAAACTTGTTTGTGATGTGTGTATTCAACTAACAGAGTTGAACATTTCTGTTACAGAGCAATTTTAAAACACTCTTTTTGTGGAATCTGAAAGTGGATAATTGGGTAGCTTTGTGGATTTCATTGGAAACGGGATGACGTATAAAATCTAGAGAGAAGCATTCTCAGGAACTTCTTTCTGATGTTTGCATTCAAGTCACAGAATTGACATTCCTTTTCAGAGTGCAGGTTTGAAACACTCTTTCTGTATTATCTGGAAGTGGACATTTCAAGCGCTTTCAGGCCTATGGGGAGAAAGGAAATATCTTCAAATAAAAACTAGACAGAAGGATTCTCAGAAACTTATTTGTGATGTGTGTCCTAAGCGAACACAGTTGAACCTTTGTTTTGATACAACATTTTGGAAACACTCCTTTTGTAGAATCTGCAGGTGGATATTTGGATAGATTTTAAGATTTCATTGGAAACGGGAATTTCTGCATAGAAACTCAAGACAGATGCATTCTCAGAAACTTCTCTGTGATGTTTGCATTCCACTCATAGAGTTGAAAACTTCCTTTCATAGAGCAGGTTTGAAACACTCTTTTTGTAATATTTGGAAGTGGACATTTGCAGCGCTTTGAGGCCTATGGTGAAAAAGGAAATATCTTCTCATAAAAACCAGAAACAAGCATTCTCAGAAACTTCTTTTTGATGTGTGTACTCAAATATCAGAGTTGAACCTTCCTTTTGACACAGCAGTTTTGAAACAATCTTTTTGTAGAATCTGCAAGTGGACATTTGGATAGCTTTGATGATTTCGTTGGAAACGGGATATCTTCATATAAAATCTAGACAGAAGCATTCTCAGGAACTTCTTTGTGCTGTATGTCCTCAATTAACAGAGTTGAACCATTGCTTGGATACAGCATTATGGAAACATTCCTTGAGTAGAATCTGCAAGTTGATATTTAGATAGATTTGAAGATTTCGTTGGAAAAGGGAATATCTCCATATAAAATCAAGAGGGAAGCATTCTCAGAAACTGCTTTATGATGTTTCCCTTCAAGTCACAGAGTTGAATATTCCCTTTTATAGAGCACGTTTGAAACAATCTTTCTGCACTATGTGGAAGTGGACATTTCGAGCGCTTTGAGGCCTATGGTGAAAAAGGAAATATCTTCCCATAAAAACTAGACAGAAGCATTCTCAGAAACTTTTTTGTGATGTGTGTATTCAACTAACAGAGTTGAACTTTTGTTTTTACAGAGCCGTTTTAAAACACCCTTTTTGTGGAATCAGAAAGTGGATATTCGGATGGCTCTGAGGATTTCGTTGGAAGCGGGATTACATATAAAATCTAGAGAGAAGCATTCTCAGGAACTTCTTTGTGATGTTTGCATTGAAGTCACAGAATTGAACATTCACTTTGATAGAGCAGGTTTGAAACACTCATTCTGTAGTATCTGGAAGTGGACATTTCAAGCGCTTTCAGGCCTATGGTGGGAAAGGAAATATCTTCGAATAAAAACTAGACAGAAGCATCCTCAGAAACTTATTTGTGATGTGTGTCCTCAACTAACAGAGTTAAAACTTTGTTTTGATACAGCATTTTGGAAACACTCTTTTTGTAGAATCTGCAGGTGGATATTTTGATAGCTTAGAGGGATTCGTTGGAAAGGGGATATCTTCATATAAAATCTAGACAGAAGCATTCTCAGAAACTTATTTGTGATGTGTGTCCTCAACTAACAGAGTTGAACCTTTGTTTTGATACAGCATTTTGGAAACACTCCTTTTGTAGAATCTGCAGGTGGATATTTGGATAGCTTTGAAGATTTCGTTGGAAACCGGAATATCTTCATATAAAATCAAGACAGAAGCATTCTCGGAAACATCTCTGTGATGTTTGCATTCAACTCAGTAGAGTTGAACACTTCCTTTCATAGAGCAGGTTTGAAACACTCTTTCTGCACTACCTGGAAGCGGACATTTCGAGCGCTTTGAGGCCTATGGTGAAAAAGGAAATATCTTCTCATAAAAACCAGAAAGAAGCATTCTCAGAAACTTCTTTGTGTTGTGTGTACTCAAGTAACAGTGTTGAACCTTCCTTTTGACAGAGCAGTTTTGAAACACTCTTTTGGTAGAATCTGCAAGTGGATATTTGGATAGCTTTGAGGATTTCGTTGGAAACGGGTTATCTTCATATAAAATCCAGACAGGAGCATTCTCAGAAACTTCTTTGTGCTGTATGTCCTCAATTCACAGAGCTGAACCTTTGTTTGGATACAGCATTTTGGAGACATTCCTTTCGTAGAATCTGCAAGTTGATATTTAGATAGCTTTGAAGATTTCGTTGGAAACGGGAATATCTTCATAGAAAATCTAGACGGAAGCATTCTCAGAAACTGCTTTGTGATGTTTGCATTCAAGTCACAGAGTTGAATATTCCCTTTTATAGAGTAGGTTTGAAACACTCTTTCGGCACTACCTGGAAGTGGATATTTCGAGCTCTTTGAGGCCTATGGTTAAAAGGAAATATCTTCCCATAAAAACTAGACAGAAGCCGTCTCAGAAACTTGTTTGTGATGTGTGTATTCAACTACCAGAGTTGAACATGTCTGTTACAGAGCAATTTTAAAACACTCTTTTTGTGGAATCTGAAAGTGGATAATTGGATAGCTTTGTGGATTTCGTTGGAAACGGGATGACGTATAAAATCTAGAGAGAAGCATTCTCAGGAACTTCTTTCTGATGTTTGCATTCAAGTCACAGAATTGAACATTCCTTTTCAGAGTGCAGGTTTGAAACACACTCTTTCTGTAGTATCTGGAAGTGGACATTTCAAGCGCTTTCAGGCCTACGGGGAGAAAGGAAATATCTTCAAATAAAAACTAGACAGAAGGATTCTCAGAAACTTATTTGTGATGTGTGTCCTAAACGAACACAGTTGAACCTTTGTTTTGATACAGCATTTTGGAAACACTCCTTTTGTAGGATCTGCAGGTGGATATTTGGATAGATTTTAAGATTTCGTTGGAAACGGGAATTTCTTCATAGAAGCTCAAGACAGATGCATTCTCAGAAACTTCTCTGTGATGTTTGCATTCCACTCATAGAGTTGAAAACTTCCTTTCATAGAGCAGGTTTGAAACACTCTTTTTGTAATATTTGGAAGTGGACATTTGCAGCGCTTTGAGGCCTATGGTGAAAAAGGAAATATCTTCTCATAAAAACCAGAAACAAGCATTCTCAGAAACTTCTTTTTGATGTGTGTACTCAAGTAACAGAGTTGAACCTTCCTTTTGACACAGCAGTTTTGAAACAATCTTTTTGTAGAATCTGCAAGTGGATATTTGGATAGCTTTGAGGATTTCGTTGGAAACGGGATATCTTCATATAAAATCTAGACAGAAGCATTCTCAGAAACTTCTTTGTGCTGTATGTCCTCAATTACCAGAGTTGAACCATTGCTTGGATACAGCATTTTGGAAACATTCCTTTAGTAGAATCTGCAAGTTGATATTTAGATAGATTTGAAGATTTCGTTGGAAACGGGAATATCTTCATATAAAATCTAGACGGAGGCATTCTCAGAAACTGCTTTGTGATGTTTCCATTCTAGTCACAGAGTTGAATATTCTCTTTTATAGAGCACGTTTGAAACACTCTTTCTGCACTATCTGGAAGTGGACATTTCGAGCGCTGTGAGGCCTATGGTGAAAAAGGAAATATCTTCCCATAAAAACTAGACAGAAGCATTCTCAGAAACTTGTTTGTGATGTGTGTATTCAACTAACAGAGTTGAACTTTTGTTTTTACAGAGCCGTTTTAAAACACTCTTTTTGTGGAATCAGAAAGTGGATATTCGGATGGCTCTGAGGATTTCGTTGGAAGCGGGATTACGTATAAAATCTAGAGAGAAGCATTCTCAGGAACTTCTTTCTGATGTTTGCATTGAAGTCACGGAATTGAACATTCACTTTTATAGAGCAGGTTTGAAACACTCATTCTGTAGTATCTGGAAGTGGACATTTCAAGCGCTTTCAGGCCTATGGTGAGAAAGGAAATATCTTCGAATAAAAACTAGACAGAAGCATCCTCAGAAACTTATTTGTGATGTGTGTCCTCAACTAACAGAGTTGAAACTTTGTTTTGATACAGCAGTTTGGAAACACTCTTTTTGTAGAATCTGCAGGTGGATATTTGGATAGCTTAGAGGGATTCGTTGGAAAGGGGATATCTTCATATAAAATCTAGACAGAAGCATTCTCAGAAACTTATTTGTGATGTGTGTCCTCAACTAACAGAGTGGAACCTTGGTTTTGATACAGCATTTTGGAAACACTCCTTTTGTAGAATCTGCAGGTGGATATGTGGATAGCTTTGAAGATTTCGTTGGAAACGGGAATTTCTTCATATAAAATCAAACAGAAGCATTCTCAGAAACTTCTCAGTGATGTTTGCATTCAGTTCATGGAGTTGAACACTTCCCTTCATAGAGCCGGTTTGAAACACTCTTTCTGCACTACCTGGAAGAGGACATTTCGAGCGCTTTGAGTCCTATGGTGAAAAAGGAAATATCTTCTCATAGAAACCAGAAAGAAGCATTCTCAGAAACTTCTTTGTGTTGTGTGTACTCATGTAACAGTGTTGAACCATCCTTTTGACAGAGCAGTTTTGAAACACTCTTTTTGTAGAATCTGCAAGTGGATATTTGGATAGCTTTGAGGATTTCGTTGGAAACGGGATGACATATAATATCTAGAGAGAAGCATTCTCAGGAACTTCTTTGTGATGTTTGCATTCAAGTCACAGAATTGAACATTCCCTTTCATAGAGCAGGTTTGAAACACTCTTTCTCTAGTATCTGGAAGTGGGCATTTCAAGCGCTTTCAGGCCTATGGAGAGAAAGGAAATACCTTCAAATAAAAACTAGACAGAAAGCATTCTCAGAAACTTATTTGTGATGTGTGTCCTCAACTAACAGAGTTGAACCTTTGTTTTGATACAGCATTTTGGAAACACTCCTTTTGTAGAATCTGCAGGTGGATATTTGGATAGCTTTGAAGATTTCGTTGGAAACCGGAATATCTTCCTATAAAATCAAGACAGAAGCATTCTCGGAAACATCTCTGTGATGTTTGCATTCAACTCAGTAGAGTTGAACACTTCCTTTCATAGAGCAGGTTTGAAACACTCTTTCTGCCCTACCTGGAAGCGGACATTTCGGGCGCTTTGAGGCCTATGGTGAAAAAGGAAATATCTTCTCATAAAAACCAGAAAGAAGCATTCTCAGAAACTTCTTTGTGTTGTGTGTACTCAAGTAACAGTGTTGAACCTTCCTTTTGACAGAGCAGTTTTGAAACACTCTTTTGGTAGAATCTGCAAGTGGATATTTGGATAGCTTTGAGGATTTCGTTGGAAACGGGTTATCTTCCTATAAAATCCAGACAGGAGCATTCTCAGAAACTTCTTTGTGCTGTATGTCCTCAATTCACAGAGCTGAACCTTTGTTTGGATACAGCATTTTGGAGACATTCCTTTAGTAGAATCTGCAAGTTGATATTTAGATAGCTTTGAAGATTTCGTTGGAAACGGGAATATCTTCATAGAAAATCTAGACGGAAGCATTCTCAGAAACTGCTTTGTGATGTTTGCATTCAAGTCACAGAGTTGAATATTCCCTTTTATAGAGTAGGTTTGAAACACTCTTTCGGCACTACCTGGAAGTGGATATTTCGAGCTCTTTGAGGCCTATGGTTAAAAGGAAATATCTTCCCATAAAAACTAGACAGAAGCCGTCTCAGAAACTTGTTTGTGATGTGTGTATTCAACTAACAGAGTTGAACATTTCTGTTACAGAGCAATTTAAAACACTCTTTTTGTGGAATCTGAAAGTGGATAATTGGATAGCTTTGTGGATTTCGTTGGAAACGGGATGACGTATAAAATCTAGAGAGAAGCATTCTCAGGAACTTCTTTCTGATGTTTGCATTCAAGTCACAGAATTGAACATTCCTTTTCAGAGTGCAGGTTTGAAACACTCTTTCTGTAGTATCTGGAAGTGGACATTTCAAGCGCTTTCAGGCCTATGGGGAGAAAGGAAATATCTTCAAATAAAAACTAGAGAGAAGGATTCTCAGAAACTTATTTGTGATGTGTGTCCTAAACGAACACAGTTGAACCTTTGTTTTGATACAGCATTTTGGAAACACTCCTTTTGTAGGATCTGCAGGTGGATATTTGGATAGATTTTAAGATTTCGTTGGAAACGGGAATTTCTTCATAGAAGCTCAAGACAGATGCATTCTCAGAAACTTCTCTGTGATGTTTGCATTCCACTCATAGAGTTGAAAACTTCCTTTCATAGAGCAGGTTTGAAACACTCTTTTTGTAATATTTGGAAGTGGACATTTGCAGTGCTTTGAGGCCTATGGTGAAAAAGGAAATATCTTCTCATAAAAACCAGAAACAAGCATTCTCAGAAACTTCTTTTTGATGTGTGTACTCAAGTAACAGAGTTGAACCTTCCTTTTGACACAGCAGTTTTGAAACAATCTTTTTGTAGAATCTGCAAGTGGATATTTGGATAGCTTTGAGGATTTCGTTGGAAACGGGATATCTTCATATAAAATCTAGACAGAAGCATTCTCAGAAACTTCTTTGTGCTGTATGTCCTCAATTAACAGAGTTGAACCATTGCCTGGATACAGCATTTTGGAAACATTCCTTGAGTAGAATCTGCAAGTTGATATTTAGATAGATTTGAAGATTTCGTTGGAAAAGGGAATATCTCCATATAAAATCTAGAGGGAAGCATTCTCAGAAACTGCTTTGTGATGTTTCCATTCAAGTCACAGAGTTGAATATTCCCTTTTATAGAGCACGTTTGAAACACTCTTTCTGCACTATCTGGAAGCGGACATTTCGAGCGCTTTGAGGCCTATGGTGAAAAAGGAAATATCTTCCCATAAAAACTAGACAGAAGCATTCTCAGAAACTTGTTTGTGATGTGTGTATTCAACTAACAGAGTTGAACTTTTGTTTTTACAGAGCCGTTTTAAAACACTCTTTTTGTGGAATCAGAAAGTGGATATTCGGATGGCTCTGAGGATTTCGTTGGAAGCGGGATTACGTATAAAATCTAGAGAGAAGCATTCTCAGGAACTTCTTTCTGATGTTTGCATTGAAGTCACGGAATTGAACATTCACTTTTATAGAGCAGGTTTGAAACACTCATTCTGTAGTATCTGGAAGTGGACATTTCAAGCGCTTTCAGGCCTATGGTGAGAAAGGAAATATCTTCGAATAAAAACTAGACAGAAGCATCCTCAGAAACTTATTTGTGATGTGTGTCCTCAACTAACAGAGTTGAAACTTTGTTTTGATACAGCATTTTGGAAACACTCTTTTTGTAGAATCTGCAGGTGGATATTTGGATAGCTTAGAGGGATTCGTTGGAAAGGGGATATCTTCATATAAAATCTAGACAGAAGCATTCTCAGAAACTTATTTGTGATGTGTGTCCTCAACTAACAGAGTTGAACCTTGGTTTTGATACAGCATTTTGGAAACACTCCTTTTCTACAATCTGCAGGTGGATATGTGGATAGCTCTGAAGATTTCGTTGGAAACGGGAATTTCTTCATATAAAATCAAACAGAAGCATTCTCAGAAACTTCTCAGTGATGTTTGCATTCAGCTCATGGAGTTGTACACTTCCTTTCATAGAGCAGGTTTGAAACACTCTTTCTGCACTACCTGGAAGAGGACATTTCGAGCGCTTTGAGTCCTATGGTGAAAAAGGAAATATCTTCTCATAGAAACCAGAAAGAAGCATTCTCAGAAACTTCTTTGTGTTGTGTGTACTCATGTAACAGTGTTGAACCATCCTTTTGACAGAGCAGTTTTGAAACACTCTTTTTGTAGAATCTGCAAGTGGATATTTGGATAGCTTTGAGGATTTCGTTGGAAACGGGATGACATATAATATCTAGAGAGAAGCATTCTCAGGAACTTCTTTGTGATGTTTGCATTCAAGTCACAGAATTGAACATTCCCTTTCATAGAGCAGGTTTGAAACACTCTTTCTCTAGTATCTGGAAGTGGGCATTTCAAGCGCTTTCAGGCCTATGGAGAGAAAGGAAATACCTTCAAATAAAAACTAGACAGAAGCATTCTCAGAAACTTATTTGTGATGTGTGTCCTCAACTAACAGAGTTGAACCTTTGTTTTGATACAGCATTTTGGAAACACTCCTTTTGTAGAATCTGCAGGTGGATATTTGGATAGCTTTGAAGATTTCGTTGGAAACCGGAATATCTTCATATAAAATCAAGACAGAAGCATTCTCGGAAACATCTCTGTGATGTTTGCATTCAACTCAGTAGAGTTGAACACTTCCTTTCATAGAGCAGGTTTGAAACACTCTTTCTGCACTACCTGGAAGCGGACATTTCGAGCGCTTTGAGGCCTATGGTGAAAAAGGAAATATCTTCTCATAAAAACCAGAAAGAAGCATTCTCAGAAACTTCTTTGTGTTGTGTGTACTCAAGTAACAGTGTTGAACCTTCCTTTTGACAGAGTAGTTTTGAAACACTCTTTTGGTAGAATCTGCAAGTGGATATTTGGATAGCTTTGAGGATTTCGT
This sequence comes from Homo sapiens, assembly GCF_000001405.40. Classification (NCBI taxonomy): domain Eukaryota; kingdom Metazoa; phylum Chordata; class Mammalia; order Primates; family Hominidae; genus Homo; species Homo sapiens. The sequence continues at coordinate 50,706,728 of NC_000004.12, forward strand.
TGGAAACGGGTTATCTTCCTATAAAATCCAGACAGGAGCATTCTCAGAAACTTCTTTGTGCTGTATGTCCTCAATTCACACAGCTGAACCTTTGTTTGGATACAGCATTTTGGAGACATTCCTTTAGTAGAATCTGCAAGTTGATATTTAGATAGCTTTGAAGATTTCGTTGGAAACGGGAATATCTTCATAGAAAATCTAGACGGAAGCATTCTCAGAAACTGCTTTGTGATGTTTGCATTCAAGTCACAGAGTTGAATATTCCCTTTTATAGAGTAGGTTTGAAACACTCTTTCGGCACTACCTGGAAGTGGATATTTCGAGCTCTTTGAGGCCTATGGTTAAAAGGAAATATCTTCCCATAAAAACTAGACAGAAGGTTTCTCAGAAACTTGTTTGAGATGTGTGTATTCAACTAAGAGCGTTGAACATTTCTTTTTACAGAGCAGTTTTAAAACACTCTTTTTGTGGAATCTGAATGTGGATAATTGGATAGCTTTGTGGATTTCGTTGGAAACGGGATGACGTATAAAATCTAGAGAGAAGCATTCTCAGGAACTTCTTTCTGATGTTTGCATTCAAGTCACAGAATGGAACATTCCTTTTCAGAGTGCAGGTTTGAAACACTCTTTCTGTAGTATCTGGAAGTGGACATTTCAAGCGCTTTCAGGCCTACGGGGAGAAAGGAAATATCTTCAAATAAAAACTAGACAGAAGGATTCTCAGAAACTTATTTGTGATGTGTGTCCTAAACGAACACAGTTGAACCTTTGTTTTGATACAGCATTTTGGAAACACTCCTTTTGTAGGATCTGCAGGTGGATATTTGGATAGATTTTAAGATTTCGTTGGAAACGGGAATTTCTTCATAGAAGCTCAAGACAGAGATGCATTCTCAGAAACTTCTCTGTGATGTTTGCATTCCACTCATAGAGTTGAAAACTTCCTTTCATAGAGCAGGTTTGAAACACTCTTTTTGTAATATTTGGAAGTGGACATTTGCAGCGCTTTGAGGCCTATGGTGAAAAAGGAAATATCTTCTCATAAAAACCAGAAACAAGCATTCTCAGAAACTTCTTTTTGATGTGTGTACTCAAGTAACAGAGTTGAACCTTCCTCTTGACACAGCAGTTTTGAAACAATCTTTTTGTAGAATCTGCAAGTGGATATTTGGATAGCTTTGAGGATTTCGTTGGAAACGGGATATCTTCATATAAAATCTAGACAGAAGCATTCTCAGAAACTTCTTTGTGCTGTATGTCCTCAATTAACAGAGTTGAACCATTGCTTGGATACAGCATTTTGGAAACATTCCTTGAGTAGAATCTGCAAGTTGATATTTAGATAGATTTGAAGATTTCGTTGGAAAAGGGAATATCTCCATATAAAATCTAGAGGGAAGCATTCTCAGAAACTGCTTTGTGATGTTTCCATTCAAGTCACAGAGTTGAATATTCCCTTTTATAGAGCACGTTTGAAACACTCTTTTTGCACTATCTGGAAGCGGACATTTCGAGCGCTTTGAGGCCTATGGTGAAAAAGGAAATATCTTCCCATAAAAACTAGACAGAAGCATTCTCAGAAACTTGTTTGTGATGTGTGTATTCAACTAACAGAGTTGAACTTTTGTTTTTACAGAGCCGTTTTAAAACACTCTTTTTGTGGAATCAGAAAGTGGATATTCGGATGGCTCTGAGGATTTCGTTGGAAGCGGGATTACGTATAAAATCTAGAGAGAAGCATTCTCAGAAACTTCTTTCTGATGTTTGCATTGAAGTCACAGAATTGAACATTCACTTTGATAGAGCAGGTTTGAAACACTCATTCTGTAGTATCTGGAAGTGGACATTTCAAGCGCTTTCAGGCCTATGGTGAGAAAGGAAATATCTTCGAATAAAAACTAGACAGAAGCATCCTCAAACTTATTTGTGATGTGTGTCCTCAACTAACAGACTTGAAACTTTGTTTTGATACAGCATTTTGGAAACACTCTTTTTGTAGAATCTGCAGGTGGATATTTGGATAGCTTAGAGGGATTCGTTGGAAAGGGGATATCTTCATATAAAATCTAGACAGAAGCATTCTCAGAAACTTATTTGTGATGTGTGTCCTCAACTAACAGAGTTGAACCTTGGTTTTGATACAGCATTTTGGAAACACTCCTTTTGTAGAATCTGCATGTGGATATGTGGATAGCTCTGAAGATTTCGTTGGAAACGGGAATTTCTTCATATAAAATCAAACAGAAGCATTCTCAGAAACTTCTCAGTGATGTTTGCATTCAGCTCATGGAGTTGTACACTTCCTTTCATAGAGCAGGTTTGAAACACTCTTTCTGCACTACCTGGAAGAGGACATTTCGAGCGCTTTGAGTCCTATGGTGAAAAATGGAAATATCTTCTCATAGAAACCAGAAAGAAGCATTCTCAGAAACTTCTTTGTGTTGTGTGTACTCATGTAACAGTGTTGAACCATCCTTTTGACAGAGGAGTTTTGAAACACTCTTTTTGTAGAATCTGCAAGTGGATATTTGGATAGCTTTGAGGATTTCGTTGGAAACGGGATGACATATAATATCTAGAGAGAAGCATTCTCAGGAACTTCTTTGTGATGTTTGCATTCAAGTCACAGTATTGAACATTCCCTTTCATAGAGCAGGTTTGAAACACTCTTTCTCTAGTATCTGGAAGTGGGCATTTCAAGCGCTTTCAGGCCTATGGAGAGAAAGGAAATACCTTCAAATAAAAACTAGACAGAAGCATTCTCAGAAACTTATTTGTGATGTGTGTCCTCAAGTAACAGAGTTGAACCTTTGTTTTGATACAGCATTTTGGAAACACTCCTTTTGTAGAATCTGCAGGTGGATATTTGGATAGCTTTGAAGATTTCGTTGGAAACGGGAATATCTTCATATAAAATCAAGACAGAAGCATTCTCGGAAACATCTCTGTGATGTTTGCATTCAACTCAGTAGAGTTGAACACTTCCTTTCATAGAGCAGGTTTGAAACACTCTTTCTGCACTACCTGGAAGCGGACATTTCGAGCGCTTTGAGGCCTATGGTGAAAAAGGAAATATCTTCTCATAAAAACCAGAAAGAAGCATTCTCAGAAACTTCTTTGTGTTGTGTGTACTCAAGTAACAGTGTTGAACCTTCCTTTTGACAGAGTAGTTTTGAAACACTCTTTTGGTAGAATCTGCAAGTGGATATTTGGATAGCTTTGAGGATTTCGTTGGAAACGGGTTATCTTCCTATAAAATCCAGACAGGAGCATTCTCAGAAACTTCTTTGTGCTGTATGTCCTCAATTCACAGAGCTGAACCTTTGTTTGGATACAGCATTTTGGAGACATTCCTTTAGTAGAATCTGCAAGTTGATATTTAGATAGCTTTGAAGATTTCGTTGGAAACGGGAATATCTTCATAGAAAATCTAGACGGAAGCATTCTCAGAAACTGCTTTGTGATGTTTGCATTCAAGTCACAGAGTTGAATATTCCCTTTTATAGAGTAGGTTTGAAACACTCTTTCGGCACTACCTGGAAGTGGATATTTCGAGCTCTTTGAGGCCTATGGTTAAAAGGAAATATCTTCCCATAAAAACTAGACAGAAGCCGTCTCAGAAACTTGTTTGTGATGTGTGTATTCAACTAACAGAGTTGAACATTTCTGTTACAGAGCAATTTTAAAACACTCTTTGTGGAATCTGAAAGTGGATAATTGGATAGCTTTGTGGATTTCGTTGGAAACGGGATGACGTATAAAATCTAGAGAGAAGCATTCTCAGGAACTTCTTTCTGATGTTTGCATTCAAGTCACAGAATTGAACATTCCTTTTCATAGTGCAGGTTTGAAACACTCTTTCTGTAGTATCTGGAAGTGGACATTTCAAGCGCTTTCAGGCCTTATGGGGAGAAAGGAAATATCTTCAAATAAAAACTAGACAGAAGGATTCTCAGAAACTTATTGGTGATGTGTGTCCTAAACGAACACAGTTGAACCTTTGTTTTGATACAGCATTTTGGAAACACTCCCTTTGTAGAATCTGCAGGTGGATATTTGGATAGATTTTAAGATTTCGTTGGAAACGGGAATTTCTTCATATAAACTCAAGACAGATGCATTCTCCGAAACTTCTCTGTGATGTTTCCATTCCACTCATAGAGTTGAAAACTTCCTTTCATAGAGCAGGTTTGAAACACTCTTTTTGTAATATTTGGAAGTGGACATTTGCAGCGCTTTGAGGCCTATGGTGAAAAAGGAAATATCTTCTCATAAAAACCAGAAACAAGCATTCTCAGAAACTTCTTTTTGATGTGTGTACTCAAGTAACAGAGTTGAACCTTCCTTTTGACACAGCAGTTTTGAAACAATCTTTTTGTAGAATCTGCAAGTGGATATTTGGATAGCTTTGAGGATTTCGTTGGAAACGGGATATCTTCATATAAAATCTAGACAGAAGCATTCTCAGAAACTTCTTTGTGCTGTATGACCTCAATTAACAGAGTTGAACCATTGCTTGCATACAGCATTTTGGAAACATTCCTTGAGTAGAATCTGCAAGTTGATATTTAGATAGATTTGAAGATTTCGTTCGAAAACGGAATATCTCCATATAAAATCTAGAGGGAAGCATTCTCAGAAACTGCTTTGTGATGTTTCCATTCAAGTCACAGAGTTGAATATTCCCTTTTATAGAGCACGTTTGAAACACTCTTTCTGCGCTATCTGGAAGTGGACATTTCGAGCGCTTTGAGGCCTATGGTGAAAAAGGAAATATCTTCCCATAAAAACTAGACAGAAGCATTCTCAGAAACTTGTTTGTGATGTGTGTATTCAACTAACAGAGTTGAACTTTTGTTTTTACAGAGCCGTTTTAAAACACTCTTTTTGTGGAATCAGAAAGTGGATATTCGGATGGCTCTGAGGATTTCGTTGGAAGCGGGATTACATATAAAATCTAGAGAGAAGCATTCTCAGGAACTTCTTTGTGATGTTTGCATTGAAGTCACAGAATTGAACATTCACTTTGATAGAGCAGGTTTGAAACACTCATTCTGTAGTATCTGGAAGTGGACATTTCAAGCGCTTTCAGGCCTATGGTGAGAAAGGAAATATCTTCGAATAAAAACTAGACAGAAGCATCCTCAAACTTATTTGTGATGTGTGTCCTCAACTAACAGAGTTGAAACTTTGTTTTGATACAGCATTTTGGAAACACTCTTTTTGTAGAATCTGCAGGTGGATATTTGGATAGCTTAGAGGGATTCGTTGGAAAGGGGATATCTTCATATAGAATCTAGACAGAAGCATTCTCAGAAACTTATTTGTGATGTGTGTCCTCAACTAACAGAGTTGAACTTTGGTTTTGATACAGCATTTTGGAAACACTCCTTTTGTAGAATCTGCAGGTGGATATGTGGATAGCTCTGAAGATTTCGTTGGAAACGGGAATTTCTTCATATAAAATCAAACAGAAGCATTCTCAGAAACTTCTCAGTGATGTTTGCATTCAGTTCATGGAGTTGAACACTTCCTTTCATAGAGCCGGTTTGAAACACTCTTTCTGCACTACCTGGAAGAGGACATTTCGAGCGCTTTGAGTCCTATGGTGAAAAAGGAAATATCTTCTCATAGAAACCAGAAAGAAGCATTCTCAGAAACTTCTTTGTGTTGTGTGTACTCATGTAACAGTGTTGAACCATCCTTTTGACAGAGCAGTTTTGAAACACTCTTTTTGTAGAATCTGCAAGTGGATATTTGGATAGCTTTGAGGATTTCGTTGGAAACGGGATGACATATAATATCTAGAGAGAAGCATTCTCAGGAACTTCTTTGTGATGTTTGCATTCAAGTCACAGAATTGAACATTCCCTTTCATAGAGCAGGTTTGAAACACTCTTTCTCTAGTATCTGGAAGTGGGCATTTCAAGCGCTTCAGGCCTATGGAGAGAAAGGAAATACCTTCAAATAAAAACTAGACAGAAGCATTCTCAGAAACTTATTTGTGATGTGTGTCCTCAACTAACAGAGTTGAACCTTTGTTTTGATACAGCATTTTGGAAACACTCCTTTTGTAGAATCTGCAGGTGGATATTTGGATAGCTTTGAAGATTTCGTTGGAAACCGGAATATCTTCATATAAAATCAAGACAGAAGCATTCTCGGAAACATCTCTGTGATGTTTGCATTCAACTCAGTAGAGTTGAACACTTCCTTTCATAGAGCAGGTTTGAAACACTCTTTCTGCACTACCTGGAAGCGGACATTTCGAGCGCTTTGAGGCCTATGGTGAAAAAGGAAATATCTTCTCATAAAAACCAGAAAGAAGCATTCTCAGAAACTTCTTTGTGTTGTGTGTACTCAAGTAACAGTGTTGAACCTTCCTTTTGACAGAGCAGTTTTGAAACACTCTTTTGGTAGAATCTGCAAGTGGATATTTGGATAGCTTTGAGGATTTCGTTGGAAACGGGTTATCTTCCTATAAAATCCAGACAGGAGCATTCTCAGAAACTTCTTTGTGCTGTATGTCCTCAATTCACAGAGCTGAACCTTTGTTTGGATACAGCATTTTGGAGACATTCCTTTAGTAGAATCTGCAAGTTGATATTTAGATAGCTTTGAAGATTTCGTTGGAAACGGGAATATCTTCATAGAAAATCTAGACGGAAGCATTCTCAGAAACTGCTTTGTGATGTTTGCATTCAAGTCACAGAGTTGAATATTCCCTTTTATAGAGTAGGTTTGAAACACTCTTTCGGCACTACCTGGAAGTGGATATTTCGAGCTCTTTGAGGCCTATGGTTAAAAGGAAATATCTTCCCATAAAAACTAGACAGAAGCCGTCTCAGAAACTTGTTTGTGATGTGTGTATTCAACTAACAGAGTTGAACATTTCTGTTACAGAGCAATTTTAAAACACTCTTTTTGTGGAATCTGAAAGTGGATAATTGGATAGCTTTGTGGATTTCGTTGGAAACGGGATGACGTATAAAATCTAGAGAGAAGCATTCTCAGGAACTTCTTTCTGATGTTTGCATTCAAGTCACAGAATTGAACATTCCTTTTCATAGTGCAGGTTTGAAACACTCTTTCTGTAGTATCTGGAAGTGGACATTTCAAGCGCTTTCAGGCCTACGGGGAGAAAGGAAATATCTTCAAATAAAAACTAGACAGAAGGATTCTCAGAAACTTATTTGTGATGTGTGTCCTAAACGAACACAGTTGAACCTTTGTTTTGATACAGCATTTTGGAAACACTCCTTTTGTAGGATCTGCAGGTGGATATTTGGATAGATTTTAAGATTTCGTTGGAAACGGGAATTTCTGCATATAAACTCAAGACAGATGCATTCTCAGAAACTTCTCTGTGATGTTTGCATTCCACTCATAGAGTTGAAAACTTCCTTTCATAGAGCAGGTTTGAAACACTCTTTTTGTAATATTTGGAAGTGGACATTTGCAGCGCTTTGAGGCCTATGGTGAAAAAGGAAATATCTTCTCATAAAAACCAGAAACAAGCATTCTCAGAAACTTCTTTTTGATGTGTGTACTCAAGTAACAGAGTTGAACCTTCCTTTTGACACAGCAGTTTTGAAACAATCTTTTTGTAGAATCTGCAAGTGGATATTTGGATAGCTTTGAGGATTTCGTTGGAAACGGGATATCTTCATATAAAATCTAGACAGAAGCATTCTCAGAAACTTCTTTGTGCTGTATGTCCTCAATTAACAGAGTTGAACCATTGCTTGGATACAGCATTTTGGAAACATTCCTTGAGTAGAATCTGCAAGTTGATATTTAGATAGATTTGAAGATTTCGTTGGAAAAGGGAATATCTCCATATAAAATCTAGAGGGAAGCATTCTCAGAAACTGCTTTATGATGTTTCCATTCAAGTCACAGAGTTGAATATTCCCTTTTATAGAGCACGTTTGAAACAATCTTTCTGCACTATCTGGAAGTGGACATTTCGAGCGCTTTGAGGCCTATGGTGAAAAAGGAAATATCTTCCCATAAAAACTAGACAGAAGCATTCTCAGAAACTTGTTTGTGATGTGTGTATTCAACTAACAGAGTTGAACTTTTGTTTTTACAGAGCCGTTTTAAAACACTCTTTTTGTGGAATCAGAAAGTGGATATTCGGATGGCTCTGAGGATTTCGTTGGAAGCGGGATTACGTATAAAATCTAGAGAGAAGCATTCTCAGGAACTTCTTTCTGATGTTTGCATTGAAGTCACGGAATTGAACATTCACTTTTATAGAGCAGGTTTGAAACACTCATTCTGTAGTATCTGGAAGTGGACATTTCAAGCGCTTTCAGGCCTATGGTGAGAAAGGAAATATCTTCGAATAAAAACTAGACAGAAGCATCCTCAGAAACTTATTTGTGATGTGTGTCCTCAACTAACAGAGTTGAAACTTTGTTTTGATACAGCATTTTGGAAACACTCTTTTTGTAGAATCTGCAGGTGGATGTGTGGATAGCTCTGAAGATTTCGTTGGAAACGGGAATTTCTTCATATAAAATCAAACAGAAGCATTCTCAGAAACTTCTCAGTGATGTTTGCATTCAGCTCATGGAGTTGTACACTTCCTTTCATAGAGCAGGTTTGAAACACTCTTTCTGCACTACTTGGAAGAGGACATTTCGAGCGCTTTGAGTCCTATGGTGAAAAAGGAAATATCTTCTCATAGAAACCAGAAAGAAGCATTCTCAGAAACTTCTTTGTGTTGTGTGTACTCATGTAACAGTGTTGAACCATCCTTTTGACAGAGCAGTTTTGAAACACTCTTTTTGTAGAATCTGCAAGTGGATATTTGGATAGCTTTGAGGATTTCGTTGGAAACGGGATGACATATAATATCTAGAGAGAAGCATTCTCAGGAACTTCTTTGTGATGTTTGCATTCAAGTCACAGAATTGAACATTCCCTTTCATAGAGCAGGTTTGAAACACTCTTTCTCTAGTATCTGGAAGTGGGCATTTCAAGCGCTTTCAGGCCTATGGAGAGAAAGGAAATACCTTCAAATAAAAACTAGACAGAAGCATTCTCAGAAACTTATTTGTGATGTGTGTCCTCAACTAACAGAGTTGAACCTTTGTTTTGATACAGCATTTTGGAAACACTCCTTTTGTAGAATCTGCAGGTGGATATTTGGATAGCTTTGAAGATTTCGTTGGAAACCGGAATATCTTCATATAAAATCAAGACAGAAGCATTCTCGGAAACATCTCTGTGATGTTTGCATTCAACTCAGTAGAGTTGAACACTTCCTTTCAGAGAGCAGGTTTGAAACACTCTTTCTGCACTACCTGGAAGCGGACATTTCGAGCGCTTTGAGGCCTATGGTGAAAAAGGAAATATCTTCTCATAAAAACCAGAAAGAAGCATTCTCAGAAACTTCTTTGTGTTGTGTGTACTCAAGTAACAGTGTTGAACCTTCCTTTTGACAGAGTAGTTTTGAAACACTCTTTTGGTAGAATCTGCAAGTGGATATTTGGATAGCTTTGAGGATTTCATTGGAAACGGGTTATCTTCATATAAAATCCAGACAGGAGCATTCTCAGAAACTTCTTTGTGCTGTATGTCCTCAATTCACAGAGCTGAACCTTTGTTTGGATACAGCATTTTGGAGACATTCCTTTAGTAGTATCTGCAAGTTGATATTTAGATAGCTTTGAAGATTTCGTTGGAAACGGGAATATCTTCATAGAAAATCTAGACGGAAGCATTCTCAGAAACTGCTTTGTGATGTTTGCATTCAAGTCACAGAGTTGAATATTCCCTTTTATAGAGTAGGTTTGAAACACTCTTTCGGCACTACCTGGAAGTGGATATTTCGAGCTCTTTGAGGCCTATGGTTAAAAGGAAATATCTTCCCATAAAAACTAGACAGAAGCCGTCTCAGAAACTTGTTTGTGATGTGTGTATTCAACTACCAGAGTTGAACATTTCTGTTACAGAGCAATTTTAAAACACTCTTTCTGTGGAATCTGAAAGTGGATAATTGGATAGCTTTGTGGATTTCGTTGGAAACGGGATGACGTATAAAATCTAGAGAGAAGCATTCTCAGGAACTTCTTTCTGATGTTTGCATTCAAGTCACAGAATTGAACATTCCTTTTCATAGTGCAGGTTTGAAACACTCTTTCTGTAGTATCTGGAAGTGGACATTTCAAGCGCTTTCAGGCCTGTGGGGAGAAAGGAAATATCTTCAAATAAAAACTAGACAGAAGGGTTCTCAGAAACTTATTTGTGATGTGTGTCCTAAACGAACACAGTTGAACCTTTGTTTTGATACAGCATTTTGGAAACACTCCTTTTGTAGGATCTGCAGGTGGATATTTGGATAGATTTTAAGATTTCGTTGGAAACGGGAATTTCTGCATAGAAACTCAAGACAGATGCATTCTCAGAAACTTCTCTGTGATGTTTGCATTCCACTCATAGAGTTGAAAACTTCCTTTCATAGAGCAGGTTTGAAACACTCTTTTTGTAATATTTGGAAGTGGACATTTGCAGCGCTTTGAGGCCTATGGTGAAAAAGGAAATATCTTCTCATAAAAACCAGAAACAAGCATTCTCAGAAACTTCTTTTTGATGTGTGTACTCAAGTAACAGAGTTGAACCTTCCTTTTGACACAGCAGTTTTGAAACAATCTTTTTGTAGAATCTGCAAGTGGATATTTGGATAGCTTTGAGGATTTCGTTGGAAACGGGATATCTTCATATAAAATCTAGACAGAAGCATTCTCAGAAACTTCTTTGTGCTGTATGTCCTCAATTAACAGAGTTGAACCATTGCTTGGATACAGCATTTTGGAAACATTCCTTTAGTAGAATCTGCAAGTTGATATTTAGATAGATTTGAAGATTTCGTTGGAAACGGGAATATCTTCATATAAAATCTAGACGGAGGCATTCTCAGAAACTGCTTTGTGATGTTTCCATTCAAGTCACAGAGTTGAATATTCTCTTTTATAGAGCACGTTTGAAACACTCTTTCTGCACTATCTGGAAGTGGACATTTCGAGCGCTTTGAGGCCTAAGGTGAAAAAGGAAATATCTTCCCATAAAAACTAGACAGAAGCATTCTCAGAAACTTGTTTGTGATGTGTGTATTCAACTAACAGACTTGAACTTTTGTTTTTACAGAGCAGTTTTAAAACAATCTTTTTGTGGAATCAGAAAGTGGATATTCGGATGGCTTTGAGGATTTCGTTGGAAGCGGGATTACATATAAAATCTAGAGAGAAGCATTCTCAGGAACTACTTTGTGATGTTTGCATTGAAGTCACAGAATTGAACATTCACTTTGATAGAGCAGGTTTGAAACACTCATTCTGTAGTATCTGGAAGTGGACATTTCAAGCGCTTTCAGGCCTATGGTGAGAAAGGAAATATCTTCAAATTAAAACTAGACAGAAGCATCCTCAAACTAATTGGTGATGTGTGTCCTCAACTAACAGAGTTGAAACTTTGTTTTGATACAGCATTTTGGAAACACTCTTTTTGTAGAATCTGCAGGTGGATATTTGGATAGCTTAGAGGGATTCGTTGGAAAGGGGATATCTTCATATAAAATCTAGACAGAAGCATTCTCAGAAACTTATTTGTGATGTGTGTCCTCAACTAACAGAGTTGAACCTTGGTTTTGATACAGCATTTTGGAAACACTCCTTTTGTAGAATCTGCAGGTGGATATGTGGATAGCTCTGAAGATTTCATTGGAAACGGGAATTTCTTCATATAAAATCAAACAGAAGCATTCTCAGAAACTTCTCAGTGATGTTTGCATTCAGCTCATGGAGTTGTACACTTCCTTTCATAGAGCAGGTTTGAAACACTCTTTCTGCACTACTTGGAAGAGGACATTTCGAGCGCTTTGAGTCCTATGGTGAAAAAGGAAATATCTTCTCATAGAAACCAGAAAGAAGCATTCTCAGAAACTTCTTTGTGTTGTGTGTACTCATGTAACAGTGTTGAACCATCCTTTTGACAGAGCAGTTTTGAAACACTCTTTTTGTGGAATCAGAAAGTGGATATTCCGATGGCTCTGAGGATTTCGTTGGAAGCGGGATTACGTATAAAATCTAGAGAGAAGCATTCTCAGGAACTTCTTTGTGATGTTTGCATTCAAGTCACAGAATTGAACATTCCCTTTCATAGAGCAGGTTTGAAACACTCTTTCTCTAGTATCTGGAAGTGGGCATTTCAAGCGCTTTCAGGCCTATGGAGAGAAAGGAAATACCTTCAAATAAAAACTAGACAGAAGCATTCTCAGAAACTTATTTGTGATGTGTGTCCTCAACTAACAGAGTTGAACCTTTGTTTTGATACAGCATTTTGGAAACACTCCTTTTGTAGAATCTGCAGGTGGATATTTGGATAGCTTTGAAGATTTCGTTGGAAACCGGAATATCTTCCTATAAAATCAAGACAGAAGCATTCTCGGAAACATCTCTGTGATGTTTGCATTCAACTCAGTAGAGTTGAACACTTCCTTTCCTAGAGCAGGTTTGAAACACTCTTTCTGCCCTACCTGGAAGCGGACATTTCGAGCTCTTTGAGGCCTATGGTGAAAAAGGAAATATCTTCTCATAAAAACCAGAAAGAAGCATTCTCAGAAACTTCTTTGTGTTGTGTGTACTCAAGTAACAGTGTTGAACCTTCCTTTTGACAGAGCAGTTTTGAAACACTCTTTTGGTAGAATCTGCAAGTGGATATTTGGATAGCTTTGAGGATTTCGTTGGAAACGGGTTATCTTCCTATAAAATCCAGACAGGAGCATTCTCAGAAACTTCTTTGTGCTGTATGTCCTCAATTCACAGAGCTGAACCTTTGTTTGGATACAGCATTTTGGAGACATTCCTTTAGTAGAATCTGCAAGTTGATATTTAGATAGCTTTGAAGATTTCGTTGGAAACGGGAATATCTTCATAGAAAATCTAGACGGAAGCATTCTCAGAAACTGCTTTGTGATGTTTGCATTCAAGTCACAGAGTTGAATATTCCCTTTTATAGAGTAGGTTTGAAACACTCTTTCGGCACTACCTGGAAGTGGATATTTCGAGCTCTTTGAGGCCTATGGTTAAAAGGAAATATCTTCCCATAAAAACTAGACAGAAGCCGTCTCAGAAACTTGTTTGTGATGTGTGTATTCAACTAACAGAGTTGAACATTTCTGTTACAGAGCAATTTTAAAACACTCTTTGTGGAATCTGAAAGTGGATAATTGGATAGCTTTGTGGATTTCGTTGGAAACGGGATGACGTATAAAATCTAGAGAGAAGCATTCTCAGGAACTTCTTTCTGATGTTTGCATTCAAGTCACAGAATTGAACATTCCTTTTCAGAGTGCAGGTTTGAAACACTCTTTCTGTAGTATCTGGAAGTGGACATTTCAAGCGCTTTCAGGCCTACGGGGAGAAAGGAAATATCTTCAAATAAAAACTAGACAGAAGGATTCTCAGAAACTTATTTGTGATGTGTGTCCTAAACGAACACAGTTGAACCTTTGTTTTGATACAGCATTTTGGAAACACTCCTTTTGTAGGATCTGCAGGTGGATATTTGGATAGATTTTAAGATTTCGTTGGAAACGGGAATTTCTTCATAGACGCTCAAGACAGATGCATTCTCAGAAACTTCTCTGTGATGTTTGCATTCCACTCATAGAGTTGAAAACTTCCTTTCATAGAGCAGGTTTGAAACACTCTTTTTGTAATATTTGGAAGTGGACATTTGCAGCGCTTTGAGGCCTATGGTGAAAAAGGAAATATCTTCTCATAAAAACCAGAAACAAGCATTCTCAGAAACTTCTTTGTTTTGTGTGTACTCAAGTAACAGTGTTGAACCTTCCTTTTGACAGAGCAGTTTTGAAACACTCTTTTTGTAGAATCTGCAAGTGGATATTTGGATAGCTTTGAGGATTTCGTTGGAAACGGGTTATCTTCATATAAAATACCAGACAGGAGCATTCTCAGAAACTTCTTTGTGCTGTATGTCCTCAATTAACAGAGTTGAACCATTGCTTGGATACAGCATTTTGGAAACATTCCTTGAGTAGAATCTGCAAGTTGATATTTAGATAGATTTGAAGATTTCATTGGAAAAGGGAATATCTCCATATAAAATCTAGAGGGAAGCATTCTCAGAAACTGCTTTGTGATGTTTCCATTCAAGTCACAGAGTTGAATATTCCCTTTTATAGAGCACGTTTGAAACACTCTTTCTGCACTATCTGGAAGTGGACATTTCGAGCGCTTTGAGGCCTATGGTGAAAAAGGAAATATCTTCCCATAAAAACTAGACAGAAGCAGTCTCAGAAACTTGTTTGTGATGTGTGTATTCAACTAACAGAGTTGAACTTTTGTTTTTACAGAGCCGTTTTAAAACACTCTTTTTGTGGAATCAGAAAGTGGATATTCGGATGGCTCTGAGGATTTCGTAGGAAGCGGGATTACATATAAAATCTAGAGAGAAGCATTCTCAGGAACTTCTTTGTGATGTTTGCATTGAAGTCACAGAATTGAACATTCACTTTGATAGAGCAGGTTTGAAACACTCATTCTGTAGGATCTGGAAGTGGACATTTCAAGCGCTTTCAGGCCTATGGTGAGAAAGGAAATATCTTCGAATAAAAACTAGACAGAAGCATCCTCAGAAACTTATTTGTGATGTGTGTCCTCAACTAACAGAGTTGAAACTTTGTTTTGATACAGCATTTTGGAAACACTCTTTTTGTAGAATCTGCAGGTGGATATTTTGATAGCTTAGAGGGATTCGTTGGAAAGGGGATATCTTCATATAAAATCTAGACAGAAGCATTCTCAGAAACTTATTTGTGATGTGTGTCCTCAACTAACAGAGTTGAACCTTGGTTTTGATACAGCATTTTGGAAACACTCCTTTTGTAGAATCTGCAGGTGGATATGTGGATAGCTCTGAAGATTTCGTTGGAAACGGGAATTTCTTCATATAAAATCAAACAGAAAGCATTCTCAGAAACTTCTCAGTGATGTTTGCATTCAGCTCATGGAGTTGTACACTTCCTTTCATAGAGCAGGTTTGAAACACTCTTTCTGCACTACCTGGAAGAGGACATTTCGAGCGCTTTGAGTCCTATGGTGAAAAAGGAAATATCTTCTCATAGAAACCAGAAAGAGCATTCTCAGAAACTTCTTTGTGTTGTGTGTACTCATGTAACAGTGTTGAACCATCCTTTTGACAGAGCAGTTTTGAAACACTCTTTTTGTAGAATCTGCAAGTGGATATTTGGATAGCTTTGAGGATTTCGTTGGAAACGGGATGACATATAATATCTAGAGAGAAGCATTCTCAGGAACTTCTTTGTGATGTTTGCATTCAAGTCACAGAATTGAACATTCCCTTTCATAGAGCAGGTTTGAAACACTCTTTCTCTAGTATCTGGAAGTGGGCATTTCAAGCGCTTTCAGGCCTATGGAGAGAAAGGAAATACCTTCAAATAAAAACTAGACAGAAGCATTCTCAGAAACTTATTTGTGATGTGTGTCCTCAACTAACAGAGTTGAACCTTTGTTTTGATACAGCATTTTGGAAACACTCCTTTTGTAGAATCTGCAGGTGGATATTTGGATAGCTTTGAAGATTTCGTTGGAAACCGGAATATCTTCATATAAAATCAAGACAGAAGCATTCTCGGAAACATCTCTGTGATGTTTGCATTCAACTCAGTAGAGTTGAACACTTCCTTTCATAGAGCAGGTTTGAAACACTCTTTCTGCACTACCTGGAAGCGGACATTTCGAGCGCTTTGAGGCCTATGGTGAAAAAGGAAATATCTTCTCATAAAAACCAGAAAGAAGCATTCTCAGAAACTTCTTTGTGTTGTGTGTACTCAAGTAACAGTGTTGAACCTTCCTTTTGACAGAGTAGTTTTGAAACACTCTTTTGGTAGAATCTGCAAGTGGATATTTGGATAGCTTTGAGGATTTCGTTGGGAACGGGTTATCTTCCTATAAAATCCAGACAGGAGCATTCTCAGAAACTTCTTTGTGCTGTATGTCCTCAATTCACAGAGTTGAACCTTTGTTTGGATACAGCATTTTGGAAACATTCCTTTAGTAGAATCTGCAAGTTGATATTTAGATAGCTTTGAAGATTTCGTTGGAAACGGGAATATCTTCATAAAAAATCTAGACGGAAGCATTGTCAGAAACTGCTTTGTGATGTTTGCATTCAAGTCACAGAGTTAAATATTCTTTTACAGAGCAGGTTTGAAACACTCTTTCTGCACTCCCTGGAAGTGGAGATTTCGAGCGCTTTGAGGCCTATGGTGAAAAAGGAAATATCTTCCCATAAAAACTAGACGGAAGCCTTCTCAGAAACTTGTTTGAGATGTGTGTATTCAACTAAGAGCGTTGAACATTTCTTTTTACAGAGCAGTTTTAAAACACTCTTTTTGTGGAATCTGAAAGTGGATAATTGGATAGCTTTGTGGATTTCGTTGGAAACGGGATGACGTATAAAATCTAGAGAGAAGCATTCTCAGGAACTTCTTTCTGATGTTTGCATTCAAGTCACAGAATTGAACATTCCTTTTCATAGTGCAGGTTTGAAACACTCTTTCTGTAGTATCTGGAAGTGGACATTTCAAGCGCTTTCAGGCCTATGGGGAGAAAGGAAATATCTTCAAATAAAAACTAGACAGAAGGATTCTCAGAAACTTTTTGGTGATGTGTGTCCTAAACGAACACAGTTGAACCTTTGTTTTGATACAGCGTTTTGGAAACACTCCTTTTGTAGAATCTGCAGGTGGATATTTGGATAGATTTTAAGATTTCGTTGGAAACGGGAATTTCTTCATATAAACTCAAGACAGATGCATTCTCAGAAACTTCTCTGTGATGTTTGCATTCCACTCATAGAGTTGAAAACTTCCTTTCATAGAGCAGGTTTGAAACACTCTTTTTGTAATATTTGGAAGTGGACATTTGCAGCACTTTGAGGCCTATGGTGAAAAAGGAAATATCTTCTCATAAAAACCAGAAACAAGCATTCTCAGAAACTTCATTTTGATGTGTGTACTCAAGTAACAGAGTTGAACCTTCCTTTTGACACAGCAGTTTTGAAACAATCTTTTTGTAGAATCTGCAAGTGGATATTTGGATAGCTTTGAGGATTTCGTTGGAAACGGGATATCTTCATATAAAATCTAGACAGAAGCATTCTCAGAAACTTCTTTGTGCTGTATGTCCTCAATTAACAGAGTTGAACCATTGCTTGGATACAGCATTTTGGAAACATTCCTTTAGTAGAATGTGCAAGTTGATATTTAGATAGATTTGAAGATTTCGTTGGAAACGGGAATATCTTCATATAAAATCTAGACGGAGGCATTCTCAGAAACTGCTTTGTGATGTTTCCATTCAAGTCACAGAGTTGAATATTCTCTTTTATAGAGCACGTTTGAAACACTCTTTCTGCACTATCTGGAAGTGGACATTTCAAGCGCTGTGAGGCCTATGGTGAAAAAGGAAATATCTTCCCATAAAAACTAGACAGAAGCATTCTCAGAAACTTGTTTGTGATGTGTGTATTCAACTAACAGACTTGAACTTTTGTTTTTACAGAGCAGTTTTAAAACAATCTTTTTGTGGAATCAGAAAGTGGATATTCGGATGGCTTTGAGGATTTCGTTGGAAGCGGGATTACATATAAAATCTAGAGAGAAGCATTCTCAGGAACTACTTTGTGATGTTTGCATTAAAGTCACAGAATTGAACATTCACTTTGATAGAGCAGGTTTGAAACACTCATGCTGTAGTATCTGGAAGTGGACATTTCAAGCGCTTTCAGGCCTATGGTGAGAAAGGAAATATCTTCAAATAAAAACTAGACAGAAGCATCCTCAAACTTATTTGTGATGTGTGTCCTCAACTAACAGAGTTGAAACTTTGTTTTGATACAGCATTTTGGAAACACTCTTTTTGTAGAATCTGCAGGTGGATATTTGGATAGCTTAGAGGGATTCGTTGGAAAGGGGATATCTTCATATAGAATCTAGACAGAAGCATTCTCAGAAACTTATTTGTGATGTGTGTCCTCAACTAACAGAGTTGAACTTTGGTTTTGATACAGCATTTTGGAAACACTCCTTTTGTAGAATCTGCAGGTGGATATGTGGATAGCTCTGAAGATTTCGTTGGAAACGGGAATTTCTTCATATAAAATCAAACAGAAGCATTCTCAGAAACTTCCCAGTGATGTTTGCATTCAGCTCATGGAGTTGTACACTTCCTTTCATAGAGCAGGTTTGAAACACTCTTTCTGCACTACCTGGAAGAGGACATTTCGAGCGCTTTGAGTCCTATGGTGAAAAAGGAAATATCTTCTCATAGAAACCAGAAAGAAGCATTCTCAGAAACTTCTTTGTGTTGTGTGTACTCATGTAACAGTGTTGAACCATCCTTTTGACAGAGGAGTTTTGAAACACTCTTTTTGTAGAATCTGCAAGTGGATATTTGGATAGCTTTGAGGATTTCGTTGGAAACGGGATGACATATAATATCTAGAGAGAAGCATTCTCAGGAACTTCTTTGTGATGTTTGCATTCAAGTCACAGAATTGAACATTCCCTTTCATAGAGCAGGTTTGAAACACTCTTTCTCTAGTATCTGGAAGTGGGCATTTCAAGCGCTTTCAGGCCTATGGAGAGAAAGGAAATACCTTCAAATAAAAACTAGACAGAAGCATTCTCAGAAACTTATTTGTGATGTGTGTCCTCAACTAACAGAGTTGAACCTTTGTTTTGATACAGCATTTTGGAAACACTCCTTTTGTAGAATCTGCAGGTGGATATGTGGATAGCTTTGAAGATTTCGTTGGAAACCGGAATATCTTCCTATAAAATCAAGACAGAAGCATTCTCGGAAACATCTCTGTGATGTTTGCATTCAACTCAGTAGAGTTGAACACGTCCTTTCATAGAGCAGGTTTGAAACACTCTTTCTGCCCTACCTGGAAGCGGACATTTCGAGCGCTTTGAGGCCTATGGTGAAAAAGGAAATATCTTCTCATAAAAACCAGAAAGAAGCATTCTCAGAAACTTCTTTGTGTTGTGTGTACTCAAGTAACAGTGTTGAACCTTCCTTTTGACAGAGCAGTTTTGAAACACTCTTTTGGTAGAATCTGCAAGTGGATATTTGGATAGCTTTGAGGATTTCGTTGGAAACGGGTTATCTTCATATAAAATCCAGACAGGAGCATTCTCAGAAACTTCTTTGTGCTGTATGTCCTCAATTCACAGAGCTGAACCTTTGTTTGGATACAGCATTTTGGAGACATTCCTTTAGTAGAATCTGCAAGTTGATATTTAGATAGCTTTGAAGATTTCGTTGGAAACGGGAATATCTTCATAGAAAATGCTAGACGGAAGCATTCTCAGAAACTGCTTTGTGATGTTTGCATTCAAGTCACAGAGTTGAATATTCCCTTTTATAGAGTAGGTTTGAAACACTCTTTCGGCACTACCTGGAAGTGGATATTTCGAGCTCTTTGAGGCCTATGGTTAAAAGGAAATATCTTCCCATAAAAACTAGACAGAAGCCGTCTCAGAAACTTGTTTGTGATGTGTGTATTCAACTAACAGAGTTGAACATTTCTGTTACAGAGCAATTCAAAACACTCTTTTTGTGGAATCTGAAAGTGGATAATTGGATAGCTTTGTGGATTTCGTTGGAAACGGGATGACGTATAAAATATAGAGAGAAGCATTCTCAGGAACTTCTTTCTGA
This sequence comes from Homo sapiens, assembly GCF_000001405.40. Classification (NCBI taxonomy): domain Eukaryota; kingdom Metazoa; phylum Chordata; class Mammalia; order Primates; family Hominidae; genus Homo; species Homo sapiens. The sequence continues at coordinate 50,726,511 of NC_000004.12, forward strand.
TGTTTGCATTCAAGTCACAGAATTGAACATTCCTTTTCAGAGTGCAGGTTTGAAACACTCTTTCTGTAGTATCTGGAATTGGACATTTCAAGCGCTTTCAGGCCTACAGGGAGAAAGGAAATATCTTCAAATAAAAACTAGAGAGAAGGATTCTCAGAAACTTATTTGTGATGTGTGTCCTAAACGAACACAGTTGAACCTTTGTTTTGATACAGCATTTTGGAAACACTCCTTTTGTAGGATCTGCAGGTGGATATTTGGATAGATTTTAAGATTTCGTTGGAAACGGGAATTTCTTCATAGAAGCTCAAGACAGATGCATTCTCAGAAACTTCTCTGTGATGTTTGCATTCCACTCATAGAGTTGAAAACTTCCTTTCATAGAGCAGGTTTGAAACACTCTTATTGTAATATTTGGAAGTGGACATTTGCAGCGCTTTGAGGCCTATGGTGAAAAAGGAAATATCTTCTCATAAAAACCAGAAACAAGCATTCTCAGAAACTTCTTTTTGATGTGTGTACTCAAGTAACAGAGTTGAACCTTCCTTTTGACACAGCAGTTTTGAAACAATCTTTTTGTAGAATCTGCAAGTGGATATTTGGATAGCTTTGAGGATTTCGTTGGAAACGGGATATCTTCATATAAAATCTAGACAGAAGCATTCTCAGAAACTTCTTTGTGCTGTATGTCCTCAATTAACAGAGTTGAACCATTGCTTGGATACAGCATTTTGGAAACATTCCTTTAGTAGAATCTGCAAGTTGATATTTAGATAGATTTGAAGATTTCGTTGGAAACGGGAATATCTTCATATAAAATCTAGACGGAGGCATTCTCAGAAACTGCTTTGTGATGTTTCCATTCAAGTCACAGAGTTGAATATTCTCTTTTATAGAGCACGTTTGAAACACTCTTTCTGCACTATCTGGAAGTGGACATTTCGAGCGCTTTGAGGCCTATGGTGCAAAAGGAAATATCTTCCCATAAAAACTAGACAGAAGCATTCTCAGAAACTTGTTTGTGATGTGTGTATTCAACTAACAGACTTGAACTTTTGTTTTTACAGAGCAGTTTTAAAACAATCTTTTTGTGGAATCAGAAAGTGGATATTCGGATGGCTTTGAGGATTTCGTTGGAAGCGGGATTACATATAAAATCTAGAGAGAAGCATTCTCAGGAACTACTTTGTGATGTTTGCATTGAAGTCACAGAATTGAACATTCACTTTGATAGAGCAGGTTTGAAACACTCATTCTGTATTATCTGGAAGTGGACATTTCAAGCGCTTTCAGGCCTATGGTGAGAAAGGAAATATCTTCAAATTAAAACTAGACAGAAGCATCCTCAGAAACTTATTTGTGATGTGTGTCCTCAACTAACAGAGTTGAAACTTTGTTTTGATACAGCATTTTGGAAACACTCTTTTTGTAGAATCTGCAGGTGGATACTTGGATAGCTTAGAGGGATTCGTTGGAAAGGGGATAAATTCATATAAAATCTAGACAGAAGCATTCTCAGAAACTTATTTGTGATGTGTGTCCTCAACTAACAGAGTTGAACCTTGGTTTTGATACAGCATTTTGGAAACACTCCTTTTGAAGAATCTGCAGGTGGATATGTGGATAGCTTTGAAGATTTCGTTGGAAACGGGAATTTCTTCATATAAAATCAAACAGAAGCATTCTCAGAAACTTCTCTGTGATGTTTGCATTCAGCTCATGGAGTTGAACACTTCCTTTCATAGAGCAGGTTTGAAACACTCTTTCTGAACTACCTGGAAGTGGACATTTCGAGCGCTTTGAGGCCTATGGTGAAAAAGGTAATATCCTCTCATAAAAACCAGAAAGAAGCGTTCTCAGAAACTTCTTTGTGTTGTGTGTACTCATGTAACAGTGTTGAACCATCCTTTTGACAGAGCAGTTTTGAAACACTCTTTTTGTAGAATCTGCAAGTGGATATTTGGATAGCTTTGAGGATTTCGTTGGAAACGGGTTATCTTCATATTAAATACTAGACAGAAGCATTCTCAGAAACTTCTTTGTGCTGTATGTCCTCAATTCACAGAGCTGAACCTTTGTTTGGATACAGCATTTTGGAGACATTCCTTTAGTAGAATCTGCAAGTTGATATTTAGATAGCTTTGAAGATTTCGTTGGAAACGGGAATATCTTCATAGAAAATCTAGACGGAAGCATTCTCAGAAACTGCTTTGTGATGTTTGCATTCAAGTCACAGAGTTGAATATTCCCTTTTATAGAGTAGGTTTGAAACACTCTTTCGGCACTACCTGGAAGTGGATATTTCGAGCTCTTTGAGGCCTATGGTTAAAAGGAAATATCTTCCCATAAAAACTAGACAGAAGCCGTCTCAGAAACTTGTTTGTGATGTGTGTATTCAACTAACAGAGTTGAACATTTCTGTTACAGAGCAATTTTAAAACACTCTTTGTGGAATCTGAAAGTGGATAATTGGATAGCTTTGTGGATTTCGTTGGAAACGGGATGACGTATAAAATCTAGAGAGAAGCATTCTCAGGAACTTCTTTCTGATGTTTGCATTCAAGTCACAGAATTGAACATTCCTTTTCAGAGTGCAGGTTTGAAACACTCTTTCTGTAGTATCTGGAAGTGGACATTTCAAGCGCTTTCAGGCCTATGGGGAGAAAGGAAATATCTTCAAATAAAAACTAGACAGAAGGATTCTCAGAAACTTATTTGTGATGTGTGTCCTAAACGAACACAGTTGAACCTTTGTTTTGATACAGCATTTTGGAAACACTCCTTTTGTAGGATCTGCAGGTGGATATTTGGATAGATTTTAAGATTTCGTTGGAAACGGGAATTTCTTCATAGAAGCTCAAGACAGATGCATTCTCAGAAACTTCTCTGTGATGTTTGCATTCCACTCATAGAGTTGAAAACTTCCTTTCATAGAGCAGGTTTGAAACACTCTTTTTGTAATATTTGGAAGTGGACATTTGCAGCGCTTTGAGGCCTATGGTGAAAAAGGAAATATCTTCTCATAAAAACCAGAAACAAGCATTCTCAGAAACTTCTTTTTGATGTGTGTACTCAAGTAACAGAGTTGAACCTTCCTCTTGACACAGCAGTTTTGAAACAATCTTTTTGTAGAATCTGCAAGTGGATATTTGGATAGCTTTGAGGATTTCGTTGGAAACGGGATATCTTCATATAAAATCTAGACAGAAGCATTCTCAGAAACTTCTTTGTGCTGTATGTCCTCAATTAACAGAGTTGAACCATTGCCTGGATACAGCATTTTGGAAACATTCCTTGAGTAGAATCTGCAAGTTGATATTTAGATAGATTTGAAGATTTCGTTGGAAAAGGGAATATCTCCATATAAAATCTAGAGGGAAGCATTCTCAGAAACTGCTTTGTGATGTTTCCATTCAAGTCACAGAGTTGAATATTCCCTTTTATAGAGCACGTTTGAAACACTCTTTCTGCACTATCTGGAAGCGGACATTTCGAGCGCTTTGAGGCCTATGGTGAAAAAGGAAATATCTTCCCATAAAAACTAGACAGAAGCATTCTCAGAAACTTGTTTGTGATGTGTGTATTCAACTAACAGAGTTGAACTTTTGTTTTTACAGAGCCGTTTAAAAACACTCTTTTTGTGGAATCAGAAAGTGGATATTCGGATGGCTCTGAGGATTTCGTTGGAAGCGGGATTACGTATAAAATCTAGAGAGAAGCATTCTCAGGAACTACTTTGTGATGTTTGCATTGAAGTCACAGAATTGAACATTCACTTTGACAGATCAGGTTTGAAACACTCATTCTGTAGTATCTGGAAGCGGACAATTCAAGCGCTTTCAGGCCTATGGGGAGAAAGGAAATATCTTCAAATAAAAACTAGACAGAAGCATCCTCAGAAACTTATTTGTGATGTGTGTCCTCAACTAACAGAGTTGAAACTTTGTTTTGATACAGCATTTTGGAAACACTCTTTTTGTAGAATCTGCAGGTGGATATTTGGATAGCTTAGAGGGATTCGTTGGAAAGGGGATATCTTCATATAAAATCTAGACAGAAGCATTCTCAGAAACTTATTTGTGATGTGTGTCCTCAACTAACAGAGTTGAACCTTGGTTTTGATACGGCATTTTGGAAACACTCCTTTTGTAGAATCTGCAGGTGGATATGTGGATAGCTTTGAAGATTTCGTTGGAAACGGGAATTTCTTCATATAAAATCAAACAGAAGCATTCTCAGAAACTTCTCTGTGATGTTTGCATTCAGCTCATGGAGTTGAACACTTCCTTTCATAGAGCAGGTTTGAAACACTCTTTCTGCACTACCAGGAAGTGGACATTTGGAGCGCTTTGAGGCCTATGGTGAAAAAGGAAATATCTTCTCATAAAAACCAGAAAGAAGCGTTCTCAGAAACTTCTTTGTGTTGTGTGTACTCATGTAACAGTGTTGAACCATCCTTTTGACAGAGCAGTTTTGAAACACTCTTTTTGTAGAATCTGCAAGTGGATATTTGGATAGCTTTGAGGATTTCGTTGGAAACGGGTTATCTTCATATTAAATCTAGACAGAAGCATTCTCAGAAACTTCTTTGTGCTGTATGTCCTCAATTCACAGAGTTGAACCTTTGTTTGGATACAGCATTTTGGAAACATTCCTTTAGTAGAATCTGCAAGTTGATATTTAGATAGCTTGGAAGATTTCGTTGGAAACGGGAATATCTTCATAAAAAATCTAGACGGAAGCATTCTCAGAAACTGCTTTGTGATGTTTGCATTCAAGTCACAGAGTTGAATATTCCCTTTTATAGAGTAGGTTTGAAACACTCTTTCGGCACTACCTGGAAGTGGATATTTCGAGCTCTTTGAGGCCTATGGTTAAAAGGAAATATCTTCCCATAAAAACTAGACAGAAGCCGTCTCAGAAACTTGTTTGTGATGTGTGTATTCAACTAACAGAGTTGAACATTTCTGTTACAGAGCAATTTTAAAACACTCTTTTTGTGGAATCTGAAAGTGGATAATTGGATAGCTTTGTGGATTTCGTTGGAAACGGGATGACGTATAAAATCTAGAGAGAAGCATTCTCAGGAACTTCTTTCTGATGTTTGCATTCAAGTCACAGAATTGAACATTCCTTTTCAGAGTGCAGGTTTGAAACACACTCTTTCTGTAGTATCTGGAAGTGGACATTTCAAGCGCTTTCAGGCCTACGGGGAGAAAGGAAATATCTTCAAATAAAAACTAGACAGAAGGATTCTCAGAAACTTATTTGTGATGTGTGTCCTAAACGAACACAGTTGAACCTTTGTTTTGATACAGCATTTTGGAAACACTCCTTTTGTAGGATCTGCAGGTGGATATTTGGATAGATTTTAAGATTTCGTTGGAAACGGGAATTTCTTCATAGAAGCTCAAGACAGATGCATTCTCAGAAACTTCTCTGTGATGTTTGCATTCCACTCATAGAGTTGAAAACTTCCTTTCATAGAGCAGGTTTGAAACACTCTTTTTGTAATATTTGGAAGTGGACATTTGCAGCGCTTTGAGGCCTATGGTGAAAAAGGAAATATCTTCTCATAAAAACCAGAAACAAGCATTCTCAGAAACTTCTTTTTGATGTGTGTACTCAAGTAACAGAGTTGAACCTTCCTCTTGACACAGCAGTTTTGAAACAATCTTTTTGTAGAATCTGCAAGTGGATATTTGGATAGCTTTGAGGATTTCGTTGGAAACGGGATATCTTCATATAAAATCTAGACAGAAGCATTCTCAGAAACTTCTTTGTGCTGTATGTCCTCAATTAACAGAGTTGAACCATTGCCTGGATACAGCATTTTGGAAACATTCCTTGAGTAGAATCTGCAAGTTGATATTTAGATAGATTTGAAGATTTCGTTGGAAAAGGGAATATCTCCATATAAAATCTAGAGGGAAGCATTCTCAGAAACTGCTTTGTGATGTTTCCATTCAAGTCACAGAGTTGAATATTCCCTTTTATAGAGCACGTTTGAAACACTCTTTCTGCACTATCTGGAAGCGGACATTTCGAGCGCTTTGAGGCCTATGGTGAAAAAGGAAATATCTTCCCATAAAAACTAGACAGAAAGCATTCTCAGAAACTTGTTTGTGATGTGTGTATTCAACTAACAGAGTTGAACTTTTGTTTTTACAGAGCCGTTTTAAAACACTCTTTTTGTGGAATCAGAAAGTGGATATTCGGATGGCTCTGAGGATTTCGTTGGAAGCGGGATTACGTATAAAATCTAGAGAGAAGCATTCTCAGGAACTTCTTTCTGATGTTTGCATTGAAGTCACAGAATTGAACATTCACTTTTATAGAGCAGGTTTGAAACACTCATTCTGTAGTATCTGGAAGTGGACATTTCAAGCGCTTTCAGGCCTATGGTGAGAAAGGAAATATCTTCGAATAAAAACTAGACAGAAGCATCCTCAAACTTATTTGTGATGTGTGTCCTCAACTAACAGAGTTGAAACTTTGTTTTGATACAGCATTTTGGAAACACTCTTTTTGTAGAATCTGCAGGTGGATATTTGGATAGCTTAGAGGGATTCGTTGGAAAGGGGATATCTTCATATAAAATCTAGACAGAAGCATTCTCAGAAACTTATTTGTGATGTGTGTCCTCAACTAACAGAGTTGAACCTTGGTTTTGATACAGCATTTTGGAAACACTCCTTTTGTAGAATCTGCAGGTGGATATGTGGATAGCTCTGAAGATTTCGTTGGAAACGGGAATTTCTTCATATAAAATCAAACAGAAGCATTCTCAGAAACTTCTCAGTGATGTTTGCATTCAGCTCATGGAGTTGAACACTTCCTTTCATAGAGCAGGTTTGAAACACTCTTTCTGCACTACCTGGAAGAGGACATTTCGAGCGCTTTGAGTCCTATGGTGAAAAAGGAAATATCTTCTCATAGAAACCAGAAAGAAGCATTCTCAGAAACTTCTTTGTGTTGTGTGTACTCATGTAACAGTGTTGAACCATCCTTTTGACAGAGCAGTTTTGAAACACTCTTTTTGTAGAATCTGCAAGTGGATATTTGGATAGCTTTGAGGATTTCGTTGGAAACGGGATGACATATAATATCTAGAGAGAAGCATTCTCAGGAACTTCTTTGTGATGTTTGCATTCAAGTCACAGAATTGAACATTCCCTTTCATAGAGCAGGTTTGAAACACTCTTTCTCTAGTATCTGGAAGTGGGCATTTCAAGCGCTTTCAGGCCTATGGAGAGAAAGGAAATACCTTCAAATAAAAACTAGACAGAAGCATTCTCAGAAACTTATTTGTGATGTGTGTCCTCAACTAACAGAGTTGAACCTTTGTTTTGATACAGCATTTTGGAAACACTCCTTTTGTAGAATCTGCAGGTGGATATTTGGATAGCTTTGAAGATTTCGTTGGAAACCGGAATATCTTCATATAAAATCAAGACAGAAGCATTCTCGGAAACATCTCTGTGATGTTTGCATTCAACTCAGTAGAGTTGAACACTTCCTTTCATAGAGCAGGTTTGAAACACTCTTTCTGCCCTACCTGGAAGCGGACATTTCGAGCGCTTTGAGGCCTATGGTGAAAAAGGAAATATCTTCTCATAAAAACCAGAAAGAAGCATTCTCAGAAACTTCTTTGTGTTGTGTGTACTCAAATAACAGTGTTGAACCTTCCTTTTGACAGAGTAGTTTTGAAACACTCTTTTGGTAGAATCTGCAAGTGGATATTTGGATAGCTTTGAGGATTTCGTTGGAAACGGGATGACATATAATATCTAGAGAGAAGCATTCTCAGGAACTTCTTTGTGATGTTTGCATTCAAGTCACAGAATTGAACATTCCCTTTCATAGAGCAGGTTTGAAACTCTCTTTCTCTAGTATCTGGAAGTGGGCATTTCAAGCGCTTTCAGGCCTATGGAGAGAAAGGAAATACCTTCAAATAAAAACTAGACAGAAGCATTCTCAGAAACTTATTTGTGATGTGTGTCCTCAACTAACAGAGTTGAACCTTTGTTTTGATACAGCATTTTGGAAACACTCCTTTTGTAGAATCTGCAGGTGGATATTTGGATAGCTTTGAAGATTTCGTTGGAAACCGGAATATCTTCATATAAAATCAAGACAGAAGCATTCTCGGAAACATCTCTGTGATGTTTGCATTCAACTCAGTAGAGTTGAACACTTCCTTTCATAGAGCAGGTTTGAAACACTCTTTCTGCACTACCTGGAAGCGGACATTTCGAGCGCTTTGAGGCCTATGGTGAAAAAGGAAATATCTTCTCATAAAAACCAGAAAGAAGCATTCTCAGAAACTTCTTTGTGTTGTGTGTACTCAAGTAACAGTGTTGAACCTTCCTTTTGACAGAGCAGTTTTGAAACACTCTTTTGGTAGAATCTGCAAGTGGATATTTGGAGAGCTTTGAGGATTTCGTTGGAAACGGGTTATCTTCCTATAAAATCCAGACAGGAGCATTCTCAGAAACTTCTTTGTGCTGTATGTCCTCAATTCACAGAGCTGAACCTTTGTTTGGATACAGCATTTTGGAGACATTCCTTTAGTAGAATCTGCAAGTTGATATTTAGATAGCTTTGAAGATTTCGTTGGAAACGGGAATATCTTCATAGAAAATCTAGACGGAAGCATTCTCAGAAACTGCTTTGTGATGTTTGCATTCAAGTCACAGAGTTGAATATTCCCTTTTATAGAGTAGGTTTGAAACACTCTTTCGGCACTACCTGGAAGTGGATATTTCGAGCTCTTTGAGGCCTATGGTTAAAAGGAAATATCTTCCCATAAAAACTAGACAGAAGCCGTCTCAGAAACTTGTTTGTGATGTGTGTATTCAACTAACAGAGTTGAACATTTCTGTTACAGAGCAATTTTAAAACACTCTTTTTGTGGAATCTGAAAGTGGATAATTGGATAGCTTTGTGGATTTCGTTGGAAACGGGATGACGTATAAAATCTAGAGAGAAGCATTCTCAGGAACTTCTTTCTGATGTTTGCATTCAAGTCACAGAATTGAACATTCCTTTTCAGAGTGCAGGTTTGAAACACTCTTTCTGTAGTATCTGGAAGTGGACATTTCAAGCGCTTTCAGGCCTACGGGGAGAAAGGAAATATCTTCAAATAAAAACTAGAGAGAAGGATTCTCAGAAACTTATTGGTGATGTGTGTCCTAAACGAACACAGTTGAACCTTTGTTTTGATACAGCCTTTTGGAAACACTCCTTTTGTAGAATCTGCAGGTGGATATTTGGATAGATTTTAAGATTTCGTTGGAAACGGGAATTTCTTCATAGAAACTCAAGACAGAATGCATTCTCAGAAACTTCTCTGTGATGTTTGCATTCCACTCATAGCAGTTGAAAACTTCCTTTCATAGAGCAGGTTTGAAACACTCTTTCTGTAATATTTGGAAGTGGACATTTGCAGCGCTTTGAGGCCTATGGTGAAAAAGGAAATATCTTCTCATAAAAACCAGAAACGAGCATTCTCAGAAACTGCTTTTTGATGTGTGTACTCAAGTAACAGAGTTGAACCTTCCTTTTGACACAGCAGTTTTGAAACAATCTTTTTGTAGAATCTGCAAGTGGATATTTGGATAGCTTTGAGGATTTCGTTGGAAACGGGATATCTTCATATAAAATCTAGACAGGAAGCATTCTCAGAAACTTCTTTGTGCTGTATGTCCTCAATTAACAGAGTTGAACCATTGCTTGGATACAGCATTTTGGAAACATTCCTTTAGTAGAATCTGCAAGTTGATATTTAGATAGATTTGAAGATTTCGTTGGAAACGGGAATATCTTCATATAAAATCTAGACGGAGGCATTCTCAGAAACTGCTTTGTGATGTTTCCATTCAAGTCACAGAGTTGAATATTCTCTTTTGTAGTGCACGTTTGAAACACTCTTTCTGCACTATCTGTTAGTGGACATTTCGAGCGCTGTGAGGCCTATGGTGAAAAAGGAAATATCTTCCCATAAAAACTAGACAGAAGCATTCTCAGAAACTTGTTTGTGATGTGTGTATTCAACTAACAGAGTTGAACTTTTGTTTTTACAGAGCCGTTTTAAAACACTCTTTTTGTGGAATCAGAAAGTGGATATTCGGATGGCTCTGAGGATTTCGTTGGAAGCGGGATTACGTATAAAATCTAGAGAGAAGCATTCTCAGGAACTTCTTTCTGATGTTTGCATTGAAGTCACAGAATTGAACATTCACTTTGATAGAGCAGGTTTGAAACACTCATTCTGTAGTATCTGGAAGTGGACATTTCAAGCGCTTTCAGGCCTATGGTGAGAAAGGAAATATCTTCGAATAAAAACTAGACAGAAGCATCCTCAAACTAATTGGTGATGTGTGTCCTCAACTAACAGAGTTGAAACTTTGTTTTGATACAGCATTTTGGAAACACTCTTTTTGTAGAATCTGCAGGTGGATATTTGGATAGCTTAGAGGGATTCGTTGGAAAGGGGATATCTTCATATAAAATCTAGACAGAAGCATTCTCAGAAACTTATTTGTGATGTGTGTCCTCAACTAACAGAGTTGAACCTTGGTTTTGATACAGCATTTTGGAAACACTCCTTTTGTAGAATCTGCAGGTGGATATGTGGATAGCTCTGAAGATTTCATTGGAAACGGGAATTTCTTCATATAAAATCAAACAGAAGCATTCTCAGAAACTTCTCAGTGATGTTTGCATTCAGCTCATGGAGTTGAACACTTCCTTTCATAGAGCAGGTTTGAAACACTCTTTCTGCACTACCTGGAAGAGGACATTTCGAGCGCTTTGAGTCCTATGGTGAAAAAGGAAATATCTTCTCATAGAAACCAGAAAGAAGCATTCTCAGAAACTTCTTTGTGTTGTGTGTACTCATGTAACAGTGTTGAACCATCCTTTTGACAGAGGAGTTTTGAAACACTCTTTTTGTAGAATCTGCACGTGGATATTTGGATAGCTTTGAGGATTTCGTTGGAAACGGGATGACATATAATATCTAGAGAGAAGCATTCTCAGGAACTTCTTTGTGATGTTTGCATTCAAGTCACAGAATTGAACATTCCCTTTCATAGAGCAGGTTTGAAACACTCTTTCTCTAGTATCTGGAAGTGGGCATTTCAAGCGCTTTCAGGCCTATGGAGAGAAAGGAAATACCTTCAAATAAAAACTAGACAGAAGCATTCTCAGAAACTTATTTGTGATGTGTGTCCTCAACTAACAGAGTTGAACCTTTGTTTTGATACAGCATTTTGGAAACACTCCTTTTGTAGAATCTGCAGGTGGATATTTGGATAGCTTTGAAGATTTCGTTGGAAACCGGAATATCTTCATATAAAATCAAGACAGAAGCATTCTCGGAAACATCTCTGTGATGTTTGCATTCAACTCAGTAGAGTTGAACACTTCCTTTCATAGAGCAGGTTTGAAACACTCTTTCTGCACTACCTGGAAGCGGACATTTCGAGCGCTTTGAGGCCTATGGTGAAAAAGGAAATATCTTCTCATAAAAACCAGAAAGAAGCATTCTCAGAAACTTCTTTGTGTTGTGTGTACTCAAGTAACAGTGTTGATCCTTCCTTTTGACAGAGCAGTTTTGAAACACTCTTTTGGTAGAATCTGCAAGTGGATATTTGGATAGCTTTGAGGATTTCGTTGGAAACGGGTTATCTTCCTATAAAATCCAGACAGGAGCATTCTCAGAAACTTCTTTGTGCTGTATGTCCTCAATTCACAGAGCTGAACCTTTGTTTGGATACAGCATTTTGGAGACATTCCTTTAGTAGAATCTGCAAGTTGATATTTAGATAGCTTTGAAGATTTCGTTGGAAACGGGAATATCTTCATAGAAAATCTAGACGGAAGCATTCTCAGAAACTGCTTTGTGATGTTTGCATTCAAGTCACAGAGTTGAATATTCCCTTTTATAGAGTAGGTTTGAAACACTCTTTCGGCACTACCTGGAAGTGGATATTTCGAGCTCTTTGAGGCCTATGGTTAAAAGGAAATATCTTCCCATAAAAACTAGACAGAAGCCGTCTCAGAAACTTGTTTGTGATGTGTGTATTCAACTACCAGAGTTGAACATTTCTGTTACAGAGCAATTTTAAAACACTCTTTCTGTGGAATCTGAAAGTGGATAATTGGATAGCTTTGTGGATTTCGTTGGAAACGGGATGACGTATAAAATCTAGAGAGAAGCATTCTCAGGAACTTCTTTCTGATGTTTGCATTCAAGTCACAGAATTGAACATTCCTTTTCAGAGTGCAGGTTTGAAACACTCTTTCTGTAGTATCTGGAAGTGGACATTTCAAGCGCTTTCAGGCCTACGGGGAGAAAGGAAATATCTTCAAATAAAAACTAGACAGAAGGATTCTCAGAAACTTATTTGTGATGTGTGTCCTAAACGAACACAGTTGAACCTTTGTTTTGATACAGCATTTTGGAAACACTCCTTTTGTAGGATCTGCAGGTGGATATTTGGATAGATTTTAAGATTTCGTTGGAAACGGGAATTTCTGCATAGAAACTCAAGACAGATGCATTCTCAGAAACTTCTCTGTGATGTTTGCATTCCACTCATAGAGTTGAAAACTTCCTTTCATAGAGCAGGTTTGAAACACTCTTTTTGTAATATTTGGAAGTGGACATTTGCAGCGCTTTGAGGCCTATGGTGAAAAAGGAAATATCTTCTCATAAAAACCAGAAACAAGCATTCTCAGAAACTTCTTTTTGATGTGTGTACTCAAGTAACAGAGTTGAACCTTCCTTTTGACACAGCAGTTTTGAAACAATCTTTTTGTAGAATCTGCAAGTGGATATTTGGATAGCTTTGAGGATTTCGTTGGAAACGGGATATCTTCATATAAAATCTAGACAGAAGCATTCTCAGAAACTTCTTTGTGCTGTATGTCCTCAATTAACAGAGTTGAACCATTGCCTGGATACAGCATTTTGGAAACATTTCTTGAGTAGAATCTGCAAGTTGATATTTAGATAGATTTGAAGATTTCGTTGGAAAAGGGAATATCTCCATATAAAATCTAGAGGGAAGCATTCTCAGAAACTGCTTTGTGATGTTTCCATTCAAGTCACAGAGTTGAATATTCCCTTTTATAGAGCACGTTTGAAACACTCTTTCTGCACTATCTGGAAGCGGACATTTCGAGCGCTTTGAGGCCTATGGTGAAAAAGGAAATATCTTCCCATAAAAACTAGACAGAAGCATTCTCAGAAACTTGTTTGTGATGTGTGTATTCAACTAACAGAGTTGAACTTTTGTTTTTACAGAGCCGTTTTAAAACACTCTTTTTGTGGAATCAGAAAGTGGATATTCGGATGGCTCTGAGGATTTCGTTGGAAGCGGGATTACGTATAAAATCTAGAGAGAAGCATTCTCAGGAACTTCTTTCTGATGTTTGCATTGAAGTCACAGAATTGAACATTCACTTTTATAGAGCAGGTTTGAAACACTCATTCTGTAGTATCTGGAAGTGGACATTTCAAGCGCTTTCAGGCCTATGGTGAGAAAGGAAATATCTTCGAATAAAAACTAGACAGAAGCATCCTCAAACTTATTTGTGATGTGTGTCCTCAACTAACAGCAGTTGAAACTTTGTTTTGATACAGCATTTTGGAAACACTCTTTTTGTAGAATCTGCAGGTGGATATTTGGATAGCTTAGAGGGATTCGTTGGAAAGGGGATATCTTCATATAAAATCTAGACAGAAGCATTCTCAGAAACTTATTTGTGATGTGTGTCCTCAACTAACAGAGTTGAACCTTGGTTTTGATACAGCATTTTGGAAACACTCCTTTTGTAGAATCTGCAGGTGGATATGTGGATAGCTCTGAAGATTTCGTTGGAAACGGGAATTTCTTCATATAAAATCAAACAGAAGCATTCTCAGAAACTTCTCAGTGATGTTTGCATTCAGTTCATGGAGTTGAACACTTCCTTTCATAGAGCCGGTTTGAAACACTCTTTCTGCACTACCTGGAAGAGGACATTTCGAGCGCTTTGAGTCCTATGGTGAAAAAGGAAATATCTTCTCATAGAAACCAGAAAGAAGCATTCTCAGAAACTTCTTTGTGTTGTGTGTACTCATGTAACAGTGTTGAACCATCCTTTTGACAGAGCAGTTTTGAAACACTCTTTTTGTAGAATCTGCAAGTGGATATTTGGATAGCTTTGAGGATTTCGTTGGAAACGGGATGACATATAATATCTAGAGAGAAGCATTCTCAGGAACTTCTTTGTGATGTTTGCATTCAAGTCACAGAATTGAACATTCCCTTTCATAGAGCAGGTTTGAAACACTCTTTCTCTAGTATCTGGAAGTGGGCATTTCAAGCGCTTTCAGGCCTATGGAGAGAAAGGAAATACCTTCAAATAAAAACTAGACAGAAGCATTCTCAGAAACTTATTTGTGATGTGTGTCCTCAACTAACAGAGTTGAACCTTTGTTTTGATACAGCATTTTGGAAACACTCCTTTTGTAGAATCTGCAGGTGGATATTTGGATAGCTTTGAAGATTTCGTTGGAAACCGGAATATCTTCATATAAAATCAAGACAGAAGCATTCTCGGAAACATCTCTGTGATGTTTGCATTCAACTCAGTAGAGTTGAACACTTCCTTTCATAGAGCAGGTTTGAAACACTCTTTCTGCACTACCTGGAAGCGGACATTTCGAGCGCTTTGAGGCCTATGGTGAAAAAGGAAATATCTTCTCATAAAAACCAGAAAGAAGCATTCTCAGAAACTTCTTTGTGTTGTGTGTACTCAAGTAACAGTGTTGAACCTTCCTTTTGACAGAGCAGTTTTGAAACACTCTTTTGGTAGAATCTGCAAGTGGATATTTGGATAGCTTTGAGGATTTCGTTGGAAACGGGTTATCTTCATATAAAATCCAGACAGGAGCATTCTCAGAAACTTCTTTGTGCTGTATGTCCTCAATTCACAGAGCTGAACCTTTGTTTGGATACAGCATTTTGGAGACATTCCTTTAGTAGAATCTGCAAGTTGATATTTAGATAGCTTTGAAGATTTCGTTGGAAACGGGAATATCTTCATAGAAAATCTAGACGGAAGCATTCTCAGAAACTGCTTTGTGATGTTTGCATTCAAGTCACAGAGTTGAATATTCCCTTTTATAGAGTAGGTTTGAAACACTCTTTGGGCACTACCTGGAAGTGGATATTTCGAGCTCTTTGAGGCCTATGGTTAAAAGGAAATATCTTCCCATAAAAACTAGACAGAAGCCGTCTCAGAAACTTGTTTGTGATGTGTGTATTCAACTAACAGAGTTGAACATTTCTGTTACAGAGCAATTTTAAAACACTCTTTGTGGAATCTGAAAGTGGATA
This sequence comes from Homo sapiens, assembly GCF_000001405.40. NCBI lineage: Eukaryota > Metazoa > Chordata > Mammalia > Primates > Hominidae > Homo > Homo sapiens. Next base: position 50,741,906 of record NC_000004.12, read on the forward strand.
ATTGGATAGCTTTGTGGATTTCGTTGGAAACGGGATGACGTATAAAATCTAGAGAGAAGCATTCTCAGGAACTTCTTTTTGATGTTTGCATTCAAGTCACAGAATTGAACATTCCTTTTCAGAGTGCAGGTTTGAAACACTCTTTCTGTAATATCTGGAAGTGGACATTTCAAGCGCTTTCAGACCTACGGGGAGAAAGGAAATATCTTCAAATAAAAACTAGACAGAAGGATTCTCAGAAACTTATTTGTGATGTGTGTCCTAAACGAACACAGTTGAACCTTTGTTTTGATACAGCATTTTGGAAACACTCCTTTTGTAGGATCTGCAGGTGGATATTTGGATAGATTTTAAGATTTCGTTGGAAACGGGAATTTCTTCATAGAAGCTCAAGACAGATGCATTCTCAGAAACTTCTCTGTGATGTTTGCATTCCACTCATGGAGTTGAAAACTTCCTTTCATAGAGCAGGTTTGAAACACTCTTTTTGTAATATTTGGAAGTGGACATTTGCAGCGCTTTGAGGCCTATGGTGAAAAAGGAAATATCTTCTCATAAAAACCAGAAACAAGCATTCTCAGAAACTTCTTTTTGATGTGTGTACTCAAGTAACAGAGTTGAACCTTCCTCTTGACACAGCAGTTTTGAAACAATCTTTTTGTAGAATCTGCAAGTGGATATTTGGATAGCTTTGAGGATTTCGTTGGAAACGGGATATCTTCATATAAAATCTAGACAGAAGCATTCTCAGAAACTTCTTTGTGCTGTATGTCCTCAATTAACAGAGTTGAACCATTGCTTGGATACAGCATTTTGGAAACATTCCTTTAGTAGAATCTGCAAGTTGATATTTAGATAGCTTTGAAGATTTCGTTGGAAACGGGAATATCTTCATATAAAATCTAGACGGAGGCATTCTCAGAAACTGCTTTGTGATGTTTCCATTCAAGTCACAGAGTTGAATATTCTCTTTTATAGAGCACGTTTGAAACACTCTTTCTGCACTATCTGGAAGTGGACATTTCGAGCGCTTTGAGGCCTATGGTGAAAAAGGAAGTATCTTCCCATAAAAACTAGACAGAAGTATTCTCAGAAACTTGTTTGTGATGTGTGTATTCAACTAACAGACTTGAACTTTTGTTTTTACAGAGCAGTTTTAAAACAATCTTTTTGTGGAATCAGAAAGTGGATATTCGGATGGCTTTGAGGATTTCGTTGGAAGCGGGATTACATATAAAATCTAGAGAGAAGCATTCTCAGGAACTACTTTGTGATGTTTGCATTGAAGTCACGGAATTGAACATTCACTTTGATAGAGCAGGTTTGAAACACTCATTCTGTAGTATCTGGAAGTGGACATTTCAAGCGCTTTCAGGCCTATGGGGAGAAAGGAAATATCTTCAAATTAAAACTAGACAGATAAGCATCCTCAAACTTATTTGTGATGTGTGTCCTCAACTAACAGAGTTGAAACTTTGTTTTGATACAGCATTTTGGAAACACTCTTTTTGTAGAATCTGCAGGTGGATATTTGGATAGCTTAGAGGGATTCGTTGGAAAGGGGATATCTTCATATAAAATCTAGACAGAAGCATTCTCAGAAACTTATTTGTGATGTGTGTCCTCAACTAACAGAGTTGAACCTTGGTTTTGATACAGCATTTTGGAAACACTCCTTTTGTAGAATCTGCAGGTGGATATGTGGATAGCTCTGAAGATTTCGTTGGAAACGGGAATTTCTTCATATAAAATCAAACAGAAGCATTCTCAGAAACTTCTCAGTGATGTTTGCATTCAGCTCATGGAGTTGTACACTTCCTTTCATAGAGCAGGTTTGAAACACTCTTTCTGCACTACCTGGAAGAGGACATTTCGAGCGCTTTGAGTCCTATGGTGAAAAAGGAAATATCTTCTCATAGAAACCAGAAAGAAGCATTCTCAGAAACTTCTTTGTGTTGTGTGTACTCATGTAACAGTGTTGAACCATCCTTTTGACAGAGGAGTTTTGAAACACTCTTTTTGTAGAATCTGCAAGTGGATATTTGGATAGCTTTGAGGATTTCGTTGGAAACGGGATGACATATAATATCTAGAGAGAAGCATTCTCAGGAACTTCTTTGTGATGTTTGCATTCAAGTCACAGAATTGAACATTCCCTTTCATAGAGCAGGTTTGAAACACTCTTTCTCTAGTATCTGGAAGTGGGCATTTCAAGCGCTTTCAGGCCTATGGAGAGAAAGGAAATACCTTCAAATAAAAACTAGACAGAAGCATTCTCAGAAACTTATTTGTGATGTGTGTCCTCAACTAACAGAGTTGAACCTTTGTTTTGATACAGCATTTTGGAAACACTCCTTTTGTAGAATCTGCAGGTGGATATTTGGATAGCTTTGAAGATTTCGTTGGAAACCGGAATATCTTCATATAAAATCAAGACAGAAGCATTCTCGGAAACATCTCTGTGATGTTTGCATTCAACTCAGTAGAGTTGAACACTTCCTTTCATAGAGCAGGTTTGAAACACTCTTTCTGCACTACCTGGAAGCGGACATTTCGAGCGCTTTGAGGCCTATGGTGAAAAAGGAAATATCTTCTCATAAAAACCAGAAAGAAGCATTCTCAGAAACTTCTTTGTGTTGTGTGTACTCAAGTAACAGTGTTGAACCTTCCTTTTGACAGAGCAGTTTTGAAACACTCTTTTGGTAGAATCTGCAAGTGGATATTTGGATAGCTTTGAGGATTTCGTTGGAAACGGGTTATCTTCATATAAAATCCAGACAGGAGCATTCTCAGAAACTTCTTTGTGCTGTATGTCCTCAATTCACAGAGCTGAACCTTTGTTTGGATACAGCATTTTGGAGACATTCCTTTAGTAGAATCTGCAAGTTGATATTTAGATAGCTTTGAAGATTTCGTTGGAAACGGGAATATCTTCATAGAAAATCTAGACGGAAGCATTCTCAGAAACTGCTTTGTGATGTTTGCATTCAAGTCACAGAGTTGAATATTCCCTTTTATAGAGTAGGTTTGAAACACTCTTTCGGCACTACCTGGAAGTGGATATTTCGAGCTCTTTGAGGCCTATGGTTAAAAGGAAATATCTTCCCATAAAAACTAGACAGAAGCCGTCTCAGAAACTTGTTTGTGATGTGTGTATTCAACTACCAGAGTTGAACATTTCTGTTACAGAGCAATTTTAAAACGCTCTTTTTGTGGAATCTGAAAGTGGATAATTGGATAGCTTTGTGGATTTCGTTGGAAACGGGATGACATATAAAATCTAGAGAGAAGCATTCTCAGGTAACTTCTTTCTGATGTTTGCATTCAAGTCACAGAATTGAACATTCCTTTTCAGAGTGCAGGTTTGAAACACTCTTTCTGTAGTATCTGGAAGTGGACATTTCAAGCGCTTTCAGGCCTACGGGGAGAAAGGAAATATCTTCAAATAAAAACTAGACAGAAGGATTCTCAGAAACTTATTTGTGATGTGTGTCCTAAACGAACACAGTTGAACCTTTGTTTTGATACAGCATTTTGGAAACACTCCTTTTGTAGGATCTGCAGGTGGATATTTGGATAGATTTTAAGATTTCGTTGGAAACGGGAATTTCTTCATAGAAGCTCAAGACAGATGCATTCTCAGAAACTTCTCTGTGATGTTTGCATTCCACTCATAGAGTTGAAAACTTCCTTTCATAGAGCAGGTTTGAAACACTCTTTTTGTAATATTTGGAAGTGGACATTTGCAGCGCTTTGAGGCCTATGGTGAAAAAGGAAATATCTTCTCATAAAAACCAGAAACAAGCATTCTCAGAAACTTCTTTTTGATGTGTGTACTCAAGTAACAGAGTTGAACCTTCCTCTTGACACAGCAGTTTCGAAACAATCTTTTTGTAGAATCTGCAAGTGGATATTTGGATAGCTTTGAGGATTTCGTTGGAAACGGGATATCTTCATATAAAATCTAGACAGAAGCATTCTCAGAAACTTCTTTGTGCTGTATGTCCTCAATTAACAGAGTTGAACCATTGCCTGGATACAGCATTTTGGAAACATTCCTTGAGTAGAATCTGCAAGTTGATATTTAGATAGATTTGAAGATTTCGTTGGAAAAGGGAATATCTCCATATAAAATCTAGAGGGAAGCATTCTCAGAAACTGCTTTGTGATGTTTCCATTCAAGTCACAGAGTTGAATATTCCCTTTTATAGAGCACGTTTGAAACACTCTTTCTGCACTATCTGGAAGCGGACATTTCGAGCGCTTTGAGGCCTATGGTGAAAAAGGAAATATCTTCCCATAAAAACTAGACAGAAGCATTCTCAGAAACTTGTTTGTGATGTGTGTATTCAACTAACAGAGTTGAACTTTTGTTTTTACAGAGCCGTTTTAAAACACTCTTTTTGTGGAATCAGAAAGTGGATATTCGGATGGCTCTGAGGATTTCGTTGGAAGCGGGATTACGTATAAAATCTAGAGAGAAGCATTCTCAGGAACTTCTTTCTGATGTTTGCATTCAAGTCACAGAATTGAACATTCCTTTTCAGAGTGCAGGTTTGAAACACTCTTTCTGTAGTATCTGGAAGTGGACATTTCAAGCGCTTTCAGGCCTACGGGGAGAAAGGAAATATCTTCAAATAAAAACTAGACAGAAGGATTCTCAGAAACTTATTTGTGATGTGTGTCCTAAACGAACACAGTTGAACCTTTGTTTTGATACAGCATTTTGGAAACACTCCTTTTGTAGAATCTGCAGGTGGATATTTGGATAGATTTTAAGATTTCATTGGAAACGGGAATTTCTTCATATAAACTCAAGACAGATGCATTCTCAGAAACTTCTCTGTGATGTTTGCATTCCACTCATAGAGTTGAAAACTTCCTTTCATAGAGCAGGTTTGAAACACTCTTTTTGTAATATTTGGAAGTGGACATTTGCAGCGCTTTGAGGCCTATGGTGAAAAAGGAAATATCTTCTCATAAAAACCAGAAACAAGCATTCTCAGAAACTGCTTTTTGATGTGTGTACTCAAGTAACAGAGTTGAACCTTCCTTTTGACACAGCAGTTTTGAAACAATCTTTTTGTAGAATCTGCAAGTGGATATTTGGATAGCTTTGAGGATTTCGTTGGAAACGGGATATCTTCATATAAAATCTAGACAGAAGCATTCTCAGAAACTTCTTTGTGCTGTATGTCCTCAATTAACAGAGTTGAACCATTGCTTGGACACAGCATTTTGGAAACATTCCTTTAGTAGAATCTGCAAGTTGATATTTAGATAGATTTGAAGATTTCGTTGGAAACGGGAATATCTTCATATAAAATCTAGACGGAGGCATTCTCAGAAACTGCTTTGTGATGTTTCCATTGAAGTCACAGAGTTGAATATTCTCTTTTATAGAGCACGTTTGAAACACTCTTTCTGCACTATCTGGAAGTGGACATTTCGAGCGCTGTGAGGCCTATGGTGAAAAAGGAAATATCTTCCCATAAAAACTAGACAGAAGCATTCTCAGAAACTTGTTTATGATGTGTGTATTCAACTAACAGACTTGAACTTTTGTTTTTACAGAGCAGTTTTAAGACAATCTTTTTGTGGAATCAGAAAGTGGATATTCGGATGGCTTTGAGGATTTCGTTGGAAGCGGGATTACATATATAATCTAGAGAGAAGCATTCTCAGGAACTTCTTTGTGATGTTTGCATTGAAGTCACAGAATTGAACATTCACTTTGATAGAGCAGGTTTGAAACACTCATTCTGTAGGATCTGGAAGTGGACATTTCAAGCGCTTTCAGGCCTATGGTGAGAAAGGAAATATCTTCGAATAAAAACTAGACAGAAGCATCCTCAGAAACTTATTTGTGATGTGTGTCCTCAACTAACAGAGTTGAACCTTGGTTTTGATACAGCATTTTGGAAACACTCTTTTTGTAGAATCTGCAGGTGGATATTTGGATAGCTTAGAGGGATTCGTTGGAAAGGGGATATCTTCATATAAAATCTAGACAGAAGCATTCTCAGAAACTTATTTGTGATGTGTGTCCTCAACTAACAGAGTTGAACCTTGGTTTTGATACAGCATTTTGGAAACACTCCTTTTGTAGAATCTGCAGGTGGATATGTGGATAGCTCTGAAGATTTCGTTGGAAACGGGAATTTCTTCATATAAAATCAAACAGAAGCATTCTCAGAAACTTCTCAGTGATGTTTGCATTCAGCTCATGGAGTTGTACACTTCCTTTCATAGAGCAGGTTTGAAACACTCTTTCTGCACTACTTGGAAGAGGACATTTCGAGCGCTTTGAGTCCTATGGTGAAAAAGGAAATATCTTCTCATAGAAACCAGAAAGAAGCATTCTCAGAAACTTCTTTGTGTTGTGTGTACTCATGTAACAGTGTTGAACCATCCTTTTGACAGAGCAGTTTTGAAACACTCTTTTTGTAGAATCTGCAAGTGGATATTTGGATAGCTTTGAGGATTTCGTTGGAAACGGGATGACATATAATATCTAGAGAGAAGCATTCTCAGGAACTTCTTTGTGATGTTTGCATTCAAGTCACAGAATTGAACATTCCCTTTCATAGAGCAGGTTTGAAACACTCTTTCTCTAGTATCTGGAAGTGGGCATTTCAAGCGCTTTCAGGCCTATGGAGAGAAAGGAAATACCTTCAAATAAAAACTAGACAGAAGCATTCTCAGAAACTTATTTGTGATGTGTGTCCTCAACTAACAGAGTTGAACCTTTGTTTTGATACAGCATTTTGGAAACACTCCTTTTGTAGAATCTGCAGGTGGATATTTGGATAGCTTTGAAGATTTCGTTGGAAACCGGAATATCTTCATATAAAATCAAGACAGAAGCATTCTCGGAAACATCTCTGTGATGTTTGCATTCAACTCAGTAGAGTTGAACACTTCCTTTCATAGAGCAGGTTTGAAACACTCTTTCTGCACTACCTGGAAGCGGACATTTCGAGCGCTTTGAGGCCTATGGTGAAAAAGGAAATATCTTCTCATAAAAACCAGAAAGAAGCATTCTCAGAAACTTCTTTGTGTTGTGTGTACTCAAGTAACAGTGTTGAACCTTCCTTTTGACAGAGCAGTTTTGAAACACTCTTTTGGTAGAATCTGCAAGTGGATATTTGGATAGCTTTGAGGATTTCGTTGGAAACGGGTTATCTTCCTATAAAATCCAGACAGGAGCATTCTCAGAAACTTCTTTGTGCTGTATGTCCTCAATTCACAGAGCTGAACCTTTGTTTGGATACAGCATTTTGGAGACATTCCTTTAGTAGAATCTGCAAGTTGATATTTAGATAGCTTTGAAGATTTCGTTGGAAACGGGAATATCTTCATAGAAAATCTAGACGGAAGCATTCTCAGAAACTGCTTTGTGATGTTTGCATTCAAGTCACAGAGTTGAATATTCCCTTTTATAGAGTAGGTTTGAAACACTCTTTCGGCACTACCTGGAAGTGGATATTTCGAGCTCTTTGAGGCCTATGGTTAAAAGGAAATATCTTCCCATAAAAACTAGACAGAAGCCGTCTCAGAAACTTGTTTGTGATGTGTGTATTCAACTACCAGAGTGGAACATTTGTGTTACAGAGCAATTTTAAAACACTCTTTTTGTGGAATCTGAAAGTGGATAATTGGATAGCTTTGTGGATTTCGTTGGAAACGGGATGACGTATAAAATCTAGAGAGAAGCATTCTCAGGAACTTCTTTCTGATGTTTGCATTCAAGTCACAGAATTGAACATTCCTTTTCAGAGTGCAGGTTTGAAACACTCTTTCTGTAGTATCTGGAAGTGGACATTTCAAGCGCTTTCAGGCCTATGGGGAGAAAGGAAATATCTTCAAATAAAAACTAGACAGAAGGATTCTCAGAAACTTATTTGTGATGTGTGTCCTAAACGAACACAGTTGAACCTTTGTTTTGATACAGCATTTTGGAAACACTCCTTTTGTAGAATCTGCAGGTGGATATTTGGATAGATTTTAAGATTTCATTGGAAACGGGAATTTCTTCATATAAACTCAAGACAGATGCATTCTCAGAAACTTCTCTGTGATGTTTGCATTCCACTCACAGAGTTGAAAACTTTCTTTCATAGAGCAGGTTTGAAACACTCTTTTTGTAATATTTGGAAGTGGACATTTGCAGCGCTTTGAGGCCTATGGTGAAAAAGGAAATATCTTCTCATAAAAACCAGAAACAAGCATTCTCAGAAACTGCTTTTTGATGTGTGTACTCAAGTAACAGAGTTGAACCTTCCTTTTGACACAGCAGTTTTGAAACAATCTTTTTGTAGAATCTGCAAGTGGATATTTGGATAGCTTTGAGGATTTCGTTGGAAACGGGATATCTTCATATAAAATCTAGACAGAAGCATTCTCAGAAACTTCTTTGTGCTGTATGTCCTCAATTAACAGAGTTGAACCATTGCTTGGATACAGCATTTTGGAAACATTCCTTTAGTAGAATCTGCAAGTTGATATTTAGATAGATTTGAAGATTTCGTTGGAAACGGGAATATCTTCATATAAAATCTAGACGGAGGCATTCTCAGAAACTGCTTTGTGATGTTTCCATTCAAGTCACAGAGTTGAATATTCTCTTTTATAGAGCACTTTTGAAACACTCTTTCTGCACTATCTAGAAGTGGACATTTCGAGCGCTTTGAGGCCTATGGTGAAAAAGGAAATATCTTCCCATAAAAACTAGACAGAAGCATTCTCAGAAACTTGTTTGTGATGTGTGTATTCAACTAACAGAGTTGAACTTTTGTTTTTACAGAGCCGTTTTAAAACACTCTTTTTGTGGAATCAGAAAGTGGATATTCGGATGGCTCTGAGGATTTCGTTGGAAGCGGGATTACATATAAAATCTAGAGAGAAGCATTCTCAGGAACTTCTTTGTGATGTTTGCATTGAAGTCACAGAATTGAACATTCACTTTGATAGAGCAGGTTTGAAACACTCATTCTGTAGTATCTGGAAGTGGACATTTCAAGCGCTTTCAGGCCTATGGTGAGAAAGGAAATATCTTCGAATAAAAACTAGACAGAAGCATCCTCAAACTTATTTGTGATGTGTGTCCTCAACTAACAGAGTTGAAACTTTGTTTTGATACAGCATTTTGGAAACACTCTTTTTGTAGAATCTGCAGGTGGATATTTGGATAGCTTAGAGGGATTCGTTGGAAAGGGGATATCTTCATATAAAATCCTAGACAGAAGCATTCTCAGAAACTTATTTGTGATGTGTGTCCTCAACTAACAGAGTTGAACCTTGGTTTTGATACGGCATTTTGGAAACACTCCTTTTGAAGAATCTGCTGGTGGATATGTGGATAGCTTTGAAGATTTCGTTGGAAACGGGAATTTCTTCATATAAAATCAAACAGAAAGCATTCTCAGAAACTTCTCTGTGATGTTTGCATTCAGCTCATGGAGTTGAACACTTCCTTTCATAGAGCAGGTTTGAAACACTCTTTCTGCACTACCAGGAAGTGGACATTTCGAGCGCTTTGAGGCCTATGGTGAAAAAGGAAATATCTTCTCATAAAAACCAGAAAGAGCGTTCTCAGAAACTTCTTTGTGTTGTGTGTACTCATGTAACAGTGTTGAACCATCCTTTTGACAGAGCAGTTTTGAAACACTCTTTTTGTAGAATCTGCAAGTGGATATTTGGATAGATTTGAGGATTTCGTTGGAAACGGGTTATCTTCATATTAAATCTAGACAGAAGCATTCTCAGAAACTTCTTTGTGCTGTATGTCCTCAATTCACAGAGTTGAACCTTTGTTTGGATACAGCATTTTGGAAACATTCCTTTAGTAGAATCTGCAAGTTGATATTTAGATAGCTTTGAAGATTTCGTTGGAAACGGGAATATCTTCATAAAAAATCTAGACGGAAGCATTGTCAGAAACTGCTTTGTGATGTTTGCATTGAAGTCACAGAGTTAAATATTCTTTTACAGAGCAGGTTTGAAACACTCTTTCTGCACTCCCTGGAAGTGGAGATTTCGAGCGCTTTGAGGCCTATGGTGAAAAAGGAAATATCTTCCCATAAAAACTAGACGGAAGCCTTCTCAGAAACTTGTTTGAGATGTGTGTATTCAACTAAGAGCGTTGAACATTTCTTTTTACAGAGCAGTTTTAAAACACTCTTTTTGTGGAATCTGAAAGTGGATAATTAGATAGCTTTGTGGATTTCGTTGGAAACGGGATGACGTATAAAATCTAGAGAGAAGCATTCTCAGGAACTTCTTTCTGAGGTTTGCATTCAAGTCACAGAATTGAACATTCCTTTTCATAGTGCAGGTTTGAAACACTCTTTCTGTAGTATCTGGAAGTGGACATTTCAAGCGCTTTCAGGCCTATGGGGAGAAAGGAAATATCTTCAAATAAAAACTAGACAGAAGGATTCTCAGAAACTTATTGGTGATGTGTGTCCTAAACGAACGCAGTTGAACCTTTGTTTTGATACAGCATTTTGGAAACACTCCCTTTGTAGAATCTGCAGGTGGATATTTGGATAGATTTTAAGATTTCGTTGGAAACGGGAATTTCTTCATATAAACTCAAGACAGATGCATTCTCCGAAACTTCTCTGTGATGTTTGCATTCCACTCATAGAGTTGAAAACTTCCTTTCATAGAGCAGGTTTGAAACACTCTTTTTGTAATATTTGGAAGTGGACATTTGCAGCGCTTTGAGGCCTATGGTGAAAAAGGAAATATCTTCTCATAAAAACCAGAAACAAGCATTCTCAGAAACTTCTTTTTGATGTGTGTACTCGAGTAACAGAGTTGAACCTTCCTTTTGACACAGCAGTTTTGAAACAATCTTTTTGTAGAATCTGCAAGTGGATATTTGGATAGCTTTGAGGATTTCGTTGGAAACGGGATATCTTCATATAAAATCTAGACAGAAGCATTCTCAGAAACTTCTTTGTGCTGTATGTCCTCAATTAACAGAGTTGAACCATTGCTTGGATACAGCATTTTGGAAACATTCCTTTAGTAGAATCTGCAAGTTGATATTTAGATAGATTTGAAGATTTCGTTGGAAACGGGAATATCTTCATATAAAATCTAGACGGAAGCATTCTCAGAAACTGCTTTGGGATGTTTCCATTCAAGTCACAGAGTTGAATATTCTCTTTTATAGAGCACGTTTGAAACACTCTTTCTGCACTACCTGGAAGTGGACATTTCGAGCGCTTTGAGGCCTATGGTGAAAAAGGAAATATCTTCCCATAAAAACTAGACAGAAGCATTCTCAGAAACTTGTTTGTGATGTGTGTATTTAACTGAGTTGAACTTTTGTTTCTACAGAGCAGTTTTAAAACACTCTTTTTGTGGAATCAGAAAGTGGATATTCGGATGGCTCTGAGGATTTCGTTGGAAGCGGGATTACATATAAAATCTAGAGAGAAGCATTCTCAGGAACTTCTTTGTGATGTTTGCATTGAAGTCACAGAATTGAACATTCACTTTGATAGAGCAGGTTTGAAACACTCATTCTGTAGTATCTGGAAGTGGACATTTCAAGCGCTTTCAGGCCTATGGTGAGAAAGGAAATATCTTCAAATAAAAACTAGACAGAAGCATCGTCAGAAACTTATTTGTGATGTGTGTCCTCAACTAACAGAGTTGAAACTTTGTTTTGATACAGCCTTTTGGAAACACTCTTTTTGTAGAATCTGCAGGTGCATATTTGGATAGCTTAGAGGGATTCGTTGGAAAGGGGATATCTTCATATAAAATCTAGACAGAAGCATTCTCAGAAACTTATTTTTGATGTGTGTCCTCAACTAACAGAGTTGAACCTTGGTTTTGATACAGCATTTTGGAAACACTCCTTTTGTAGAATCTGCAGGTGGATATGTGGATAGCTTTGAAGATTTCGTTGGAAACGGGAATTTCTTCATATAAAATCAAACAGAAGCATTCTCAGAAACTTCTCTGTGATGTTTGCATTCAGCTCATGGAGTTGAACACTTCCTTTCATAGAGCAGGTTTGAAACACTCTTTCTGCACTACCTGGAAGCGGACATTTCGAGCGCTTTGAGGCCTATGGTGAAAAAGGAAATATCTTCTCATAAAAACCAGAAAGAAGCATTCTCAGAAACTTCTTTGTGTTGTGTGTACTCAAGTAACAGTGTTGAACCTTCCTTTTGACAGAGCAGGTTTGAAACACTCTTTTGGTAGAATCTGCAAGTGGATATTTGGATAGCTTTGAGGATTTCGTTGGAAACGGGTTATCTTCATATAAAATCCAGACAGGAGCATTCACAGAAACTTCTTTGTGCTGTATGTCCTCAATTCACAGAGCTGAACCTTTGTTTGGATACAGCATTTTGGAAACATTCCTTTAGTAGAATCTGCAAGTTGATATTTAGATAGCTTTGAAGATTTCATTGGAAACGGGAATATCTTCATAGAAAATCTAGACGGAAGCATTCTCATAAACTGCTTTGTGATGTTTGCATTCAAGTCACAGAGTTGAATATTCCCTTTTATAGAGTAGGTTTGAAACACTCTTTCGGCACTACCTGGAAGTGGATATTTCGAGCTCTTTGAGGCCTATGCTTAAAAGGAAATATCTTCCCATAAAAACTAGACAGAAGCCGTCTCAGAAACTTGTTTGTGATGTGTGTATTCAACTAACAGAGTTGAACATTTCTGTTACAGAGCAATTTTAAAACACTCTTTCTGTGAAATCTGAAAGTGGATAATTGGATAGCTTTGTGGATTTCGTTGGAAACGGGATGACGTATAAAATCTAGAGAGAAGCATTCTCAGGAACTTCTTTCTGATGTTTGCATTCAAGTCACAGAATTGAACATTCCTTTTCAGAGTGCAGGTTTGAAACACTCTTTCTGTAGTATCTGGAAGTGGACATTTCAAGCGCTTTCAGGCCTACGGGGAGAAAGGAAATCTCTTCAAATAAAAACCAGACAGAAGGATTCTCAGAAACTTATTTGTGATGTGTGTCCTAAACGAACACAGTTGAACCTTTGTTTTGATACAGCATTTTGGAAACACTCCTTTTGTAGGATCTGCAGGTGGATATTTGGATAGATTTTAAGATTTCGTTGGAAACGGGAATTTCTTCATAGAAGCTCAAGACAGATGCGTTCTCAGAAACTTCTCTGTGATGTTTGCATTCCACTCATAGAGTTGAAAACTTCCTTTCATAGAGCAGGTTTGAAACACTCTTTTTGTAATATTTGGAAGTGGACATTTGCAGCGCTTTGAGGCCTATGGTGAAAAAGGAAATATCTTCTCATAAAAACCAGAAACAAGCATTCTCAGAAACTTCTTTTTGATGTGTGTACTCAAGTAACAGAGTTGAACCTTCCTCTTGACACAGCAGTTTTGAAACAATCTTTTTGTAGAATCTGCAAGTGGATATTTGGATAGCTTTGAGGATTTCGTTGGAAACGGGATATCTTCATATAAAATCTAGACAGAAGCATTCTCAGAAACTTCTTTGTGCTGTATGACCTCAATTAACAGAGTTGAACCATTGCTTGCATACAGCATTTTGGAAACATTCCTTGAGTAGAATCTGCAAGTTGATATTTAGATAGATTTGAAGATTTCGTTCGAAAATGGAATATCTCCATATAAAATCTAGAGGGAAGCATTCTCAGAAACTGCTTTGTGATGTTTCCATTCAAGTCACAGAGTTGAATATTCCCTTTTATAGAGCACGTTTGAAACACTCTTTCTGCACTATCTGGAAGTGGACATTTCGAGCGCTTTGAGGCCTATGGTGAAAAAGGAAATATCTTCCCATAAAAACTAGACAGAAGCATTCTCAGAAACTTGTTTGTGATGTGTGTATTCAACTAACAGAGTTGAACTTTTGTTTTTACAGAGCCGTTTTAAAACACTCTTTTTGTGGAATCAGAAAGTGGATATTCGGATGGCTCTGAGGATTTCGTTGGAAGCGGGATTACATATAAAATCTAGAGAGAAGCATTCTCAGGAACTTCTTTGTGATGTTTGCATTGAAGTCACAGAATTGAACATTCACTTTTATAGAGCAGGTTTGAAACACTCATTCTGTAGTATCTGGAAGTGGACATTTCAAGCGCTTTCAGGCCTATGGTGAGAAAGGAAATATCTTCAAATAAAAACTAGACAGAAGCATCCTCAAACTTATTTGTGATGTGTGTCCTCAACTAACAGAGTTGAAACTTTGTTTTGATACAGCATTTTGGAAACACTCTTTTTGTAGAATCTGCAGGTGGATATTTGGATAGCTTAGAGGGATTCGTTGGAAAGGGGATATCTTCATATAAAATCTAGACAGAAGCATTCTCAGAAACTAATTTGTGATGTGTGTCCTCAACTAACAGAGTTGAACCTTGGTTTTGATACAGCATTTTGGAAACACTCCTTTTGTAGAATCTGCAGGTGGATATGTGGATAGCTCTGAAGATTTCGTTGGAAACGGGAATTTCTTCATATAAAATCAAACAGAAGCATTCTCAGAAACTTCTCAGTGATGTTTGCATTCAGCTCATGGAGTTGTACACTTCCTTTCATAGAGCAGGTTTGAAACACTCTTTCTGCACTACCTGGAAGAGGACATTTCGAGCGCTTTGAGTCCTATGGTGAAAAAGGAAATATCTTCTCATAGAAACCAGAAAGAAGCATTCTCAGAAACTTCTTTGTGTTGTGTGTACTCATGTAACAGTGTTGAACCATCCTTTTGACAGAGCAGTTTTGAAACACTCTTTTTGTGGAATCAGAAAGTGGATATTCCGATGGCTCTGAGGATTTCGTTGGAAGCGGGATTACGTATAAAATCTAGAGAGAAGCATTCTCAGGAACTTCTTTGTGATGTTTGCATTCAAGTCACAGAATTGAACATTCCCTTTCATAGAGCAGGTTTGAAACACTCTTTCTCTAGTATCTGGAAGTGGGCATTTCAAGCGCTTTCAGGCCTATGGAGAGAAAGGAAATACCTTCAAATAAAAACTAGACAGAAGCATTCTCAGAAACTTATTTGTGATGTGTGTCCTCAACTAACAGAGTTGAACCTTTGTTTTGATACAGCATTTTGGAAACACTCCTTTTGTAGAATCTGCAGGTGGATATTTGGATAGCTTTGAAGATTTCGTTGGAAACCGGAATATCTTCATATAAAATCAAGACAGAAGCATTCTCGGAAACATCTCTGTGATGTTTGCATTCAACTCAGTAGAGTTGAACACTTCCTTTCATAGAGCAGGTTTGAAACACTCTTTCTGCACTACCTGGAAGCGGACATTTCGAGCGCTTTGAGGCCTATGGTGAAAAAGGAAATATCTTCACATAAAAACCAGAAAGAAGCATTCTCAGAAACTTCTTTGTGTTGTGTGTACTCAAGTAACAGTGTTGAACCTTCCTTTTGACAGAGCAGTTTTGAAACAGTCTTTTTGTAGAATCTGCAAGTGGATATTTGGATAGCTTTGAGGATTTCGTTGGAAACGGGTTATCTTCATATTAAATCTAGACAGAAGCATTCTCAGAAACTTCTTTGTGCTGTATGTCCTCAATTCACAGAGCTGAACCTTTGTTTGGATACAGCATTTTGGAGACATTCCTTTAGTAGAATCTGCAAGTTGATATTTAGATAGCTTTGAAGATTTCGTTGGAAACGGGAATATCTTCATAGAAAATCTAGACGGAAGCATTCTCAGAAACTGCTTTGTGATGTTTGCATTCAAGTCACAGAGTTGAATATTCCCTTTTATAGAGTAGGTTTGAAACACTCTTTCGGCACTACCTGGAAGTGGATATTTCGAGCTCTTTGAGGCCTATGGTTAAAAGGAAATATCTTCCCATAAAAACTAGACAGAAGCCGTCTCAGAAACTTGTTTGTGATGTGTGTATTCAACTACCAGAGTTGAACATTTCTGTTACAGAGCAATTTTAAAACACTCTTTTTGTGGAATCTGAAAGTGGATAATTGGATAGCTTTGTGGATTTCGTTGGAAACGGGATGACGTATAAAATCTAGAGAGAAGCATTCTCAGGAACTTCTTTCTGATGTTTGCATTCAAGTCACAGAATTGAACATTCCTTTTCAGAGTGCAGGTTTGAAACACACTCTTTCTGTAGTATCTGGAAGTGGACATTTCAAGCGCTTTCAGGCCTACGGGGAGAAAGGAAATATCTTCAAATAAAAACTAGACAGAAGGATTCTCAGAAACTTATTTGTGATGTGTGTCCTAAACGAACACAGTTGAACCTTTGTTTTGATACAGCATTTTGGAAACACTCCTTTTGTAGGATCTGCAGGTGGATATTTGGATAGATTTTAAGATTTCGTTGGAAACGGGAATTTCTGCATATAAACTCAAGACAGATGCATTCTCAGAAACTTCTCTGTGATGTTTGCATTCCACTCATAGAGTTGAAAACTTCCTTTCATAGAGCAGGTTTGAAACACTCTTTTTGTAATATTTGGAAGTGGACATTTGCAGCGCTTTGAGGCCTATGGTGAAAAAGGAAATATCTTCTCATAAAAACCAGAAACAAGCATTCTCAGAAACTTCTTTTTGATGTGTGTACTCAAGTAACAGAGTTGAACCTTCCTTTTGACACAGCAGTTTTGAAACAATCTTTTTGTAGAATCTGCAAGTGGATATTTGGATAGCTTTGAGGATTTCGTTGGAAACGGGATATCTTCATATAAAATCTAGACAGAAGCATTCTCAGAAACTTCTTTGTGCTGTATGTCCTCAATTAACAGAGTTGAACCATTGCCTGGATACAGCATTTTGGAAACATTCCTTGAGTAGAATCTGCAAGTTGATATTTAGATAGATTTGAAGATTTCGTTGGAAAAAGCATTCTCAGAAACTTGTTTGTGATGTGTGTATTCAACTAACAGAGTTGAACTTTTGTTTTTACAGAGCCGTTTTAAAACACTCTTTTTGTGGAATCAGAAAGTGGATATTCGGATGGCTCTGAGGATTTCGTTGGAAGCGGGATTACGTATAAAATCTAGAGAGAAGCATTCTCAGGAACTTCTTTCTGATGTTTGCATTGAAGTCACAGAATTGAACATTCACTTTGATAGAGCAGGTTTGAAACACTCATTCTGTAGTATCTGGAAGTGGACATTTCAAGCGCTTTCAGGCCTATGGTGAGAAAGGAAATATCTTCGAATAAAAACTAGACAGAAGCATCCTCAAACTTATTTGTGATGTGTGTCCTCAACTAACAGAGTTGAAACTTTGTTTTGATACAGCATTTTGGAAACACTCTTTTTGTAGAATCTGCAGGTGGATATTTGGATAGCTTAGAGGGATTCGTTGGAAAGGGGATATCTTCATATAAAATCTAGACAGAAGCATTCTCAGAAACTTATTTGTGATGTGTGTCCTCAACTAACAGAGTTGAACCTTGGTTTTGATACAGCATTTTGGAAACACTCCTTTTGTAGAATCTGCAGGTGGATATGTGGATAGCTCTGAAGATTTCGTTGGAAACGGGAATTTCTTCATATAAAATCAAACAGAAGCATTCTCAGAAACTTCTCAGTGATGTTTGCATTCAGCTCATGGAGTTGTACACTTCCTTTCATAGAGCAGGTTTGAAACACTCTTTCTGCACTACCTGGAAGAGGACATTTCGAGCGCTTTGAGTCCTATGGTGAAAAAGGATATATCTTCTCATAGAAACCAGAAAGAAGCATTCTCAGAAACTTCTTTGTGTTGTGTGTACTCATGTAACAGTGTTGAACCATCCTTTTGACAGAGCAGTTTTGAAACACTCTTTTTGTAGAATCTGCAAGTGGATATTTGGATAGCTTTGAGGATTTCGTTGGAAACGGGATGACATATAATATCTAGAGAGAAGCATTCTCAGGAACTTCTTTGTGATGTTTGCATTCAAGTCACAGAATTGAACATTCCCTTTCATAGAGCAGGTTTGAAACACTCTTTCTCTAGTATCTGGAAGTGGGCATTTCAAGCGCTTTCAGGCCTATGGAGAGAAAGGAAATACCTTCAAATAAAAACTAGACAGAAGCATTCTCAGAAACTTATTTGTGATGTGTGTCCTCAACTAACAGAGTTGAACCTTTGTTTTGATACAGCATTTTGGAAACACTCCTTTTGTAGAATCTGCAGGTGGATATTTGGATAGCTTTGAAGATTTCGTTGGAAACCGGAATATCTTCATATAAAATCAAGACAGAAGCATTCTCGGAAACATCTCTGTGATGTTTGCATTCAACTCAGTAGAGTTGAACACTTCCTTTCATAGAGCAGGTTTGAAACACTCTTTCTGCACTACCTGGAAGCGGACATTTCGAGCGCTTTGAGGCCTATGGTGAAAAAGGAAATATCTTCTCATAAAAACCAGAAAGAAGCATTCTCAGAAACTTCTTTGTGTTGTGTGTACTCAAGTAACAGTGTTGAACCTTCCTTTTGACAGAGCAGTTTTGAAACACTCTTTTGGTAGAATCTGCAAGTGGATATTTGGATAGCTTTGAGGATTTCGTTGGAAACGGGTTATCTTCCTATAAAATCCAGACAGGAGCATTCTCAGAAACTTCTTTGTGCTGTATGTCCTCAATTCACAGAGCTGAACCTTTGTTTGGATACAGCATTTTGGAGACATTCCTTTAGTAGAATCTGCAAGTTGATATTTAGATAGCTTTGAAGATTTCGTTGGAAACGGGAATATCTTCATAGAAAATCTAGACGGAAGCATTCTCAGAAACTGCTTTGTGATGTTTGCATTCAAGTCACAGAGTTGAATATTCCCTTTTATAGAGTAGGTTTGAAACACTCTTTCGGCACTACCTGGAAGTGGATATTTCGAGCTCTTTGAGGCCTATGGTTAAAAGGAAATATCTTCCCATAAAAACTAGACAGAAGCCGTCTCAGAAACTTGTTTGTGATGTGTGTATTCAACTAACAGAGTTGAACATTTCTGTTACAGAGCAATTTTAAAACACTCTTTGTGGAATCTGAAAGTGGATAATTGGATAGCTTTGTGGATTTCGTTGGAAACGGGATGACGTATAAAATCTAGAGAGAAGCATTCTCAGGAACTTCTTTCTGATGTTTGCATTCAAGTCACAGAATTGAACATTCCTTTTCAGAGTGCAGGTTTGAAACACTCTTTCTGTAGTATCTGGAAGTGGACATTTCAAGCGCTTTCAGGCCTACGGGGAGAAAGGAAATATCTTCAAATAAAAACTAGACAGAAGGATTCTCAGAAACTTATTTGTGATGTGTGTCCTAAACGAACACAGTTGAACCTTTGTTTTGATACAGCATTTTGGAAACACTCCTTTTGTAGGATCTGCAGGTGGATATTTGGATAGATTTTAAGATTTCGTTGGAAACGGGAATTTCTTCATAGAAGCTCAAGACAGATGCATTCTCAGAAACTTCTCTGTGATGTTTGCATTCCACTCATAGAGTTGAAAACTTCCTTTCATAGAGCAGGTTTGAAACACTCTTTTTGTAATATTTGGAAGTGGACATTTGCAGCGCTTTGAGGCCTATGGTGAAAAAGGAAATATCTTCTCATAAAAACCAGAAACAAGCATTCTCAGAAACTTCTTTTTGATGTGTGTACTCAAGTAACAGAGTTGAACCTTCCTCTTGACACAGCAGTTTTGAAACAATCTTTTTGTAGAATCTGCAAGTGGATATTTGGATAGCTTTGAGGATTTCGTTGGAAACGGGATATCTTCATATAAAATCTAGACAGAAGCATTCTCAGAAACTTCTTTGTGCTGTATGTCCTCAATTAACAGAGTTGAACCATTGCCTGGATACAGCATTTTGGAAACATTCCTTGAGTAGAATCTGCAAGTTGATATTTAGATAGATTTGAAGATTTCGTTGGAAAAGGGAATATCTCCATATAAAATCTAGAGGGAAGCATTCTCAGAAACTGCTTTGTGATGTTTCCATTCAAGTCACAGAGTTGAATATTCCCTTTTATAGAGCACGTTTGAAACACTCTTTCTGCACTATCTGGAAGCGGACATTTCGAGCGCTTTGAGGCCTATGGTGAAAAAGGAAATATCTTCCCATAAAAACTAGACAGAAGCATTCTCAGAAACTTGTTTGTGATGTGTGTATTCAACTAACAGAGTTGAACTTTTGTTTTTACAGAGCCGTTTTAAAACACTCTTTTTGTGGAATCAGAAAGTGGATATTCGGATGGCTCTGAGGATTTCGTTGGAAGCGGGATTACGTATAAAATCTAGAGAGAAGCATTCTCAGGAACTTCTTTGTGATGTTTGCATTGAAGTCACAGAATTGAACATTCACTTTGATAGAGCAGGTTTGAAACACTCATTCTGCAGTATCTGGAAGTGGACATTTCAAGCGCTTTCAGGCCTATGGTGAGAAAGGAAATATCTTCGAATAAAAACTAGACAGAAGCATCCTCAAACTTATTTGTGATGTGTGTCCTCAACTAACAGAGTTGAAACTTTGTTTTGATACAGCATTTTGGAAACACTCTTTTTGTAGAATCTGCAGGTGGATATTTGGATAGCTTAGAGGGATTCGTTGGAAAGGGGATATCTTCATATAAAATCTAGACAGAAGCATTCTCAGAAACTTATTTGTGATGTGTGTCCTCAACTAACAGAGTTGAACCTTGGTTTTGATACAGCATTTTGGAAACTCTCCTTTTGTAGAATCTGCAGGTGGATATGTGGATAGCTCTGAAGATTTCGTTGGAAACGGGAATTTCTTCATATAAAATCAAACAGAAGCATTCTCAGAAACTTCTCAGTGATGTTTGCATTCAGCTCATGGAGTTGTACACTTCCTTTCATAGAGCAGGTTTGAAACACTCTTTCTGCACTACCTGGAAGAGGACATTTCGAGCGCTTTGAGTCCTATGGTGAAAAAGGAAATATCTTCTCATAGAAACCAGAAAGAAGCATTCTCAGAAACTTCTTTGTGTTGTGTGTACTCATGTAACAGTGTTGAACCATCCTTTTGACAGAGGAGTTTTGAAACACTCTTTTTGTAGAATCTGCAAGTGGATATTTGGATAGCTTTGAGGATTTCGTTGGAAACGGGATGACATATAATATCTAGAGAGAAGCATTCTCAGGAACTTCTTTGTGATGTTTGCATTCAAGTCACAGAATTGAACATTCCCTTTCATAGAGCAGGTTTGAAACACTCTTTCTCTAGTATCTGGAAGTGGGCATTTCAAGCGCTTTCAGGCCTATGGAGAGAAAGGAAATACCTTCAAATAAAAACTAGACAGAAGCATTCTCAGAAACTTATTTGTGATGTGTGTCCTCAACTAACAGAGTTGAACCTTTGTTTTGATACAGCATTTTGGAAACACTCCTTTTGTAGAATCTGCAGGTGGATATTTGGATAGCTTTGAAGATTTCGTTGGAAACCGGAATATCTTCATATAAAATCAAGACAGAAGCATTCTCGGAAACATCTCTGTGATGTTTGCATTCAACTCAGTAGAGTTGAACACTTCCTTTCATAGAGCAGGTTTGAAACACTCTTTCTGCACTACCTGGAAGCGGACATTTCGAGCGCTTTGAGGCCTATGGTGAAAAAGGAAATATCTTCTCATAAAAACCAGAAAGAAGCATTCTCAGAAACTTCTTTGTGTTGTGTGTACTCAAGTAACAGTGTTGAACCTTCCTTTTGACAGAGCAGTTTTGAAACACTCTTTTGGTAGAATCTGCAAGTGGATATTTGGAGAGCTTTGAGGATTTCGTTGGAAACGGGTTATCTTCCTATAAAATCCAGACAGGAGCATTCTCAGAAACTTCTTTGTGCTGTATGTCCTCAATTCACAGAGCTGAACCTTTGTTTGGATACAGCATTTTGGAGACATTCCTTTAGTAGAATCTGCAAGTTGATATTTAGATAGCTTTGAAGATTTCGTTGGAAACGGGAATATCTTCATAGAAAATCTAGACGGAAGCATTCTCAGAAACTGCTTTGTGATGTTTGCATTCAAGTCACAGAGTTGAATATTCCCTTTTATAGAGTAGGTTTGAAACACTCTTTCGGCACTACCTGGAAGTGGATATTTCGAGCTCTTTGAGGCCTATGGTTAAAAGGAAATATCTTCCCATAAAAACTAGACAGAAGCCGTCTCAGAAACTTGTTTGTGATGTGTGTATTCAACTAACAGAGTTGAACATTTCTGTTACAGAGCAATTTTAAAACACTCTTTCTGTGGAATCTGAAAGTGGATAATTGGATAGCTTTGTGGATTTCGTTGGAAACGGGATGACGTATAAAATCTAGAGAGAAGCATTCTCAGGAACTTCTTTCTGATGTTTGCATTCAAGTCACAGAATTGAACATTCCTTTTCAGAGTGCAGGTTTGAAACACTCTTTCTGTAGTATCTGGAAGTGGACATTTCAAGCGCTTTCAGGCCTACGGGGAGAAAGGAAATATCTTCAAATAAAAACTAGACAGAAGGATTCTCAGAAACTTATTTGTGATGTGTGTCCTAAACGAACACAGTTGAACCTTTGTTTTGATACAGCATTTTGGAAACACTCCTTTTGTAGGATCTGCAGGTGGATATTTGGATAGATTTTAAGATTTCGTTGGAAACGGGAATTTCTGCATATAAACTCAAGACAGATGCATTCTCAGAAACTTCTCTGTGATGTTTGCATTCCACTCATAGAGTTGAAAACTTCCTTTCATAGAGCAGGTTTGAAACACTCTTTTTGTAATATTTGGAAGTGGACATTTGCAGCGCTTTGAGGCCTATGGTGAAAAAGGAAATATCTTCTCATAAAAACCAGAAACAAGCATTCTCAGAAACTTCTTTCTGATGTGTGTACTCAAGTAACAGAGTTGAACCTTCCTTTTGACACAGCAGTTTTGAAACAATCTTTTTGTAGAATCTGCAAGTGGATATTTGGATAGCTTTGAGGATTTCATTGGAAACGGGATATCTTCATATAAAATCTAGACAGAAGCATTCTCAGAAACTTCTTTGTGCTGTATGTCCTCAATTAACAGAGTTGAACCATTGCCTGGATACAGCATTTTGGAAACATTCCTTGAGTAGAATCTGCAAGTTGATATTTAGATAGATTTGAAGATTTCGTTGGAAACGGGAATATCTCCATATAAAATCTAGAGGGAAGCATTCTCAGAAACTGCTTTGTGATGTTTCCATTCAAGTCACAGAGTTGAATATTCCCTTTTATAGAGCACGTTTGAAACACTCTTTCTGCACTATCTGGAAGCGGACATTTCGAGCGCTTTGAGGCCTATGGTGAAAAAGGAAATATCTTCCCATAAAAACTAGACAGAAGCATTCTCAGAAACTTGTTTGTGATGTGTGTATTCAACTAACAGAGTTGAACTTTTGTTTTTACAGAGCCGTTTTAAAACACTCTTTTTGTGGAATCAGAAAGTGGATATTCGGATGGCTCTGAGGATTTCGTTGGAAGCGGGATTACGTAAAAAATCTAGAGAGAAGCATTCTCAGGAACTTCTTTGTGATGTTTGCATTGAAGTCACAGAATTGAACATTCACTTTGATAGAGCAGGTTTGAAACACTCATTCTGTAGGATCTGGAAGTGGACATTTCAAGCGCTTTCAGGCCTATGGTGAGAAAGGAAATATCTTCGAATAAAAACTAGACAGAAGCATCCTCAAACTTATTTGTGATGTGTGTCCTCAACTAACAGAGTTGAAACTTTGTTTTGATACAGCATTTTGGAAACACTCTTTTTGTAGAATCTGCAGGTGGATATTTGGATAGCTTAGAGGGATTCGTTGGAAAGGGGATATCTTCATATAGAATCTAGACAGAAGCATTCTCAGAAACTTATTTGTGATGTGTGTCCTCAACTAACAGAGTTGAACTTTGGTTTTGATACAGCATTTTGGAAACACTCCTTTTGTAGAATCTGCAGGTGGATATGTGGATAGCTCTGAAGATTTCGTTGGAAACGGGAATTTCTTCATATAAAATCAAACAGAAGCATTCTCAGAAACTTCTCAGTGATGTTTGCATTCAGTTCATGGAGTTGAACACTTCCTTTCATAGAGCCGGTTTGAAACACTCTTTCTGCACTACCTGGAAGAGGACATTTCGAGCGCTTTGAGTCCTATGGTGAAAAAGGAAATATCTTCTCATAGAAACCAGAAAGAAGCATTCTCAGAAATTTCTTTGTGTTGTGTGTACTCATGTAACAGTGTTGAACCATCCTTTTGACAGAGGAGTTTTGAAACACTCTTTTTGTAGAATCTGCAAGTGGATATTTGGATAGCTTTGAGGATTTCGTTGGAAACGGGATGACATATAATATCTAGAGAGAAGCATTCTCAGGAACTTCTTTGTGATGTTTGCATTCAAGTCACAGAATTGAACATTCCCTTTCATAGAGCAGGTTTGAAACACTCTTTCTCTAGTATCTGGAAGTGGGCATTTCAAGCGCTTTCAGGCCTATGGAGAGAAAGGAAATACCTTCAAATAAAAACTAGACAGAAGCATTCTCAGAAACTTACTTGTGATGTGTGTCCTCAACTAACAGAGTTGAACCTTTGTTTTGATACAGCATTTTGGAAACACTCCTTTTGTAGAATCTGCAGGTGGATATTTGGATAGCTTTGAAGATTTCGTTGGAAACCGGAATATCTTCATATAAAATCAAGACAGAAGCATTCTCAGAAACTTCTCTGTGATGTTTGCATTCAGCTCATGGAGTTGAACACTTCCTTTCATAGAGCAGGTTTGAAACACTCTTTCTGCACTACCTGGAAGCGGACATTTCGAGCGCTTTGAGGCCTATGGTGAAAAAGGAAATATCTTCTCATAAAAACCAGAAAGACGCATTCTCAGAAACTTCTTTGTGTTGTGTGTACTCAAGTAACAGTGTTGAACCTTCCTTTTGACAGAGCAGGTTTGAAACACTCTTTTGGTAGAATCTGCAAGTGGATATTTGGATAGCTTTGAGGATTTCGTTGGAAACGGGTTATCTTCATATAAAATCCAGACAGGAGCATTCACAGAAACTTCTTTGTGCTGTATGTCCTCAATTCACAGAGCTGAACCTTTGTTTGGATACAGCATTTTGGAAACATTCCTTTAGTAGAATCTGCAAGTTGATATTTAGATAGCTTTGAAGATTTCATTGGAAACGGGAATATCTTCATAGAAAATCTAGACGGAAGCATTCTCATAAACTGCTTTGTGATGTTTGCATTCAAGTCACAGAGTTGAATATTCCCTTTTATAGAGTAGGTTTGAAACACTCTTTCGGCACTACCTGGAAGTGGATATTTCGAGCTCTTTGAGGCCTATGCTTAAAAGGAAATATCTTCCCATAAAAACTAGACAGAAGCCGTCTCAGAAACTTGTTTGTGATGTGTGTATTCAACTAACGGAGTTGAACATTTCTGTTACAGAGCAATTTTAAAACACTCTTTCTGTGAAATCTGAAAGTGGATAATTGGATAGCTTTGTGGATTTCGTTGGAAACGGGATGACGTATAAAATCTAGAGAGAAGCATTCTCAGGAACTTCTTTCTGATGTTTGCATTCAAGTCACAGAATTGAACATTCCTTTTCATAGTGCAGGTTTGAAACGCTCTTTCTGTAGCATCTGGAAGTGGACATTTCAAGCGCTTTCAGGCCTATGGGGAGAAAGGAAATATCTTCAAATAAAAACTAGACAGAAGGATTCTCAGAAACTTATTGGTGATGTGTGTCCTAAACGAACACAGTTGAACCTTTGTTTTGATACAGCCTTTTGGAAACACTCCTTTTGTAGAATCTGCAGGTGGATATTTGGATAGATTTTAAGATTTCGTTGGAAACGGGAATTTCTTCATAGAAACTCAAGACAGATGCATTCTCAGAAACTTCTACTGTGATGTTTGCATTCCACTCATAGAGTTGAAAACTTCCTTTCATAGAGCAGGTTTGAAACACTCTTTTTGTAATATTTGGAAGTGGACATTTGCAGCGCTTTGAGGCCTATGGTGAAAAAGGAAATATCTTCTCATAAAAACCAGAAACAAGCATTCTCAGAAACTGCTTTTTGATGTGTGTACTCAAGTAACAGAGTTGAACCTTCCTTTTGACACAGCAGTTTTGAAACAATCTTTTTGTAGAATCTGCAAGTGGATATTTGGATAGCTTTGAGGATTTCGTTGGAAACGGGATATCTTCATATAAAATCTAGACAGAAGCATTCTCAGAAACTTCTTTGTGCTGTATGTCCTCAATTAACAGAGTTGAACCATTGCTTGGATACAGCATTTTGGAAACATTCCTTTAGTAGAATCTGCAAGTTGATATTTAGATAGCATTGAAGATTTCGTTGGAAACGGGAATATCTTCATATAAAATTCTAGACGGAGGCATTCTCAGAAACTGCTTTGTGATGTTTCCATTCAAGTCACAGAGTTGAATATTCTCTTTTATAGAGCACGTTTGAAACACTCTTTCTGCACTATCTGGAAGTGGACATTTCGAGCGCTTTGAGGCCTATGGTGAAAAAGGAAATATCTTCCCATAAAAACTAGACAGAAGCATTCTCAGACACTTGTTTGTGATGTGTGTATTCAACTAACAGACTTGAACTTTTGTTTTTACAGAGCAGTTTGAAAACAATCTTTTTGTGGAATCAGAAAGTGGATATTCGGATGGCTTTGAGGATTTCGTTGGAAGCGGGATTACATATAAAATGTAGAGAGAAGCATTCTCAGGATCTACTTTGTGATGTTTGCATTGAAGTCACAGAATTGAACATTCACTTTGATAGAGCAGGTTTGAAACACTCATTCTGTAGTATCTGGAAGTGGACATTTCAAGCGCTTTCAGGCCTATGGGGAGAAAGGAAATATCTTCAAATTAAAACTAGACAGAAGCATCCTCAGAAACTTATTTGTGATGTGTGTCCTCAACTAACAGAGTTGAAACTTTGTTTTGATACAGCATTTTGGAAACACTCTTTTTGTAGAATCTGCAGGTGGATACTTGGATAGCTTAGAGGGATTCGTTGGAAAGGGGATAAATTCATATAAAATCTAGACAGAAGCATTCTCAGAAACTTATTTGTGATGTGTGTCCTCAACTAACAGAGTTGAACCTTGGTTTTGATACAGCATTTTGGAAACACTCCTTTTGAAGAATCTGCAGGTGGATATGTGGATAGCTTTGAAGATTTCGTTGGAAACGGGAATTTCTTCATATAGAATCAAACAGAAGCATTCTCAGGAACTTCTCTGTGATGTTTGCATTCAGCTCATGGAGTTGAACACTTCCTTTCATAGAGCAGGTTTGAAACACTCTTTCTGCACTACCTGGAAGTGGACATTTCGAGCGCTTTGAGGCCTATGGTGAAAAAGGAAATATCCTCTCATAAAAACCAGAAAGAAGCGTTCTCAGAAACTTCTTTGTGTTGTGTGTACTCATGTAACAGTGTTGAACCATCCTTTTGACAGAGCAGTTTTGAAACACTCTTTTTGTAGAATCTGCCAGTGGATATTTGGATAGCTTTGAGGATTTCGTTGGAAACGGGTTATCTTCATATTAAATCTAGACAGAAGCATTCTCAGAAACTTCTTTGTGCTGTATGTCCTCAATTCACAGAGTTGAACCTTTGTTTGGATACAGCATTTTGGAAACATTCCTTTAGTAGAATCTGCAAGTTGATATTTAGATAGCTTTGAAGATTTCGTTGGAAACGGGAATATCTTCATAAAAAATCTAGACGGAAGCATTGTCAGAAACTGCTCTGTGATGTTTGCATTCAAGTCACAGAGTTAAATATTCTTTTATAGAGCAGGTTTGAAACACTCTTTCTGCACTCCCTGGAAGTGGAGATTTCGAGCGCTTTGAGGCCTATGGTGAAAAAGGAAATATCTTCCCATAAAAACTAGACGGAAGCATTCTCAGAAACTTGTTTGTGATGTGTGTATTCAACTAACAGAGTTGAACTTTTGTTTTTACAGAGCCGTTTTAAAACACTCTTTTTGTGGAATCAGAAAGTGGATATTCGGATGGCTCTGAGGATTTCGTTGGAAGCGGGATTACGTATAAAATCTAGAGAGAAGCATTCTCAGGAACTTCTTTCTGATGTTTGCATTGAAGTCACGGAATTGAACATTCACTTTTATAGAGCAGGTTTGAAACACTCATTCTGTAGTATCTGGAAGTGGACATTTCAAGCGCTTTCAGGCCTATGGTGAGAAAGGAAATATCTTCGAATAAAAACTAGACAGAAGCATCCTCAGAAACTTATTTGTGATGTGTGTCCTCAACTAACAGAGTTGAAACTTTGTTTTGATACAGCATTTTGGAAACACTCTTTTTGTAGAATCTGCAGGTGGATATTTGGATAGCTTAGAGGGATTCGTTGGAAAGGGGATATCTTCATATAAAATCTAGACAGAAGCATTCTCAGAAACTTATTTGTGATGTGTGTCCTCAACTAACAGAGTGGAACCTTGGTTTTGATACAGCATTTTGGAAACACTCCTTTTGTAGAATCTGCAGGTGGATATGTGGATAGCTTTGAAGATTTCGTTGGAAACGGGAATTTCTTCATATAAAATCAAACAGAAGCATTCTCAGAAACTTCTCTGTGATGTTTGCATTCAGCTCATGGAGTTGAACACTTCCTTTCATAGAGCAGCTTTGAAACACTCTTTCTGCACTACCAGGAAGTGGACATTTCGAGCGCTTTGAGGCCTATGGTGAAAAAGGAAATATCTTCTCATAAAAACCAGAAAGAAGCATTCTCAGAAACTTCTTTGTGTTGTGTGTACTCAAGTAACAGTGTTGAACCTTCCTTTTGACAGAGTAGTTTTGAAACACTCTTTTGGTAGAATCTGCAAGTGGATATTTGGATAGCTTTGAGGATTTCGTTGGAAACGGGATGACATATAATATCTAGAGAGAAGCATTCTCAGGAACTTCTTTGTGATGTTTGCATTCAAGTCACAGAATTGAACATTCCCTTTCATAGAGCAGGTTTGAAACACTCTTTCTCTAGTATCTGGAAGTGGGCATTTCAAGCGCTTTCAGGCCTATGGAGAGAAAGGAAATACCTTCAAATAAAAACTAGACAGAAGCATTCTCAGAAACTTATTTGTGATGTGTGTCCTCAACTAACAGAGTTGAACCTTTGTTTTGATACAGCATTTTGGAAACACTCCTTTTGTAGAATCTGCAGGTGGATATTTGGATAGCTTTGAAGATTTCGTTGGAAACCGGAATATCTTCATATAAAATCAAGACAGAAGCATTCTCGGAAACATCTCTGTGATGTTTGCATTCAACTCAGTAGAGTTGAACACTTCCTTTCATAGAGCAGGTTTGAAACACTCTTTCTGCACTACCTGGAAGCGGACATTTCGAGCGCTTTGAGGCCTATGGTGAAAAAGGAAATATCTTCTCATAAAAACCAGAAAGAAGCATTCTCAGAAACTTCTTTGTGTTGTGTGTACTCAAGTAACAGTGTTGAACCTTCCTTTTGACAGAGTAGTTTTGAAACACTCTTTTGGTAGAATCTGCAAGTGGATATTTGGATAGCTTTGAGGATTTCGTTGGAAACGGGTTATCTTCATATAAAATCCAGACAGGAGCATTCTCAGAAACTTCTTTGTGCTGTATGTCCTCAATTCACAGCAGCTGAACCTTTGTTTGGATACAGCATTTTGGAGACATTCCTTTAGTAGAATCTGCAAGTTGATATTTAGATAGCTTTGAAGATTTCGTTGGAAACGGGAATATCTTCATAGAAAATCTAGACGGAAGCATTCTCAGAAACTGCTTTGTGATGTTTGCATTCAAGTCACAGAGTTGAATATTCCCTTTTATAGAGTAGGTTTGAAACACTCTTTCGGCACTACCTGGAAGTGGATATTTCGAGCTCTTTGAGGCCTATGGTTAAAAGGAAATATCTTCCCATAAAAACTAGACAGAAGCCGTCTCAGAAACTTGTTTGTGATGTGTGTATTCAACTACCAGAGTTGAACATTTCTGTTACAGAGCAATTTTAAAACACTCTTTCTGTGGAATCTGAAAGTGGATAATTGGATAGCTTTGTGGATTTCGTTGGAAACGGGATGACGTATAAAATCTAGAGAGAAGCATTCTCAGGAACTTCTTTCTGATGTTTGCATTCAAGTCACAGAATTGAACATTCCTTTTCAGAGTGCAGGTTTGAAACACTCTTTCTGTAGTATCTGGAAGTGGACATTTCAAGCGCTTTCAGGCCTACGGGGAGAAAGGAAATATCTTCAAATAAAAACTAGACAGAAGGATTCTCAGAAACTTATTTGTGATGTGTGTCCTAAACGAACACAGTTGAACCTTTGTTTTGATACAGCATTTTGGAAACACTCCTTTTGTAGAATCTGCAGGTGGATATTTGGATAGATTTTAAGATTTCATTGGAAACGGGAATTTCTTCATATAAACTCAAGACAGATGCATTCTCAGAAACTTCTCTGTGATGTTTGCATTCCACTCATAGAGTTGAAAACTTCCTTTCATAGAGCAGGTTTGAAACACTCTTTTTGTAATATTTGGAAGTGGACATTTGCAGCGCTTTGAGGCCTATGGTGAAAAAGGAAATATCTTCTCATAAAAACCAGAAACAAGCATTCTCAGAAACTTCTTTTTGATGTGTGTACTCAAGTAACAGAGTTGAACCTTCCTCTTGACACAGCAGTTTTGAAACAATCTTTTTGTAGAATCTGCAAGTGGATATTTGGATAGCTTTGAGGATTTTGTTGGAAACGGGATATCTTCATATAAAATCTAGACAGAAGCATTCTCAGAAACTTCTTTGTGCTGTATGTCCTCAATTAACAGAGTTGAACCATTGCCTGGATACAGCATTTTGGAAACATTCCTTGAGTAGAATCTGCAAGTTGATATTTAGATAGATTTGAAGATTTCGTTGGAAAAGGGAATATCTCCATATAAAATCTAGAGGGAAGCATTCTCAGAAACTGCTTTGTGATGTTTCCATTCAAGTCACAGAGTTGAATATTCCCTTTTATAGAGCACGTTTGAAACACTCTTTCTGCACTATCTGGAAGCGGACATTTCGAGCGCTTTGAGGCCTATGGTGAAAAAGGAAATATCTTCCCATAAAAACTAGACAGAAGCATTCTCAGAAACTTGTTTGTGATGTGTGTATTCAACTAACAGAGTTGAACTTTTGTTTTTACAGAGCCGTTTTAAAACACTCTTTTTGTGGAATCAGAAAGTGGATATTCGGATGGCTCTGAGGATTTCGTTGGAAGCGGGATTACGTATAAAATCTAGAGAGAAGCATTCTCAGGAACTTCTTTGTGATGTTTGCATTGAAGTCACAGAATTGAACATTCACTTTGATAGAGCAGGTTTGAAACACTCATTCTGTAGTATCTGGAAGTGGACATTTCAAGCGCTTTCAGGCCTATGGTGAGAAAGGAAATATCTTCGAATAAAAACTAGACAGAAGCATCCTCAAACTTATTTGTGATGTGTGTCCTCAACTAACAGAGTTGAAACTTTGTTTTGATACAGCATTTTGGAAACACTCTTTTTGTAGAATCTGCAGGTGGATATTTGGATAGCTTAGAGGGATTCGTTGGAAAGGGGATATCTTCATATAAAATCTAGACAGAAGCATTCTCAGAAACTTATTTGTGATGTGTGTCCTCAACTAACAGAGTTGAACCTTGGTTTTGATACAGCATTTTGGAAACACTCCTTTTGTAGAATCTGCAGGTGGATATGTGGATAGCTCTGAAGATTTCGTTGGAAACGGGAATTTCTTCATATAAAATCAAACAGAAGCATTCTCAGAAACTTCTCAGTGATGTTTGCATTCAGCTCATGGAGTTGTACACTTCCTTTCATAGAGCAAGTTTGAAACACTCTTTCTGCACTACCTGGAAGAGGACATTTCGAGCGCTTTGAGTCCTATGGTGAAAAAGGAAATATCTTCTCATAGAAACCAGAAAGAAGCATTCTCAGAAACTTCTTTGTGTTGTGTGTACTCATGTAACAGTGTTGAACCATCCTTTTGACAGAGCAGTTTTGAAACACTCTTTTTGTAGAATCTGCAAGTGGATATTTGGATAGCTTTGAGGATTTCGTTGGAAACGGGATGACATATAATATCTAGAGAGAAGCATTCTCAGGAACTTCTTTGTGATGTTTGCATTCAAGTCACAGAATTGAACATTCCCTTTCATAGAGCAGGTTTGAAACACTCTTTCTCTAGTATCTGGAAGTGGGCATTTCAAGCGCTTTCAGGCCTATGGAGAGAAAGGAAATACCTTCAAATAAAAACTAGACAGAAGCATTCTCAGAAACTTATTTGTGATGTGTGTCCTCAACTAACAGAGTTGAACCTTTGTTTTGATACAGCATTTTGGAAACACTCCTTTTGTAGAATCTGCAGGTGGATATTTGGATAGCTTTGAAGATTTCGTTGGAAACCGGAATATCTTCATATAAAATCAAGACAGAAGCATTCTCGGAAACATCTCTGTGATGTTTGCATTCAACTCAGTAGAGTTGAACACTTCCTTTCATAGAGCAGGTTTGAAACACTCTTTCTGCACTACCTGGAAGCGGACATTTCGAGCGCTTTGAGGCCTATGGTGAAAAAGGAAATATCTTCTCATAAAAACCAGAAAGAAGCATTCTCAGAAACTTCTTTGTGTTGTGTGTACTCAAGTAACAGTGTTGAACCTTCCTTTTGACAGAGCAGTTTTGAAACACTCTTTTGGTAGAATCTGCAAGTGGATATTTGGATAGCTTTGAGGATTTCGTTGGAAACGGGTTATCTTCATATAAAATCCAGACAGGAGCATTCTCAGAAACTTCTTTGTGCTGTATGTCCTCAATTCACAGAGCTGAACCTTTGTTTGGATACAGCATTTTGGAGACATTCCTTTAGTAGAATCTGCAAGTTGATATTTAGATAGCTTTGAAGATTTCGTTGGAAACGGGAATATCTTCATAGAAAATCTAGACGGAAGCATTCTCAGAAACTGCTTTGTGATGTTTGCATTCAAGTCACAGAGTTGAATATTCCCTTTTATAGAGTAGGTTTGAAACACTCTTTCGGCACTACCTGGAAGTGGATATTTCGAGCTCTTTGAGGCCTATGGTTAAAAGGAAATATCTTCCCATAAAAACTAGACAGAAGCCGTCTCAGAAACTTGTTTGTGATGTGTGTATTCAACTAACAGAGTTGAACATTTCTGTTACAGAGCAATTTTAAAACACTCTTTTTGTGGAATCTGAAAGTGGATAATTGGGTAGCTTTGTGGATTTCGTTGGAAACGGGATGACGTATAAAATCTAGAGAGAAGCATTCTCAGGAACTTCTTTCTGATGTTTGCATTCAAGTCACAGAATTGACATTCCTTTTCAGAGTGCAGGTTTGAAACACTCTTTCTGTAGTATCTGGAAGTGGACATTTCAAGCGCTTTCAGGCCTACGGGGAGAAAGGAAATATCTTCAAATAAAAACTAGACAGAAGGATTCTCAGAAACTTATTTGTGATGTGTGTCCTAAACGAACACAGTTGAACCTTTGTTTTGATACAGCATTTTGGAAACACTCCTTTTGTAGGATCTGCAGGTGGATATTTGGATAGATTTTAAGATTTCGTTGGAAACGGGAATTTCTGCATATAAACTCAAGACAGATGCATTCTCAGAAACTTCTCTGTGATGTTTGCATTCCACTCATAGAGTTGAAAACTTCCTTTCATAGAGCAGGTTTGAAACACTCTTTTTGTAATATTTGGAAGTGGACATTTGCAGCGCTTTGAGGCCTATGGTGAAAAAGGAAATATCTTCTCATAAAAACCAGAAACAAGCATTCTCAGAAACTTCTTTTTGATGTGTGTACTCAAGTAACAGAGTTGAACCTTCCTTTTGACACAGCAGTTTTGAAACAATCTTTTTGTAGAATCTGCAAGTGGATATTTGGATAGCTTTGAGGATTTCGTTGGAAACGGGATATCTTCATATAAAATCTAGACAGAAGCATTCTCAGAAACTTCTTTGTGCTGTATGTCCTCAATTAACAGAGTTGAACCATTGCCTGGATACAGCATTTTGGAAACATTCCTTGAGTAGAATCTGCAAGTTGATATTTAGATAGATTTGAAGATTTCGTTGGAAAAGGGAATATCTCCATATAAAATCTAGAGGGAAGCATTCTCAGAAACTGCTTTGTGATGTTTCCATTCAAGTCACAGAGTTGAATATTCCCTTTTATAGAGCACGTTTGAAACACTCTTTCTGCACTATCTGGAAGCGGACATTTCGAGCGCTTTGAGGCCTATGGTGAAAAAGGAAATATCTTCCCATAAAAACTAGACAGAAGCATTCTCAGAAACTTGTTTGTGATGTGTGTATTCAACTAACAGAGTTGAACTTTTGTTTTTACAGAGCCGTTTTAAAACACTCTTTTTGTGGAATCAGAAAGTGGATATTCGGATGGCTCTGAGGATTTCGTTGGAAGCGGGATTACGTATAAAATCTAGAGAGAAGCATTCTCAGGAACTTCTTTGTGATGTTTGCATTGAAGTCACAGAATTGAACATTCACTTTTATAGAGCAGGTTTGAAACACTCATTCTGTAGTATCTGGAAGTGGACATTTCAAGCGCTTTCAGGCCTATGGTGAGAAAGGAAATATCTTCAAATAAAAACTAGACTGAAGCATCCTCAAACTTATTTGTGATGTGTGTCCTCAACTAACAGCAGTTGAAACTTTGTTTTGATACAGCATTTTGGAAACACTCTTTTTGTAGAATCTGCAGGTGGATATTTGGATAGCTTAGAGGGATTCGTTGGAAAGGGGATATCTTCATATAAAATCTAGACAGAAGCATTCTCAGAAACTTATTTGTGATGTGTGTCCTCAACTAACAGAGTTGAACCTTTGTTTTGATACAGCATTTTGGAAACACTCCTTTTGTAGAATCTGCAGGTGGATATGTGGAGAGCTCTGAAGATTTCGTTGGAAACGGGAATTTCTTCATATAAAATCAAACAGAAGCATTCTCAGAAACTTCTCTGTGATGTTTGCATTCAGCTCATGGAGTTGAACACTTCCTTTCATAGAGCAGGTTTGAAACACTCTTTCTGCACTACCAGGAAGTGGACATTTCGAGCGCTTTGAGGCCTATGGTGAAAAAGGAAATATCTTCTCATAAAAACCAGAAAGAAGCGTTCTCAGAAACTTCTTTGTGTTGTGTGTACTCATGTAACAGTGTTGAACCATCCTTTTGACAGAGCAGTTTTGAAACACTCTTTTTGTAGAATCTGCAAGTGGATATTTGGATAGCTTTGAGGATTTCGTTGGAAACGGGTTATCTTCATATTAAATCTAGACAGAAGCATTCTCAGAAACTTCTTTGTGCTGTATGTCCTCAATTCACAGTGTTGAACCTTTGTTTGGATACAGCATTTTGGAAACATTCCTTTAGTAGAATCTGCAAGTTGATATTTAGATAGCTTTCAAGATTTCGTTGGAAACGGGAATATCTTCATAAAAAATCTAGACGGAAGCATTCTCAGAAACTGCTTTGTGATGTTTGCATTCAAGTCACAGAGTTGAATATTCCCTTTTATAGAGTAGGTTTGAAACACTCTTTCGGCACTACCTGGAAGTGGATATTTCGAGCTCTTTGAGGCCTATGGTTAAAAGGAAATATCTTCCCATAAAAACTAGACAGAAGCCGTCTCAGAAACTTGTTTGTGATGTGTGTATTCAACTAACAGAGTTGAACA
Source organism: Homo sapiens (assembly GCF_000001405.40). Lineage (NCBI taxonomy): Eukaryota > Metazoa > Chordata > Mammalia > Primates > Hominidae > Homo > Homo sapiens. Next base: position 50,777,696 of record NC_000004.12, read on the forward strand.
TTTCTGTTACAGAGCAATTTTAAAACACTCTTTTTGTGGAATCTGAAAGTGGATAATTGGATAGCTTTGTGGATTTCGTTGGAAACGGGATGACGTATAAAATACTAGAGAGAAGCATTCTCAGGAACTTCTTTCTGATGTTTGCATTCAAGTCACAGAATTGAACATTCCTTTTCATAGTGCAGGTTTGAAACACTCTGTAGTATCTGGAAGTGGACATTTCAAGCGCTTTCAAGCCTATGGGGAGAAAGGAAATATCTTGAAATAAAAACTAGACAGAAGGATTCTCAGAAACTTATTTGTGATGTGTGTCCTAAACGAACACAGTTGAACCTTTGTTTTGATACAGCATTTTGGAAACACTCCTTTTGTAGAATCTGCAGGTGGATATTTGGATAGATTTTAAGATTTCATTGGAAACGGGAATTTCTTCATATAAACTCAAGACAGATGCATTCTCAGAAACTTCTCTGTGATGTTTGCATTCCACTCACAGAGTTGAAAACTTCCTTTCATAGAGCAGGTTTGAAACACTCTTTTTGTAATATTTGGAAGTGGACATTTGCAGCGCTTTGAGGCCTATGGTGAAAAAGGAAATATCTTCTCATAAAAACCAGAAACAAGCATTCTCAGAAACTGCTTTTTGATGTGTGTACTCAAGTAACAGAGTTGAACCTTCCTTTTGACACAGCAGTTTTGAAACAATCTTTTTGTAGAATCTGCAAGTGGATATTTGGATAGCTTTGAGGATTTCGTTGGAAACGGGATATCTTCATATAAAATCTAGACAGAAGCATTCTCAGAAACTTCTTTGTGCTGTATGTCCTCAATTAACAGAGTTGAACCATTGCTTGGATACAGCATTTTGGAAACATTCCTTTAGTAGAATCTGCAAGTTGATATTTAGATAGATTTGAAGATTTCGTTGGAAACGGGAATATCTTCATATAAAATCTAGACGGAGGCATTCTCAGAAACTGCTTTGTGATGTTTCCATTCAAGTCACAGAGTTGAATATTCTCTTTTATAGAGCACGTTTGAAACACTCTTTCTGCACTATCTGGAAGTGGACATTTCGAGCGCTTTGAGGCCTAAGGTGAAAAAGGAAATATCTTCCCATAAAAACTAGACAGAAGCATTCTCAGAAACTTGTTTGTGATGTGTGTATTCAACTAACAGAGTTGAACTTTTGTTTTTACAGAGCCGTTTTAAAACACTCTTTTTGTGGAATCAGAAAGTGGATATTCGGATGGCTCTGAGGATTTCGTTGGAAGCGGGATTACATATAAAATCTAGAGAGAAGCATTCTCAGGAACTTCTTTGTGATGTTTGCATTGAAGTCACAGAATTGAACATTCACTTTGATAGAGCAGGTTTGAAACACTCATTCTGTAGGATCTGGAAGTGGACATTTCAAGCGCTTTCAGGCCTATGGTGAGAAAGGAAATATCTTCGAATAAAAACTAGACAGAAGCATCCTCAGAAACTTATTTGTGATGTGTGTCCTCAACTAACAGAGTTGAACCTTGGTTTTGATACAGCATTTTGGAAACACTCTTTTTGTAGAATCTGCAGGTGGATATTTGGATAGCTTAGAGGGATTCGTTGGAAAGGGGATATCTTCATATAAAATCTAGACAGAAGCATTCTCAGAAACTTATTTGTGATGTGTGTCCTCAACTAACAGAGTGGAACCTTGGTTTTGATACAGCATTTTGGAAACACTCCTTTTGTAGAATCTGCAGGTGGATATGTGGATAGCTTTGAAGATTTCGTTGGAAACGGGAATTTCTTCATATAAAATCAAACAGAAGCATTCTCAGAAACTTCTCAGTGATGTTTGCATTCAGTTCATGGAGTTGAACACTTCCCTTCATAGAGCCGGTTTGAAACACTCTTTCTGCACTACCTGGAAGAGGACATTTCGAGCGCTTTGAGTCCTATGGTGAAAAAGGAAATATCTTCTCATAGAAACCAGAAAGAAGCATTCTCAGGAACTTCTTTGTGATGTTTGCATTGAAGTCACAGAATTGAACATTCACTTTGATAGAGAAGTTTTGAAACACTCATTCTGTAGTATCTGGAAGCGGACATTTCAAGCGCTTTCAGGCCTATGGTGAGAAAGGAAATATCTTCAAATAAAAACTAGACAGAAGCATCCTCAGAAACTTACTTGTGATGTGTGTCCTCAACTAACAGAGTTGAAACTTTGTTTTGATACAGCATTTTGGAAACACTCTTTTTGTAGAATCTGCAGGTGGATATTTGGATAGCTTAGAGGGATTCGTTGGAAAGGGGATATCTTCATATAAAATCTAGACAGAAGCATTCTCAGAAACTTATTTGTGATGTGTGTCCTCAACTAACAGAGTTGAACCTTTGTTTTGATACAGCATTTTGGAAACACTCCTTTTGTAGAATCTGCAGGTGGATATTTGGATAGCTTTGAAGATTTCGTTGGAAACCGGAATATGCTTCATATAAAATCAAGACAGAAGCATTCTCGGAAACATCTCTGTGATGTTTGCATTCAACTCAGTAGAGTTGAACACTTCCTTTCATAGAGCAGGTTTGAAACACTCTTTCTGCACTACCTGGAAGCGGACATTTCGAGCGCTTTGAGGCCTATGGTGAAAAAGGAAATATCTTCTCATAAAAACCAGAAAGAAGCATTCTCAGAAACTTCTTTGTGTTGTGTGTACTCAAGTAACAGTGTTGAACCTTCCTTTTGACAGAGCAGTTTTGAAACACTCTTTTGGTAGAATCTGCAAGTGGATATTTGGAGAGCTTTGAGGATTTCGTTGGAAACGGGTTATCTTCCTATAAAATCCAGACAGGAGCATTCTCAGAAACTTCTTTGTGCTGTATGTCCTCAATTCACAGAGCTGAACCTTTGTTTGGATACAGCATTTTGGAGACATTCCTTTAGTAGAATCTGCAAGTTGATATTTAGATAGCTTTGAAGATTTCGTTGGAAACGGGAATATCTTCATAGAAAATCTAGACGGAAGCATTCTCAGAAACTGCTTTGTGATGTTTGCATTCAAGTCACAGAGTTGAATATTCCCTTTTATAGAGTAGGTTTGAAACACTCTTTCGGCACTACCTGGAAGTGGATATTTCGAGCTCTTTGAGGCCTATGGTTAAAAGGAAATATCTTCCCATAAAAACTAGACAGAAGCCGTCTCAGAAACTTGTTTGTGATGTGTGTATTCAACTAACAGAGTTGAACATTTCTGTTACGGAGCAATTTTAAAACACTCTTTGTGGAATCTGAAAGTGGATAATTGGATAGCTTTGTGGATTTCGTTGGAAACGGGATGACGTATAAAATCTAGAGAGAAGCATTCTCAGGAAACTTCTTTCTGATGTTTGCATTCAAGTCACAGAATTGAACATTCCTTTTCATAGTGCAGGTTTGAAACACTCTGTAGTATCTGGAAGTGGACATTTCAAGCGCTTTCAGGCCTATGGGGAGAAAGGAAATATCTTGAAATAAAAACTAGACAGGAGGATTCTCAGAAACTTATTGGTGATGTGTGTCCTAAACGAACACAGTTGAACCTTTGTTTTGATACAGCATTTTGGAAACACTCCCTTTGTAGAATCTGCAGGTGGATATTTGGATAGATTTTAAGATTTCGTTGGAAACGGGAATTTCTTCATATAAACTCAAGACAGATGCATTCTCCGAAACTTCTCTGTGATGTTTGCATTCCACTCATAGAGTTGAAAACTTCCTTTCATAGAGCAGGTTTGAAACACTCTTTTTGTAATATTTGGAAGTGGACATTTGCAGCGCTTTGAGGCCTATGGTGAAAAAGGAAATATCTTCTCATAAAAACCAGAAACAAGCATTCTCAGAAACTTCTTTTTGATGTGTGTACTCAAGTAACAGAGTTGAACCTTCCTTTTGACACAGCAGTTTTGAAACAATCTTTTTGTAGAATCTGCAAGTGGATATTTGGATAGCTTTGAGGATTTCGTTGGAAACGGGATATCTTCATATAAAATCTGGACAGAAGCATTCTCAGAAACTTCTTTGTGCTGTATGTCCTCAATTAACAGAGTTGAACCATTGCTTGGATACAGCATTTTGGAAACATTCCTTTAGTAGAATCTGCAAGTTGATATTTAGATAGATTTGAAGATTTCGTTGGAAACGGGAATATCTTCATATAAAATCTAGACGGAAGCATTCTCAGAAACTGCTTTGGGATGTTTCCATTCAAGTCACAGAGTTGAATATTCTCTTTTATAGAGCACGTTTGAAACACTCTTTCTGCACTATCTGGAAGTGGACATTTCGAGCGCTTTGAGGCCTATGGTGAAAAAGGAAATATCTTCCCATAAAAACTAGACAGAAGCATTCTCAGAAACTTGTTTGTGATGTGTGTATTCAACTGAGTTGAACTTTTGTTTCTACAGAGCAGTTTTAAAACACTCTTTTTGTGGAATCAGAAAGTGGATATTCGGATGGCTCTGAGGATTTCGTTGGAAGCGGGATTACATATAAAATCTAGAGAGAAGCATTCTCAGGAACTTCTTTGTGATGTTTGCATTGAAGTCACAGAATTGATCATTCACTTTTATAGAGCAGGTTTGAAACACTCATTCTGTAGTATCTGGAAGTGGACATTTCAAGCGCTTTCAGGCCTATGGTGAGAAAGGAAATATCTTCAAATAAAAACTAGACAGAAACATCGTCAGAAACTTATTTGTGATGTGTGTCCTCAACTAACAGAGTTGAAATTTTGTTTTGATACAGCCTTTTGGAAACACTCTTTTTGTAGAATCTGCAGGTGCATATTTGGATAGCTTAGAGGGATTCGTTGGAAAGGGGATATCTTCATATAAAATCTAGACAGAAGCATTCTCAGAAACTTATTTGTGATGTGTGTCCTCAACTAACAGAGTTGAACCTTGGTTTTGATACAGCATTTTGGAAACCCTCCTTTTGTAGAATCTGCAGGTGGATATGTGGATAGCTTTGAAGATTTCGTTGGAAACGGGAATTTCTTCATGTAAAATCAAACAGAAGCATTCTCAGAAACTTCTCTGTGATGTTTGCATTCAGCTCATGGAGTTGAACACTTCCTTTCATAGAGCAGGTTTGAAACACTCTTTCTGCACTACCTGGAAGCGGACATTTCGAGCGCTTTGAGGCCTATGGTGAAAAAGGAAATATCTTCTCATAAAAACCAGAAGGAAGCATTCTCAGAAACTTCTTTGTGTTGTGTGTACTCAAGTAACAGTGTTGAACCTTCCTTTTGACAGAGCAGGTTTGAAACACTCTTTTGGTAGAATCTGCAAGTGGATATTTGGATAGCTTTGAGGATTTCGTTGGAAACGGGTTATCTTCATATAAAATCCAGACAGGAGCATTCTCAGAAACTTCTTTGTGCTGTATGTCCTCAATTAACAGAGTTGAACCATTGCTTGGATACAGCATTTTGGAAACATTCCTTTAGTAGAATCTGCAAGTTGATATTTAGATAGCTTTGAAGATTTCGTTGGAAACGGGAATATCTTCATATAAAATCTAGACGGAGGCATTCTCAGAAACTGCTTTGTGATGTTTCCATTCAAGTCACAGAGTTGAATATTCTCTTTTATAGAGCACGTTTGAAACACTCTTTCTGCACTATCTGGAAGTGGACATTTCGAGCGCTTTGAGGCCTATGGTGAAAAAGGAAATATCTTCCCATAAAAACTAGACAGAAGCATTCTCAGAAACTTGTTTGTGATGTGTGTATTCAACTAAGAGACTTGAACTTTTGTTTTTACAGAGCAGTTTTAAAACAATCTTTTTGTGGAATCAGAAAGTGGATTTTCGGATGGCTTTGAGGATTTCGTTGGAAGCGGGATTACATATAAAATCTAGAGAGAAGCATTCTCAGGAACTTCTTTCTGATGTTTGCATTGAAGTCACGGAATTGAACATTCACTTTGATAGAGCAGGTTTGAAACACTCATTCTGTAGTATCTGGAAGTGGACATTTCAAGCGCTTTCAGGCCTATGGTGAGAAAGGAAATATCTTCGAATAAAAACTAGACAGAAGCATCCTCAGAAACTTATTTGTGATGTGTGTCCTCAACTAACAGAGTTGAAACTTTGTTTTGATACAGCATTTTGGAAACACTCTTTTTGTAGAATCTGCAGGTGGATATTTGGATAGCTTAGAGGGATTCGTTGGAAAGGGGATATCTTCATATAAAATCTAGACAGAAGCATTCTCAGAAACTTATTTGTGATGTGTGTCCTCAACTAACAGAGTTGAACCTTGGTTTTGATACAGCATTTTGGAAACACTCCTTTTGTAGAATCTGCAGGTGGATATGTGGATAGCTCTGAAGATTTCGTTGGAAACGGGAATTTCTTCATATAAAATCAAACAGAAGCATTCTCAGAAACTTCTCAGTGATGTTTGCATTCAGCTCATGGAGTTGAACACTTCCTTTCATAGAGCAGGTTTGAAACACTCTTTCTGCACTACCTGGAAGAGGACATTTCGAGCGCTTTGAGTCCTATGGTGAAAAAGGAAATATCTTCTCATAGAAACCAGAAAGAAGCATTCTCAGAAACTTCTTTGTGTTGTGTGTACTCATGTAACAGTGTTGAACCATCCTTTTGACAGAGGAGTTTTGAAACACTCTTTTTGTAGAATCTGCAAGTGGATATTTGGATAGCTTTGAGGATTTCGTTGGAAACGGGATGACATATAATATGTAGAGAGAAGCATTCTCAGGCAACTTCTTTGTGATGTTTGCATTCAAGTCACAGAATTGAACATTCCCTTTCATAGAGCAGGTTTGAAACACTCTTTCTCAAGTATCTGGAAGTGGGCATTTCAAGCGCTTTCAGGCCTATGGAGAGAAAGGAAATACCTTCAAATAAAAACTAGACAGAAGCATTCTCAGAAACTTATTTGTGATGTGTGTCCTCAACTAACAGAGTTGAACCTTTGTTTTGATACAGCATTTTGGAAACACTCCTTTTGTAGAATCTGCAGGTGGATATTTGGATAGCTTTGAAGATTTCGTTGGAAACCGGAATATCTTCATATAAAATCAAGACAGAAGCATTCTCGGAAACATCTCTGTGATGTTTGCATTCAACTCAGTAGAGTTGAACACTTCCTTTCATAGAGCAGGTTTGAAACACTCTTTCTGCACTACCTGGAAGTGGACATTTCGAGCGCTTTGAGGCCTATGGTGAAAAAGGAAATATCTTCTCATAAAAACCAGAAAGAAGCATTCTCAGAAACTTCTTTGTGTTGTGTGTACTCAAGTAACAGTGTTGAACCTTCCTTTTGACAGAGCAGTTTTGAAACACACTTTTGGTAGAATCTGCAAGTGGATATTTGGAGAGATTTGAGGATTTCGTTGGAAACGGGTTATCTTCATATAAAATCCAGACAGGAGCATTCTCAGAAACTTCTTTGTGCTGTATGTCCTCAATTCACAGAGCTGAACCTTTGTTTGGATACAGCATTTTGGAGACATTCCTTTAGTAGAATCTGCAAGTTGATATTTAGATAGCTTTGAAGATTTCGATGGAAACGGGAATATCTTCATAGAAAATCTAGACGGAAGCATTCTCAGAAACTGCTTTGTGATGTTTGCATTCAAGTCACAGAGTTGAATATTCCCTTTTATAGAGTAGGTTTGAAACACTCTTTCGGCACTACCTGGAAGTGGATATTTCGAGCTCTTTGAGGCCTATGGTTAAAAGGAAATATCTTCCCATAAAAACTAGACAGAAGCCGTCTCAGAAACTTGTTTGTGATGTGTGTATTCAACTAACAGAGTTGAACATTTCTGTTACAGAGCAATTTTAAAACACTCTTTTTGTGGAATCTGAAAGTGGATAATTGGGTAGCTTTGTGGATTTCGTTGGAAACGGGATGACGTATAAAATCTAGAGAGAAGCATTCTCAGGAACTTCTTTCTGATGTTTGCATTCAAGTCACAGAATTGACATTCCTTTTCAGAGTGCAGGTTTGAAACACTCTTTCTGTAGTATCTGGAAGTGGACATTTCAAGCGCTTTCAGGCCTATGGGGAGAAAGGAAATATCTTCAAATAAAAACTAGACAGAAGGATTCTCAGAAACTTATTTGTGATGTGTGTCCTAAACGAACACAGTTGAACCTTTGTTTTGATACAGCATTTTGGAAACACTCCTTTTGTAGGATCTGCAGGTGGATATTTGGATAGATTTTAAGATTTCGTTGGAAACGGGAATTTCTGCATATAAACTCAAGACAGATGCATTCTCAGAAACTTCTCTGTGATGTTTGCATTCCACTCATAGAGTTGAAAACTTCCTTTCATAGAGCAGGTTTGAAACACTCTTTTTGTAATATTTGGAAGTGGACATTTGCAGCGCTTTGAGGCCTATGGTGAAAAAGGAAATATCTTCTCATAAAAACCAGAAACAAGCATTCTCAGAAACTTCTTTTTGATGTGTGTACTCAAGTAACAGAGTTGAACCTTCCTTTTGACACAGCAGTTTTGAAACAATCTTTTTGTAGAATCTGCAAGTGGATATTTGGATAGCTTTGAGGATTTCGTTGGAAACGGGATATCTTCATATAAAATCTAGACAGAAGCATTCTCAGAAACTTCTTTGTGCTGTATGACCTCAATTAACAGAGCTGAACCATTGCTTGCATACAGCATTTTGGAAACATTCCTTGAGTAGAATCTGCAAGTTGATATTTAGATAGATTTGAAGATTTCGTTGGAAAAGGGAATATCTCCATATAAAATCTAGAGGGAAGCATTCTCAGAAACTGCTTTGTGATGTTTCCATTCAAGTCACAGAGTTGAATATTCCCTTTTATAGAGCACGTTTGAAACACTCTTTCTGCACTATCTGGAAGCGGACATTTCGAGCGCTTTGAGGCCTATGGTGAAAAAGGAAATATCTTCCCATAAAAACTAGACAGAAGCATTCTCAGAAACTTGTTTGTGATGTGTGTATTCAACTAACAGAGTTGAACTTTTGTTTTTACAGAGCCGTTTTAAAACACTCTTTTTGTGGAATCAGAAAGTGGATATTCGGATGGCTCTGAGGATTTCGTTGGAAGCGGGATTACGTATAAAATCTAGAGAGAAGCATTCTCAGGAACTTCTTTCTGATGTTTGCATTGAAGTCACGGAATTGAACATTCACTTTTATAGAGCAGGTTTGAAACACTCATTCTGTAGTATCTGGAAGTGGACATTTCAAGCGCTTTCAGGCCTATGGTGAGAAAGGAAATATCTTCGAATAAAAACTAGACAGAAGCATCCTCAAACTTATTTGTGATGTGTGTCCTCAACTAACAGAGTTGAAACTTTGTTTTGATACAGCATTTTGGAAACACTCTTTTTGTAGAATCTGCAGGTGGATATTTGGATAGCTTAGAGGGATTCGTTGGAAAGGGGATATCTTCATATAGAATCTAGACAGAAGCATTCTCAGAAACTTATTTGTGATGTGTGTCCTCAACTAACAGAGTTGAACTTTGGTTTTGATACAGCATTTTGGAAACACTCCTTTTGTAGAATCTGCAGGTGGATATGTGGATAGCTCTGAAGATTTCGTTGGAAACGGGAATTTCTTCATATAAAATCAAACAGAAGCATTCTCAGAAACTTCTCAGTGATGTTTGCATTCAGTTCATGGAGTTGAACACTTCCTTTCATAGAGCCGGTTTGAAACACTCTTTCTGCACTACCTGGAAGAGGACATTTCGAGGGCTTTGAGTCCTATGGTGAAAAAGGAAATATCTTCTCATAGAAACCAGAAAGAAGCATTCTCAGAAACTTCTTTGTGTTGTGTGTACTCATGTAACAGTGTTGAACCATCCTTTTGACAGAGCAGTTTTGAAACACTCTTTTTGTAGAATCTGCAAGTGGATATTTGGATAGCTTTGAGGATTTCGTTGGAAACGGGATGACATATAATATCTAGAGAGAAGCATTCTCAGGAACTTCTTTGTGATGTTTGCATTCAAGTCACAGAATTGAACATTCCCTTTCATAGAGCAGGTTTGAAACACTCTTTCTCTAGTATCTGGAAGTGGGCATTTCAAGCGCTTTCAGGCCTATGGAGAGAAAGGAAATACCTTCAAATAAAAACTAGACAGAAGCATTCTCAGAAACTTATTTGTGATGTGTGTCCTCAACTAACAGAGTTGAACCTTGGTTTTGATACAGCATTTTGGAAACACTCCTTTTGTAGAATCTGCAGGTAGATATTTGGATAGCTTTGAAGATTTCGTTGGAAACCGGAATATCTTCATATAAAATCAAGACAGAAGCATTCTCGGAAACATCTCTGTGATGTTTGCATTCAACTCAGTAGAGTTGAACACTTCCTTTCATAGAGCAGGTTTGAAACACTCTTTCTGCACTACCTGGAAGCGGACATTTCGAGCGCTTTGAGGCCTATGGTGAAAAAGGAAATATCTTCTCATAAAAACCAGAAAGAAGCATTCTCAGAAACTTCTTTGTGTTGTGTGTACTCAAGTAACAGTGTTGAACCTTCCTTTTGACAGAGTAGTTTTGAAACACTCTTTTGGTAGAATCTGCAAGTGGATATTTGGATAGCTTTGAGGATTTCGTTGGAAACGGGTTATCTTCCTATAAAATCCAGACAGGAGCATTCTCAGAAACTTCTTTGTGTTGTATGTCCTCAATTCACAGAGCTGAACCTTTGTTTGGATACAGCATTTTGGAGACATTCCTTTAGTAGAATCTGCAAGTTGATATTTAGATAGCTTTGAAGATTTCGTTGGAAACGGGAATATCTTCATAGAAAATCTAGACGGAAGCATTCTCAGAAACTGCTTTGTGATGTTTGCATTCAAGTCACAGAGTTGAATATTCCCTTTTATAGAGTAGGTTTGAAACACTCTTTCGGCACTACCTGGAAGTGGATATTTCGAGCTCTTTGAGGCCTATGGTTAAAAGGAAATATCTTCCCATAAAAACTAGACAGAAGCCGTCTCAGAAACTTGTTTGTGATGTGTGTATTCAACTAACAGAGTTGAACATTTCTGTTACAGAGCAATTTTAAAACACTCTTTTTGTGGAATCTGAAAGTGGATAATTGGATAGCTTTGTGGATTTCGTTGGAAACGGGATGACGTATAAAATCTAGAGAGAAGCATTCTCAGGAACTTCTTTCTGATGTTTGCATTCAAGTCACAGAATTGAACATTCCTTTTCAGAGTGCAGGTTTGAAACACTCTTTCTGTAGTATCTGGAAGTGGACATTTCAAGCGCTTTCAGGCCTACGGGGAGAAAGGAAATATCTTCAAATAAAAACTAGACAGAAGGATTCTCAGAAACTTATTTGTGATGTGTGTCCTAAACGAACACAGTTGAACCTTTGTTTTGATACAGCATTTTGGAAACACTCCTTTTGTAGGATCTGCAGGTGGATATTTGGATAGATTTTAAGATTTCGTTGGAAACGGGAATTTCTTCATAGAAGCTCAAGACAGATGCATTCTCAGAAACTTTTCTGTGATGTTTGCATTCCACTCATAGAGTTGAAAACTTCCTTTCATAGAGCAGGTTTGAAACACTCTTTTTGTAATATTTGGAAGTGGACATTTGCAGCGCTTTGAGGCCTATGGTGAAAAAGGAAATATCTTCTCATAAAAACCAGAAACAAGCATTCTCAGAAACTGCTTTTTGATGTGTGTACTCAAGTAACAGAGTTGAACCTTCCTTTTGACACAGCAGTTTTGAAACAATCTTTTTGTAGAATCTGCAAGTGGATATTTGGATAGCTTTGAGGATTTCGTTGGAAACGGGATATCTTCATATAAAATGTAGACAGAAGCATTCTCAGAAACTTCTTTGTGCTGTATGTCCTCAATTAACAGAGTTGAACCATTGCTTGGATACAGCATTTTGGAAACATTCCTTTAGTAGAATCTGCAAGTTGATATTTAGATAGATTTGAAGATTTCGTTGGAAACGGGAATATCTTCATATAAAATCTAGACGGAAGCATTCTCAGAAACTGCTTTGTGATGTTTCCATTCAAGTCACAGAGTTGAATATTCTCTTTTATAGAGCACGTTTGAAACACTCTTTCTGCTCTATCTGGAAGTGGACATTTCGAGCGCTTTGAGGCCTATGGTGAAAAAGGAAATATCTTCCCGTAAAAACTAGACAGAAGCATTCTCAGAAACTTGTTTGTGATGTGTGTATTCAACTAACAGAGTTGAACTTTTGTTTCTACAGAGCAGTTTTAAAACACTCTTTTTGTGGGATCAGAAAGTGGATATTCCGATGGCTCTGAGGATTTCGTTGGAAGCGGGATTACATATAAAATCTAGAGAGAAGCATTCTCAGGAACTTCTTTGTGATGTTTGCATTGAAGTCACAGAATTGAACATTCACTTTGATAGAGCAGGTTTGAAACACTCATTCTGTAGTATCTGGAAGTGGACATTTCAAGCGCTTTCAGGCCTATGGTGAGAAAGGAAATATCTTCGAATAAAAACTAGACAGAAGCATCCTCAAACTTATTTGTGATGTGTGTCCTCAACTAACAGAGTTGAAACTTTGTTTTGATACAGCATTTTGGAAACACTCTTTTTGTAGAATCTGCAGGTGGATATTTGGATAGCTTAGAGGGATTCGTTGGAAAGGGGATATCGTCATATAGAATCTAGACAGAAGCATTCTCAGAAACTTATTTGTGATGTGTGTCCTCAACTAACAGAGTTGAACTTTGGTTTTGATACAGCATTTTGGAAACACTCCTTTTGTAGAATCTGCAGGTGGATATGTGGATAGCTCTGAAGATTTCGTTGGAAACGGGAATTTCTTCATATAAAATCAAACAGAAGCATTCTCAGAAACTTCTCAGTGATGTTTGCATTCAGTTCATGGAGTTGAACACTTCCTTTCATAGAGCCGGTTTGAAACACTCTTTCTGCACTACCTGGAAGAGGACATTTCGAGCGCTTTGAGTCCTATGGTGAAAAAGGAAATATCTTCTCATAGAAACCAGAAAGAAGCATTCTCAGAAACTTCTTTGTGTTGTGTGTACTCATGTAACAGTGTTGAACCATCCTTTTGACAGAGCAGTTTTGAAACACTCTTTTTGTAGAATCTGCAAGTGGATATTTGGATAGCTTTGAGGATTTCGTTGGAAACGGGATGACATATAATATCTAGAGAGAAGCATTCTCAGGAACTTCTTTGTGATGTTTGCATTCAAGTCACAGAATTGAACATTCCCTTTCATAGAGCAGGTTTGAAACACTCTTTCTCTAGTATCTGGAAGTGGGCATTTCAAGCGCTTTCAGGCCTATGGAGAGAAAGGAAATACCTTCAAATAAAAACTAGACAGAAGCATTCTCAGAAACTTATTTGTGATGTGTGTCCTCAACTAACAGAGTTGAACCTTTGTTTTGATACAGCATTTTGGAAACACTCCTTTTGTAGAATCTGCAGGTGGATATTTGGATAGCTTTGAAGATTTCGTTGGAAACCGGAATATCTTCCTATAAAATCAAGACAGAAGCATTCTCGGAAACATCTCTGTGATGTTTGCATTCAACTCAGTAGAGTTGAACACGTCCTTTCATAGAGCAGGTTTGAAACACTCTTTCTGCCCTACCTGGAAGCGGACATTTCGAGCTCTTTGAGGCCTATGGTGAAAAAGGAAATATCTTCTCATAAAAACCAGAAAGAAGCATTCTCAGAAACTT